>NC_000011.10:122020909-122323939 GCF_000001405.40 Homo sapiens
AGAGGAGCATTGTTTCACATTTCTGCAAATTTCTTTAGTGTTTAACAGAAGGCAGCTAGAGTTAAGACTGCATTCAATCTGTACTGATATCGTACTTCATGTAGCCTCAGGTAAACACTTCATACTTGAGAGAATGGAAGTGAAAAAGGCACTCATTTTAGTATCACTATGAAAATTGTTTTCACCTCATGGACTGCCTAAAAAAGGGACCACCAGGGGTCCCCACTCCACACTTTGAGAACTACTTTCCTTAGAAATGATACCGAATAATAACAATAATAATAAGCATAGCTAATGTTACTTAAATGCTTGCCCTGTGCTTCTCCCTATTTTAAATGTTTTTTATTATTATCTCACTTAATTCTTCTAGCAACTGAATAAGGTAGATATTATATAGCATTGTCTTTATTCTCCAGATGAGAAAACTGAAGCAGAAGGAAGTTCTGACTTCCCAAGGTCACACAGATCATAAATGATAGAGCGAGGATAGGAGCCCAGGTACAGTGTTGTCATAAAGATCAACAGTATTAGACAACAGTGTGGTGGTGGCAGAGGTGACGGTGGTGATCATACAGTGGCACTGTATGCTATCTAATGTTTAGGAAACACAGGCTATGTAAAATGCTGGGTGCCTTCCATGCATCATCTCATTTTCTCCTCACAACAGATCTAGGATGTACTTTTATTATCATCATCATTTGACAGATAAGGAAACTGAGTCTTTCCTAAGATCATATTTAGTATGTAGGAAAACTATATAAACTCTCTAACTATAAAGTTTTGTTACTACTATAATTAAACATAAAATTATGCTAAGGGCCGTGTGCAGTGACTCACGCCTGTAATCCCAGCATTTTGGGAGGCCAAGGCAGGATGATCACTTGAGGTCAGGAGTTCGAGACCAGCCTGGCCAACATGGTGAAACCCCGTCTCTATTAAAAGTACAAAGATTAGTCGGGTCTGGTGGCAGGTGCCTGTAATCCCAGCTACTTGGGAGGCTGAGGCACAAGAATCACTTGAACCTGGGAGGTGGAGGTTGCAGTAAGCCCAAATCAGGCCACTGCGCTCCAGCCTGGGCAATAGAGCAAGACTCAAACAAACAAACAAACAAACAAAATGATGCTAAGATTAGATGCTGTAATCTGATACCTCATTTAACTGGCATCATAAGATCCAGTTATCTCTGCAGATGTGAATTTCCCAGAGTAGTTCATTTTTACTACTTTGTGGCCCAACTGTTTAAGGTATAACCATAATGATGGAAGAAATCATTATGAGCATCAATTTGGATGCTACGCCTTCCTGTGGAGATGCACTGGAGGCTGTTGAGATGGGAAAGCGTCGATTTCCCGGTCAAATAATTCAAGGATACTCTGCATGCTGTGGCAGTGTTTTCTTTCAGGGTTTGTGTACCTTTCCTGTTTTTACTATCCCCTCCTTATAAATTCAGTAGTATTTTTTTTTTTTTTTTCAGATTTAGCCCTTTTGCCTGATTTTAGCCAACTCTCTTTTTGCTTGCTTGTAAATTATTCCTTCCATTTTGTCCTCTTGGGGAACTAGGCAACCACGTTTGCCTGTACGTATTGCGAGTAAAATAAAGGCAAAACCTATCTGAGTCTATGGACTCTGAATATTTGTTTAGATTGCTCCAAATTCTTCTGCTTACTTCCACTTGATTGGCCTTACTCACACAAATGCAGTTGCTACCTAAGCACTTTCATATAAGTGAGATTTTACCAAGCGATCACAACTTCTGAAAGATGGCGAGTTTTAATGCCATTTACTAGGAGAGTAATTTGCATATGGGCTTTCTTTTCCTGTATTTTTACATTTCAGAGCTCTGCTATTAACTACACTTAAAAAAAATCCTTCAGAGGAAACCAAATATGCCTTGTTCCAATTCCAATAAGGTTGCTTTCAATATTTTGAACTTGTAGTCACGGTTGAGATGACTTAATTTAAAACACATTTGGAAGCGCAACTGAGCCTAACCTATGTAGGTAGCTTCATTATTTTCTTGGAGGGGTTCACTTTCTGTTGTTTTGTTTTTGTCTAAACTCATGGCCCAGCGTTATTTATGTTCTTCTATATCTGAGATGTATCTCTAGTAAAAATAAAATAAAAGGAAAGCCGCTATTGTCAGATTGGAACGAAGTGGTAAAAACAAAAACAGAAAACAAAAATAAAGAACAGGAGGAGCCAAAGTCTGAGAAGAAAGAAACATAAATCATTGTTGTACTAGATTAAAATCAATTCAACAAACAATTATATGCACTGAGGACTGGTCCAAGGGATAAACTTGCAAAGTCTTCTAATCACATCCCTAATAAAACTCAAAGTCTAGGATCTGGCGCCTATCTACCCAGCTAGGCTGCCACTCCTCCTGGCCTTATATGTTCCACAGAAACGCTACCAAAAGCAGTATGAAGCTTCCTCAAAAAATTACAAATAGAATTACCATATGATAAAACAATTCTGCTCCTGGGCATATACCCAAAAGAATTGAAAGCAGGGGCTCAAACAGACACGCATACACCCATGTTCATAGCAGCATTATTCACAACAGCCAACAGAGGGAAGCAACCCGTGTGTCCATCAATGGATGAACAAAATGTGGCATATATATGTAATGGAATATTATTCAGCCTTTAAAAAGAAGGAAATTCGGCTGGGTGTGGTGGCTTTTGCCTGTGATCCCAGCACTTTGGGAGGCTGAGGCTGGTGGATCACTTGAGGTTAGGAGTTTGAGACCAGCCTCGCTAACATGGTGAAACTCCATCTCTACTGAAAATACAAAAATTAGCAGGGCGTGGTGGCGGGCCCCTGTAATCCCAGCTACTCAGAAGGCTGAGGCAGGAGAATCACTTGACCTTGGGAGGCCGAGGTTGCAGTTTGCTGAGATTGTGCCACTGCACTTCAGCCTGGACAGCAGAGGGAGACTCCGTCTCGAAAAAAAAAGAAAAAAGGAAATTCTGATACATGTTACAACATGGATGAATGTCAAAGACATACTAAGTGGCATGAGCCAGTCACAAAAGGACAAATACTGTATGATTCCACTTATATGAGGTACCTAGAGTAGTCAAATTCACAGAGACCGAAAGCAGAAAGATGGTTGCCAGAGACTGGAAGGAGAGAGTGATTGGGAGTGTTTAATCGGTACAGAGTTTCAGTTTTGCAAGATGAAATAGTTCTGGAGATGGATGGTTTCACAACACTGTGAATGTACTTAGTGCTACAGACCTGTACACTTAAAGATGGTTAAAATGGTAAATTTTAGGTTATATATATTTTGCCACAATTTTAGAAAAAATTTTTAAAAATTTTAGAAAGCCTACACATCCTTGCTGTTGTCATTCTGTTGCTTACTTAATATCTTACAGGCTGGATGCCTGAACACACTGACTTTGGTAAACTATCTTCAGTTTAATTATGCTAAGTAAGGCAGAAAGAGAGCAACTGACTTGCCACCAACAGGCTGGAAGGTTGCTGACAAAGCTCCACACAGAACCCAAGGGACTGGCCCCTGGCTCTGTGCAAAAGCCCCCGAGGCTTTGCCACTTCCCAGTGAATTCGTCACAGTAAGCCTGAGAAAGCAAATAGACACTGGGAAGGGGGCTGAGCTGGTTGCTTTGCTGATCATGGACCAGCCTCAGAGAGAAGACACCTGTGATGTGACTTGGCCATTGTGTCTCCTCCACAGTGCTAAGCTCCTGCACTTCCATGCTTATTAAAAGTTATAATTCTGGAGACGAAACAGGGATACACTCATCTGGCTGTAATTCAGGACTGAGAAGAAAGCCTCACCTTCACCCTACCCAGCAAGCCTCCTCCCGCCTTCTTTCTCCACCCAAGAAATGCAACAAACTACTCTGTCGGGGATTTCTTTCCTCCCCATGACTGTTCTCTAATGAAGTGCAGGTGCGCGTGCAGCCAGTGGAGAATATGAGAGGATGGGGCGCCAGGAGGGGTGAAGAATTTCCTGAGAAATTCAAGCCCTTAAATCGCTTCTCTTCCGTTAGCCAAAGAAAGTTTTTGGTTATATCAGGAGGTTGGCAAAGTTTTTCTGTAAAGGGCCAGATATTAAATATTTTAGACTTTGTAGTTCCCCTGACAAGTATTCAGTTTTGCTCTTCTGTGGCAAAAATGGCATAAATAATATGTAAAAAAAAATGTGTTTCAATAAAACTTTATTTATGGACACTAAAATTTGAATTTCACTATAATTTTCATGCGTCTCAAAATATTATTTTTTAATTTTTCTAAATCATTAAAAAATGTGAAAACCATTCCTAGCTTGCAGGTCATACAATAAAACAGGCGGTTGGCCAGATCTGGGGACTATGGACTGTTGTTTGTTCACCTCTGGTTTGAATATTTATAATCTACCTACTTTTAAAAAATTAATGTAGCTCACGTGTTCTTGAGAGGAAAGGCAATACTATTTATGGATAATTTGTTTAACGCAATTTAGCATAGCATGATGGTGAAGAGCATAGCTTCTGGGAGCAGAATGGTTGGGTTTAAATTCCAGCCCTGCTACTCACAAGCTGTGTGACCTTAAGTAAATTACTTAAACTCTCTGAACCTGTGTTTCCTCATCTGCAAACAAGCTGACTCCAACAAAATCTACCCAACAGAGTTGTATGGATTAAATGAAATAGTATGTGTTGAGGGCTTAGACTGTTGCCTGGTGCCTTGTAAATGTTAGATGCTATTTGCTATATGATAGCATTATCACATTTAATCCTGCCAAACGGATATTATCACCATGTGATAAATACAAACAATAAATTTCAAGTCATTTAGGCAGCTTGCTTGTTGGGGGTCAGAAAACACTACCCCAAAGCCCTTTGAGCTGAAGGAGATTGAGAGGGCCTAGGAAGCAAGGTCTCTCTGACCTTCCACCACGTTCCTGTGCGAGAGCCAAACAGAAAGGAATTCTCTGTCTTACCTTTCCTGCAAGTAGATCGTAAGACCCTCATGTGAGAGATGAACCGCCCTGTATCTGGAGGAAAGAAATGCAGCACAGAGAGGCCGAGAAGCGTCTGAATAAATAGGCCTCTCTCAGCAACACGCTCCCGCCCCCCACAGTTCATTACCATAAGGCTCTGCCCCTTTCTGTTGTCCAATCACATTTCTTCACACTTCTTTCGTCAGATTTACCGTTTCGTCAGATTTACAACGTTTTCCCTGGATCTTTGGGGTTTTTTTTATTTCTGAAGCCTCCTGAGTCACAAAAAACTTTTAAAATAAATTTGTTATGCTTTTCTCTTGTTAATCTGTCTTTTATTATAGGAGCGTCCACCATGTCCCTTGCAGTAAGTGAAAAAAAGTTATTTTTTTCTCCCCTCTGTGCTCAAGCTTCAAACAGAAGGGTGGTTCTAACACAGCCTATCTGCTGTGGTCCAGGCTCTTTCCTTCCATTCAAACCAGGCTGCCTCACTGCTCCTGTTAAGACTATTTCTGTAGCTTGTCATGTTGTTAATCACATATTTGCTGACAAATCTCCTTTCTCTTTTTGTTCCGTGATTCTTCTTTTGTTAGGTCTTCTCTTCTATTCCCTTCAAGAGTGCCGCTTCCTCTATCTCCAAAACTTCCCATTGCTGAGGTCCAGAATGTCTACTTTTTTGTCCTCTGCAACATTCCTCTAGTGTCTCCTGCAGCTTTGACGATAAACAATCGCCTTTTGCAAATGTGTCCCACAGCTCCACGTCTCCAGGTGCTACACAATTAGATGCTTCCAGAGGGCAGAACGTGCTAGATGGACTGTGACATCGAGTTGACCTGGCTTCACATCTCAGCACTGCCTCTCATTTACCGGAGGATACTGGGAAAATTGTGTAACCTCTCTGAGTCTTGGTTTAGATATCAGTAAAATTGTGATAATAATAAGAACCCCCAGCTAAGGTTGTTATAAAGTGAAACGATGGACATAATGCAAATAGGAGGCTTATTCATTCATTCCTTTATTTATTTGCTCAGCAAGCATCTATGGTGCCCCTCCTATGTCCCTCTAAGTGCATACTCAGTGGTAGGTGATATTGCGAAAGCCCTGAGTCTTTTCACCTCAACACATCTTCTAAATGTGCACTTCTCTATTTTTGCCTTTTGCTCGTCTTCCAGTCTTCTAGGTTCAAGCCCATAATTCTTGGTAATGCTACCTTCTCTCAGCTCCTGTATTCCAACCATCAAGTCTTGCTTGACTTGCTCATTTTTTTCTTTCTTTTTCCCACCATCCTAGGACCAAGCCCATGTCAGCACAAACCTGGATCCTTCTTTCATGCCAATCCTCAAGTTTTGACTTTATTTCAGTTGGAAATTGGCATCCAGGGAAGTGTTTGAATAGGGAAGGAAAAGGATCAAAGTGGTGCTTTTGGAAGTTTAATTTTTGCTCCACATGAGTTCCAGTGGGAAGTGGCCAGTGGCAAGGAGACAAGTAAAAAGTTTTAACAATTTAAATATAAACTGATAAAGACTTAAAGTAAGGTGATGCTATTAGGCATGGAACGGAGAAAGAGGAGGCTGCAAGAGGCATTTTGAAGGAACCTGTGTGGGAGTGAATTAGGTTTGAGGTGTGAAGATAACTCCACAATTTAGAGTCTTGGTAACTAGGAGACTAATGATACCTGTTTCACAACTTCAGTAGCACTTTGTGCTGCTCACGTGTGTCTTTTCACCTACCATCTGGTGTATGTTATTTTTTTTAATGAATAATTGTCTTTCTCTACAAATTGGTTATAAACTCCGTAAAGCAAGGTCTATGTGTGTCCTAGTCTATTTTCTATTGCTTGTAACAGAATACTTAAACTGGGCAATTTATAAAGAAAAGAAATTTATTTCTTACAGCTATGGAAGCTAAGTCCAAGATCAGGGGACCACATCTAGTGAGGACCTTCTTGCTGGGGGGGACCCTGCAGAGTCCTGAGGTGGTGCTGGACATTACATGGCAAGGGGGCTGAGTGCTAGCTAAGGTCTCTCTTCCTGTTTTATAAAGCCACCAGTCCCACTCTCATGATAACTTATTCATCCACTAATCCACTAACCCATTAATTCATGAATGGATTAATTCATTCATAAGGGTAGGATCCTTATGACCCAATTACCTCTTAAAGGCCCCACCCCTCAATGGTACTACATTGGAGTCTAAATTTCAACATGAGTTTTGGAGGAGACAAATATTTAAACCATAAGAATGTCCCATCACGCTTTCCTTTTTATTTCAAAATTTGCTTACACTGAGTCTAGGCAGTGCTAGTAAGTGTTGCTAATTTGTTCATTCTTGTTGTGAGTACTTTGATGATGTTGCAGGAATGGAAGGTGGGGGAGCAAATTTTTTCCCCAGAGAATTAGAGTTACGTCAGTATTATTAGCTTATTGCTAAACTAAGTCTATTCTATAAAGAAACATAAACATTCACATTATGCAAAAAATTTATTTTCATCAGTGAAATACAACCCCCATGAAAGCTCCCACACAATCTCAGTAGGCTGGTGGTACAGTGCCTTGGAAAGAGAAATCAGGAGTGACATTCAATAGCCAGCAACCCCAGAAAACCCTCTATCTTGATGGAAAGGGCTACTTGTTTTCTGTCTCCTCATCCTCACATGTACATTCCATCTGCCTAATGCTTTCCTCTCTTAATTGAAAAACAAACAGACATGACACACACAAAAAAGCATTTCTTGCCCCATTTCTTAGCAAGCAAGGTCAACTTATGCCGCACTCAGGCTGTGTAGTAGGTGCAGGAAAATGTTTTTGTGATTTCTTGAAGCACAGCTTTTACACAGTGTGGCATAGATATGAAGTCCTGCAGACAGCAGCTGCAGGCAGAGTGGGCTGGTATGCAGCAGGGGAATGCATGGGAGGGCTTTCTGAGCAGTCTTTGAGCAGATGGCGAGTCTAGGCATCCGGGTGCAAATCACTCCAGTCACATCTGAAAACCAAACAAGAATTCTTTAGAATAGAACTGTGACGTCTGGACAGTGTTATTCATTCTACAGTGATATCAGAGAAAGGGCTTCCCATCTTTTCTTCTGAGTAGACCCCCGCTCCAAAAAAATATCCTAGAGCAATAGCAAGAGTCAAGAAGTCCAAGGCTAAGCAAAAGGAGTAACATTGGCTGGAGGCTGGGGTCCTAGAAAAGGAAAGGCAAAAGACTACAAAAATGAAGAAGTGCTCATTAAGCTGAGGAATACGTCCAGGGACAGAACTGGGAAAAATCATAGAACAGATAACAGAGTGGTTAGGGAAATGATTTTAGACTTGCTAGCATCTCTCTTGTTATCTTGGATTGGTCATCTATTCAATACACAGAAAATAAAGGACTTCCTAGAATGATATAACAGAAAGATCAGTAGCTCTCTTAACAGACGGGCTTAGGTTTTAACCTCACACTCTGTGAGTGATCTTGGCAAGTCACTTCAATTTATTGGGCCTGGGACTCTTCATCTATGAAAGAGGCAGGATGATATCTACTCCTAGGGTGTTATGAGGATTAAATGAGATAATGTAGGAGAAGCTCAGCTCAGCTCAGCATGGCTTGGCAAACAGGGGACATTCAATACGTATGTGCTCTTTTTCTCTCTTCTCTCTTCTCTTTTTCTCATAGGAGATAGGGCTCACATAGACCTATAAAGGCAGAATTCTTTCACAAGCTGCCTTTAGGCAGAGAGAACAGAACTTGGTCAAGAACTGTGAAGGGCTGAAACTTTATACTACTTGTAAGCTCACAAGATAACCTGACAGATTCATGGATGCTGGCAGAAGACACAAGATTCCTGGGTCAGAGACAATGGACTTTACTCACAGCACAGCAAGCAATAAGAGTATTAGCATATTTGCTTTGACCCTCCAAGCCCCAATTCCCACAGAACAATGTGAAGAGAGCCAGGCAATACCTGCACACACTGTGGGGTGGCTTATGAGAGAGAAGCCCTGAGTATAGAAAACCCAAATTTTGCATAATGGACCCTAAGTGCACCTGCCCTATGCTCCAGCCCAGCTCCGTTTTTCCATATATGTTTCCACTATGGAAACATCCTTAAAAAGAGAGCCCAGCACAAGGACTGTCAGCACCTGCCAGATGTAAAAATGTAAGACACATGGAAAATTGTTTCCCAAAAGGGATAACAGAAATAATCCCTTTCCTTCCTGTCCTCTTACCAGGTTCATTAGCAGTGGCAGGCTTTCTGCACAACATTACTTTTCCCTGTGAACATGCAGTCTCACACATCCCACACTCCCCGTGTTTCCCTCTTTATCTCTTCTCCCATTAATGTAAGTGCTCAAGCACCTCATCAAGAACTTTCTATCCCCATTTTGACCTTTTTAGAGAAGTGCCAGAGCCCACAGTTGGGGAGGCTGCTGGCCTGACCAAAGGACAGGGCTTTTCTCTGGGAATCTCGTTTAAAGTTTTATGAAAAACATAATAAGAGGGGAATAAGAGAGGAGGTCAAGGGAGAGAATGAGACATCTCTCCTTAACTCTCTGCACTTGGGGAACATTTGATCCCAGCTTGGAGGTGAAAACGGAGCCAAGTTGGTGTCACTGAAATGAAGCAGGAAGTGTTCTGAGTCTCAGATATCTCCCTTCAGGTGCACGGGCCCAGAGCCAGCTGGATGTTTGGAGAGAGCAAGAGGCCACCTACATGGAGCTATTTGAGTGACACCAAAACATCTTCCTGCACCTGATATTTCCATTATGGTCTCTTCTCTAGCAGAGGCATGATCTAAAAAGGACACTGTTCCAATATAAATATGCCATCTGGGAGAAACAATTTCCACTATTTATAAATGCTTCCAGAGGTGGCCTATTCATTTAATGTCCTTATTTTAGTACAGCTACGTGCTAGACATTGTGTTAGCCACTGGACTTCAAGGGGGATCAACCATATGTCTTGCTCTCAGGAGTCTGCAGTAAGAATCAGGAAGTATACTGGGAATTAGGATGCAAGTGACAAGCTTTATGACAAGTGAATTGAGAGAATGACATAGGAACATAGACAAGGGGCATTTAATCTTATTTTGGAAGATCAAGAGATGTTTTTCAGTGGAAGCTAAATGTAAACTAAGACCCTGTATGTTGAGTCTTTCTTAGCTGTATTTTAGAGGTGAAGAAATGGAAGTTTAAAAAGTCTAAATGTCTTACCGAATATTATATGGCCTGGGAGTGACAAAGCCAAGACTCAGACATACTATATTTTAATATTGGCTTTATCATGGGTTTTCCCATGTGTATTAACATATTGGTTTATCTAGGCAGCTAGGGCCTTAGGAGACAAGACCTCTGAGAGACAAGTCTTAGTGGTGATGGGAGGTGCAGGAGTGTGGAGAGGGTTGGGGTGAAGATGATTGTGTGGGGTGAGGGTAGAGAGAGGGTGATGCTGCTTGGGAAAGTCTTCCCAGGGGTGGGGTGCTGGTGTAATGGGGGCTTTTGGAGGAGTGATCGATGAAGCCTGAAGACAGTGGAGAGTGTGAAGTTTCTTAGGGAGAAAAAAAGAGGAAGAAAGAGGGTAGTGGGAGGAGGAGGAGGAGGGAGGAAAGGAAAAGAAGATTAGGAGGAAGAGGAGGTAAAGGAAAAGGAGAAAGGGGAAAAGGAGAAGGGGAAAAAGGAGAAGGAAAAGGATAATTATTTAAGAATGAGATCATATCTTTTGCAGGAACATGGATGGAGCTGGAGGCTATTATTCCTTAGCAAACTAACACAGCAACAGAAAACCAAATACGGCATGTTCTCACTTATAACTGGGAGCTAAATTCATGATGAGAACTCATGAACACAAAGAAGGAAACAACAGACATTGGGGCCTGCTTGAGTGGGGAGGGTGGGTGGAGGGAGAGGAGTAGAAATAAATAACTGTTGGGTACAATGCTTATTACCTGGATTATGAAAGTCTGTACAAAAGACTCCCATGACACGAGTTTACCTATATAACAAACCTGCATATGTACCCCAAACCTAATACAAAAGTTAAATTAAAAGGATAATTAAGGAGAAGTTGTGATAGAAAATTTGATGTGAGCAGCAAAATCTAACTTTCTCTGTTTTATAATTGTATCCAGTGCTACATGAGTTAGTCATAGCCACTATTCCAGGAAGCAGGAGGCCAACACCTTCTCTGTAAAGAGAGAGAATTCAATCAGAGCCTCAACACAAAGCCCACTGCTGATTGGGTTCTTCACAGGAGCCTGAATTAGTAGTTCTTCCAGTCCTTTCAAACACTACTACCCCACCCCATCTTGTCAAGGTTTGCTCTGTTCCAGAAGGAAGTAAAGGAACAGGTGTTAAGAACCAGCTTCCCCACTCTACTTTGACCCTACAGGCGCCTGCAGTTTCCTAGGACTGACCTTAGCATTCGGAATGAGCATAGTGTCCTGTAGAGTGCAGGGTCAGTGCATTTCTGAAATAACAACCAAAAAAAGTAAAACTGGTTTTGAGTTGGACCGGGGCTTATATCATATGCTATGGTTCAAAGCTTTCCTCCTAGTCTTAAAGCCAAGCCAAACTCATTTGGGTTTCGAATATCACCATTTAGCAGTCCATTGGCCTGGGCCTCCTTCTCTTGACCGAACTCTCATCCAACCTAGGCAACATTTGGATTCAATTTGATAGAAAATGTGGGTGAGCTGCTTGCCAAATTCTTATGAATCTGTGTCAAACTCAGTGATTTAGGCTAAGATTTGGGGTGTGGCTGAGTCCCCAGAGGAATTCTGTGGTTGCATAATTCACAGAAAGTGAAGCAAAGGGTATTTTCAAAACTATTTCCAAAGAAGTGGACTCTGTAGAATCTCAGTCTATGGGGATTAAGATTTTGGAGACTTCACCACAGAATTTAAGTCTTTTCACAGTATGTAATGGTCTTTTAGGGATGTTTAACCATCTGTTCATTTTTCTCCCCCATCATTCCACCATATAGGTTATTATCCATTTGAACCAAAGGAAACCAGTACATAGGAATGATACATTACTTAACTCAAGGTCAAGAGGTAAGAAAATGGCTGGACTAGGCTATAGGCCTGGTTCAATGAATTCTGTTGTACAGGGGCTACCAAAACCTTGATCTCTGACCCCTTCAAAGATGGTGATTTTTTTTCTTTCATTACAAGACAGGTTACTACAGCAACAACATACAAGCCACAGTAAATATAGGGTATTGAGACTGTTCCCTGGGAAATTGACTCTGAGGTGGAGACTTGCATGTAGGGAGTTATCAGGAGTGCTCTCAGGGATGATACTCACGAGAGAGTGAAGGAAGCAGGACTGGGCAAAGGGAAAAGATGGACATTGGGCATGTACAGGAGAGGGCTACCCAGATCCCTTGGGGCGTTCTGGAGCTCTGATAGTCATTCACAGTTGTTTAACATTGTGGCAAACGATCTGGACAGACATTAGTTAAGAGTTACCTCTGGAGAGTAGACATGACCTTGGACTAGGAAGTTCTCTTTGGCAGAGAGCAATTTTCATGGAAGGCTCAGCTGTGTGAGGTTAGCAGCCAAATTCCTGGCAGCTGGAGTGCCTTGGTCCTCAAGGAGGTGGTGCCCCACAGCATCCACTACAGGAAGGGAAATAGAATTGTACATTGAAAACCCAGAGTACCATAGCCAGTTTCATTGAGGTCATGTCCATAGTGATGTGAAATTGCTCATGGGAGCTAGAATGGGGCCTAGAGATATCTAAGGCTCGAGAGACCAAAGAGACAAACACCCAGCAAATGCTAAGGGTGTGTAGGAGTAAACGACTATGGCTTTTGCATTTTTATACAGGGGGTAAAATCAGGTTTGATAGAGTAAAAGATAATGGGGGAAGAGAAGATGTCAAAGAAGAAATCAAGGACAGACAAAAAAGTCTGCAAGGGAAAAGGAATGTGATTTAGCTAAGATGAGTGTGGAAACTTCCAGAACAAATTGAAGACACATAATCCTTGAGTTATATTTTGTAAACATCCTGGAATCCCTACTTTCTTCCCAGAAGCTACTCTAAGGCTTCCCAGAAGCTTGGCCTTGGTGCTACCGTCATACCCTAAAGCTGGCCTAGCTAGCAGCTGATCACTGGAGTAGGAGTTAGGACCCCTGAGTTTTTAGGGATCCACTTGAGCAATAGGGTGGCCTTGGACTAATAAATTTGTTTTTGTTACCTATTCTTTTCCTCTCCTTCCAGTACTAAAATTACTGAAAAATGTGCCCATTGTTTTATACCAAATTACTAGGTGAGTATTTCAATTTTCTAAAACATGAAAACATGAGGGGTTTTAAAAATGGCTTCCTTCTCTCTTCTCTTCTCTCTCTCATCTCTGTCCCTAACTCTGATTTTTTTATGACAAGATTATGATGCTATTTTGTTTTTTTGTTGTTACTATTTTCATTTTCGCTTACATTGTTTTCTCCTTGAGCAGATTCTCTTTTCAGATCAACTCAAGGTTCTCGAACACATCTGGTACGCTCTTAACTTTAGCTGCTAGAAGTATTCCCAGCACTTGGAATTCCATCCCATCTACATCAGAGCTGTCAACAAAATGGTATCCAGTTGTTAAGGCCCATCTCAATAGCAGTGTGCACTTGGTTCCTTACTCACGTCATACGCAGCATATTGAAATTGAAATTGCCCACTGACTTCCATTCATTCATTCATTAGCCTTTTCTGAAATCTCCTGTTTTTTGTTCCCATCCTGATGTGATTTGACCCTGCCCTGCCATTTCTTATATCTACTTGTCTCATTCTGCCTTACTCTATAGTCACGTGGTTTCTCATTCTATTCTATTCATCTGGTTTCTATTTTAAACTGAAAACTCTGGAGGGCAGAGATTATATCTAAATATTATTAGATTTTTTTCTTGCAACACAATATCATGATATATATATATATATATACACACACACACACACACACACACACATACATATTATACATATATACATACGAGCAACCTAGTAGTCAGAGCTCATAAATATTTAATTGAATTTGCTTTCTAAGAACAATGAGGGAAACCAGGAAAACATTCAAATAATGAAAAGCTTGATACCCCTTAACTTCTGACTCTCAACTTAGTTATCCAAACTGAGTGAGATAGTCCTGAGCTCAAAGTTAGCTGCTCACAGTGAGTAGCTTTGTGAACTTAAATTAATAATGAGCCTATATGAGCCTTAGTTTTCTCATCTGTAAAATAGGAATGATAATTGTAACTACCATGGTAGATGGGACAGTAGTACATAGCCTGGCATTTTATAAATCTACACATGTTCAACTGAAGAAGGTTGAAGGATGGAGCTGGAGTACATTAGCTGAGAACTGAGTCCCCTTGGCCCCAGCAACAGATCCTGACTCCTTCACATAGTGCCAGTGCTACTGGGCTGTGAGAAGTAAAGGATCTTGAGGTCATTTATTTTTGATACCAAAGTTCTCTTTGATACCAGTTTTAACTCTTCTGAAGAGGATAACTAGATTTTTTTTAATGTGGACCAAAAAATTGTCCACATGAATTTATAAAACTGAATTATATTCTGATCAGCCCTTTATTATTCATAGGAGCAGTTCCACTTCTAGATTATCAGTGGAATTCTTTTCCCTTATTTTTTGGGCTGCCTTCTCCCTGCCACCCAGCATGTGGCTGAGCCACATCCCCCAGTGCGGGCTTAGGGAATGCAAACTCATTTTAACTTTTTCCTGAGCAGAACATCACTGGGAAGAAAATTGGAACCCCCAAAAGCCATACAAAGCATTCCAAAGTAAAATATAAGAAACATTTTGAATGTTTTTCTGTTTTGGATTATCTGTGCCACTATTCATTTCCCTTTTTTGTGGATAATCAAGAACTAGATGTATTATGGTTAACAAGACTTGAAAATTGCTGAGAAAACTCTGCAGGGCATTGAAGCATTTTAAAGGTAAAATTCATAATCCTCAACATTTACACTTGACAGCCCATGCTACCCTGGAGGAGGGGAGTAGGGTAGGTAGATAGCTGCAATAGTTGCAACTGCAGATTTCTTTTTTTTTTCCCCAAGGAAAAAAAACAGCTTCAGCTGTTTCAAATCATATAATTTGAATAATGATTAAAATCAGATAAAGCCCCCAAGACAGACAGAAAAGGAAAAAGAAACTCTATCTTGCACTGCAAAGATTTTTTTTTTACATCAACTTAACTTTTTAAGAAAGGAAAGATTGTTTTCTTTTTTAGCCAAGGAATTTCTTCATTGCATTTAGCCAAATATAGGTTCCACACCCTTTTCTAACTCCAGCCATGTGAATGTCCTGATAAGCACACGGCAAAAAATAAGCTAAGTGAAATATTCTCATTGCCTCATGATCTCTAGAGTGTATGTCATCAAGGCACTCATCCAAATATTGCAAGTGAGTTATCTGAAATTCAGTTTTGAGGAATCCAGAGCCACCTCCTCAGTCATGGAGGGCCTCTGGGATCCAGAGGGAGCTTATAATGAAGGTAAGGATTTGAGCTGGAAGTCAGAGTGCTTGAGCCCTTTCCTTGGTTGTATACTCCTAGGTCAGCTCCAACCAGACCTTAAAAGAGTTAGAAGTTCACACCCATTGCTTTTTTCTTCATAGGATTCAATTCCATGAAAACAATGCAATTTCATTTGTGTAGTTTTAAAATGTAGGAGGCACAAGTGACTAAGATATAGGATCCAAAGCTGAGGGCAGTGCAGTTCCTCTCCTCAAAGAGCTCACGGTCTAATACAAGAGACAGATTATTATCGCTATTGCACAGAGAGATTTGCCCACTCTCTCTAACACAATTGCGCTTTACTGGTTGCTAAGAGTGCAGTGGGAACACGGAGTAGGTGTTCTGAATGGCATTTTAGGGCAGCCCAGAAAGGCTGCATGAAAAGTTGGTATTTAAACCGGGCCACGAAGAATAAATAGAATTTTGACAGATAGAGGAAAAAGAGTGAGACTTTCAAGCTGTCAGCTGATGTTTCTAAGAGAAACCTCTGGCCAAGGGACACTAAGAGGTAATACTGGACAAACTCAGTAAGGAACTGATAAAAAGGTCTTCAGAAGGTGATAGGAAGAGGCTGGCAATCAACAAGTGAGAGGGCTTACAAATATCAGCCTTAACCACCACCCTATTGTGCTTCCACCAGGTACAGTCCCATCTCTCCTTCCATGAATTCCTTTCTCTAGAGGAAACTGACGGTTCTCAGGAGAAGTCCTAATTCCCCCAACCCCACCAACCTTTGCTTCCTCTGAGATTACTATCGTTATTTTACATAACAAAAATGACAACAGTATAAGTTACTCTGCCTTACCTAACAAACAATGATAAGAATAATAATAGCTATCATTATTTAGCATTTATTATATGTTAGGCATTTGTGCTTAGCATTTTACATATAAAATGTCGTTCAATCTTTGCAACAGCCCTTTGAGCTATGTACTTTTATTAACACACTGTATTTCACTGCTGAGGAAATTTAGGCTTGGAAACTTTAAGTAATGTGCCCATCGTCACTCAGCTAGTAGAGTTGAAACTCAAGTTTCTCTAGTAATCTCAAAGCCCAAGTTTTTAATCTCTACATCATCTGGTCTCTCTAGGAATTTCATTCTCCCATAACAATAATATCATAGTTTTATATAGTGCTCTGCAAATGCATACAAAGTTTATTCCTTTTTATTTGTTCATTTAACGGCAATAGCCTTGTGTTGTTATTTTAATGTTTCATTTTTAAAAATTAACTTATTTTTAATTGACGAAATTTGTATTTGTTTGTTGCTCTCTCCTTGAGAATGGAGGCATTTAGTAAATATAAATTAAAGGGAAGAAAGGAAAAGGGAGAAAGTTTGGAAAAGAGGAGGAAGGAAGAGGAAGGGAGGAAGGGAGAGAAAGAAAAGGGAAGAAAGGAAAAAAGAAAGAAAGTATAGAGGAGAAAAAATAATATCTTGCTTTATCCATCACAAGGTTGATGGCTGATACCTTTATAACCAAAGACAGATTAACAACAGAGAAGCATAACAAACGTATGTAATTCATGTTTTATGTGACACAAGTCTTCAAAAATGAAGACCCAAAGACCCAGGAGAAACTGTATTTTTATGCTTAGGTTTGATGATGAATGTAGAGGCATGATTGGACAAAAAGGGGGTATGACTTAAAGATAACCTGGAGGGCACTTAGTAAGGCCTGATTCTTCAGATTCTTCTTAGTCTGTCTGTGGAACATTCCTTCTCTCTGGATGTAGGGCAGGACACCTGTCACATGAGGGTCTTCAAGAGAGGTCAGAAAGACCTTTCTGCTTCTGTGGTTTTCTCTGTTTCCTTCAGCTTAAAATACTCAGCATGCCAAGGTGCCATACTTGGGGGGTAGAATTTCCTGCACTCTGTCAAAAAAAGAAGGAAAAAAAGGAAGGAAGGAAGAGAGGAAGGAAAGAAAGAGGAAAGAAGGAGGGAAAGATGGGAAGAAGGAGGGGAGGAGGCAAAAGAGAGAGAGGAAGGACAATTTTCTGATAAATAAATCGAAGATCAGAGAGCTGAAGCAACTGGACTGGAGTTGTGACAAGTCAATTACAATATCAGGATCAGAATCCAGCTTATGGATTCCTGATGTGACCATCTTTTCACTGGATTGTTGACTTTGGTGATAAAGGTCCAGTATTTTTTTTTTATATATATACACACAGGTGAAGAGAGATTTTTAAAGTTCAGTTTTTATCTTTGGTCATCAGAAACAGTAGCATCGTGAGGTAAAAGAGTTAGCTTTAGGACAAAAATGAATTCTCTGCAGGAAAAATGGTGTCTGACCTTACAAATTAAAGTCACATGACTTAGGGCCTATTATTACACAGCAACAGTCACATACCAAGCATTACACAAACAGATGGAGGGGGTGAAAGACGACTTAATGAGAAATGCATGAGAGGAATGTGAGACATGCATGAAGAAGGAGCATTAAATACCTAGGATAACAGCTATGGCTAAGCTACTCTGAGTTGGGATAAAATAGGATAGGCTAATAAAGGAGTCAAGAATGAAGAATTCATTCTGCATGCCAAGGGGAAGAAACTTTGTGATTGAACCATTACTCTGGGACCTTCTCAAAGAATATTCCTTATCCTATCTCAATACTTATCCCCTCCCTGGAATTCTTTGACTGTGAAATCCTTTTATAACCAAGTTTATAATGATCAAAAGGATATTATGACATCAATTTTAAGGAAAAAAATCACCTATGCATGATGGGAAGGTGAAGTAGAAGTTGCATTAATATTAAGTTGGAAAAATAGGAAGGTGGGCAGAAAAGGAATCACTCTATGGGGAAAAATTAAGCAATTGGCTGAGGAGATGTGAATCTGCCTGGATCATCTAATCTCACCAAGCCTCAATCCAATAGCAGTTCTAATACTGTCACCTCCACACAGTGTCCACAGCCTAACAAAATTTTTCTTGGATGTGAAACCACTATATTCTTTACTGAGGTCTTCACCCTGAAAATTGACTTCACTCTGAAATATTAGTAAGATAAATGTTATGAATGGAAAAATTCCCTGAGCTCATTCTATTCGCTATACATTCTTTCTTTTCTTCTTTTCTTTTCTTTTCTTTTTTTGAGATGGAGTCTCGCTCTGTCACCCAGGCTGGAGTGCAGTGGCATGATCTCAGCTCACTGTAATCTCTGCCTCCCAGGTTCAAGCGATTCTCCTGCCTCAGCCTCCCAAGTAGCTGGGACTACAGGCGCATGCCACAATGCCCTGCTAAGTTTTTGTATTTTTAGTAGATACAAAAATATCTACTATATTTTCACCATGTTGGCCAGGATTGTCTCGATCTCATGACCTTGTGATCTGCCTCCCTCCGCCTCCCATAGGGCTGGGATTACAATCGTGAGCAACTGCGCCCGGCCACTATTCTCTATACATTCTTCTTATTTAGGTCCACTTCACTATTGTCTGTTTCAGATTGTAAAATTGCTGAGTAGAACAGTAATGTAATATACTCTCTATGAACTATTCCCAGCTAGGAAGCATCAATCTTTAGACAGTTCATAAAGAGGATGAAGAGGAAGATGACAATGACAATAACCAGGAGAGTGGACATGGGATTCCATAAGGGATGGGAAGAATGGCTGGAATTTTGCTACCTTGTGTATTAATAATTTAAGGCAGCATGGTATAGAGAAAAAAGCCTGGTCTTTTGAGTGTGAGATAGATATGGCTTCTCATCTTATTTCTCTTCATCATGTGGCCACAGTATAGGGTTTACTCCATGGATTTACAAGGTCAAGATACACTTCTAACAGATAGGAACTATATCCATGCCTCAATATTTAAACTATGGATAGATTTATAAACTTCACCTTGGAAAGTCTCAGAAGTATTCTCCAAGCAAGCTAAAAAAAAAAAAAAAAAAAAAAAGCAAATGGCAGCTGACTTAATGGAAAAATATAACAAAACAATAACCTGGAGACAATATCTAGGAGGGAACAATTCTGGGACAGCATTTCTTTTTTCCCCACCTGACTTCAGAGAGGTAGCAAGTATTCACTGGGAGGCATCACTTTAAGCCAGGTACAAAAACAGGCTCCAACTACAAAAAGTGCGTTTTCCTAACAAAAGTATTCCAAGCAACCTCCCTGTACACGGCACATTTTCTGAAAATCAATCAAGCCCTCTCATTCAGCTGAAGTCCAATCGCATTGTCTGTCCCTTCCTCCAGAAGCCGATTTCTGCCAGGTAGAAAATTAAGTTTCCTTTACTCTTCTTTCAGACACAATGCTTCAGCATCGCAGAACTGTTGTTCTGTGTGGGAAACCGACTTCCTGTCTCAATAAACAAGCGCACACAGGCTTTTCTGGACACATAATGGAGCCTTTTTTATTTTATACAAAAATCATTCCACACTTAACACATCAATGAAGCCACTTAAGCTCTACTGCATCTGAATTAAAGAGGAATTGTGTGATCAAAGGGTGTGAAAAGAACCACACAGGGTGTTCTTCAGATCCTCTACTTTTGTTACATTTGATACATAACAAACCCAATAAATATGCTTATCCCAGGAGCTAGTTTCATTATCTCATACCCTTAAGCCTGGCGAAAGTATGTCTGTACTGCCCTTCGTTCCACAGTGTCCATTTTATACTGACAGTTTTGGTGAAAAAGTGAAAATTATTTGGCATGTGGGTGAGATTGGGGGAATGAAGTGGCTTTCCCTTTAGGTTTTGTTTGTTTCTGTTTCACTAACTATAAATGCATATTTATATGTTTATGTGTGTGTATAAATATATATCTACATGTATCTATCTATATACACACCCAAAAGAACTATATATAAAAATATGTAATATATATATTACAGATATAAAAGCATGTACATTTCTCAAGTTAATATTACACATAAAATGATAACACGGGAAATTTCTTTTTCTTACCAAATATTTGAATATAAAGCAAAAAAGACATGATGAAAATTCTCCAGTGCCTAGAATTGAATAGGTGAATAGGACATACTATAATCCTTTTATACCTTTTCATGCTATGAACATAGCTTCTGTGAAGGTTACTAGGTATTTAACATTAGCTGTATTTTTTTAGTATCATGCATTGTAGGAGATTTGGAAAATTCCTAGAGAGTTCAGGCATCCTCATAAGCCACATATCACAACTACAAATATATTAAAGTGCATTTTGTGAATAATAATTCAAATACCATAAAGATGTGTCTTCCATGCAGTTGAAAAAAGGCATGAAATGCAAAATATGCAGTCAACGAATTAAAGTTGATTGAACATGTTATTTCAATTTATGCAATCCAATCAATATTGAATTGAGATTTATTCCTTTAGCTATCATTTGTATAGCTCTAGTGAATTGTTGAACAAGAACCCAAAATTGTTTAGATAGAAATCCTATCAATGAAGAAGTTCACATTGCAATTAGTTCAAATATAATCTGTGGAATGCCAATTATGAGTTAGCCAGTATTCTAGGTACAGAGGAGTCAAAGATTAAAAAGGCATGTCTCCTACTGTACTCATAGTCCAGTAAGAAAGAGACAACTGCAGACAAAGGTCCCCGTGCAAAGTGTGATGGTAACTTTCATGAGGTGCCCTATTGGAGTGTGGTGGAAGAAACAACTAATTTAGTATAGAGAAGTCAGCAATGACTTCCCCAAAGGAGTTTATATTTGAGCATGGTTTTAAAAATGGATGCAAAGATTAGAAGTTTATCAGACAGACAAATTGGAAGAAAAATATTAGGTAGAATGCAAAGAAGCCAAGGCATGCTTGAAAACATGAAAAAGCATCACGGGCTCTTAAATTGGTGCATAGTCTGTATGATTGGATTGTCGAGTTTATAAAGTGAAGAGAAGCTGCAGATGAGGCTGGGACGACAGGCGTGATTAAAGCATCCAAACTGTACTCTTGTAAGTAACCAGGAACCAAGTAAGATCTTAACAGATCAGAGTGATTTGAATTAGATGTTCTATTTTGTGTCTAGATACAGTGAGGTGTCCATACTAATCAACCCTTTGAATAATTATTCAGATCTGGTTGTATTGGTCTAAATAATTTAGCCAGTTGCATTTTTCTTTCTCAGTGCTCAGTTGTTTGGCACTGCATATGCCAGCCATGCAGATGACGGGCTGAAAGGTTTGGTTTACGTGCAGATGTTTTCAATGTTGTGTAGACAATCACAAACACTGAAAGAAAAAATATTCCAAGGGGGTGAAAGTCCCTTTACCATGCTTTCCAAATACATCATCATTGATGGTATCACTAATAGCAATTCAGCTTTGTTTAAACACAGTTATTAATATCAGATGACCATCTGTTTTCCGCTACAGTATATATATCATACAAACCTTTCCATGGAGCCTATGGACTGTTCTCTATTGCATAGACAAATAAAGCTCAATAAATAACCATAAAAATAAAAACATATTGATGCAGTTGTACATTCTCTTCTTGATTAATTCTGTGTGTGTATATACCCAAGGTCTAGACATACACAATCTGGCTTTCTCTGTGAAAAAATAAATCAATAAGTGCTTTTCCCCCTTCACTAATCCTATCCTGAATTGCCTGTCAACTTCCACTTACACTCACATAAAAAAATGATGTTTCATTTTGCTTTCGAATGATATACAGAGTCTCCTTTTTCCTTATTTTTATTTGGGGTTTATTTGTCCTTGAATTGTATGGCTGCACTTGATGTCATGATTTAAATGTGGTCTAAGGCAAGATCTTTCACTCAACAGCCCATAGGAATTCGAAAATAATGAGAATGGAATTTTCTAGTAAACAAATGCTGACAAACATGCCACTTAGATGTAATAAGCACAGAAAAATCACATTCGTTGGCTACGAGGGAGAGAGCTCGGGAAACAGAAGAAAATTTGTCCATGTTCATTTAAAAAATAATGTGACTCCACCATGAATTTTTCAAGATCTGAGCATGAAGAGGCCTGTACGTTCGTTTAATTAACACATTTAAAGGATGAAGTGACAAATAGAAGGATTTTCAGAGGAAAACAATCAAGAAAGTGGAGGTATTAGAAGCTATATTTTATGAGGAGAAGTAGAAAGATCCAGGAAGCTTTCACCTAGAGAGAATCATCAATCACGGAAATCTCCACAGATGGGTCCCCAAACTCACTAAGTTATGTGGGATAAAAGGATTTCACTTACTGTGCATATCTTTAAAAGGAAGCATGGCTGGAAGAAACAGAGATAAATATTGCTCCAATACAAGGAGAAACCTTCGAACACTCAGAGCCATCCGTATAATGGGTAAGCTGAGGAAGCAAAGGGTTTTGTATATACAGAAGTGTTCAAGCAGATGTTGGAGCACCATGAAGCAGGAATGCAGTAATTCAAGAATTAGAAGGGTTCTTAGGTTTCTAGAGATCCCAAGTTGTAATTCGAACTCATCTCAATCTACTGATTTTCCTTGGGTTCAGCCTATTATGAACTACAGTGCTTTCTCTCCTGCTATGGTTGAATGTTTGTGTCCCCTCCAAAATTCTTATGTTGGAACTTAAGCCCTAAGGTGATATTATTAAGAAGTGGGACCTTCAGGAGGTAATTAGGTCATGAGAGCTCTGTCTTCATGAATGGGATTAACAACTTTATGAAAAGGCTAGAGGAAATTAGCTAGGCTCTTTTTTCCTTTCTATCCCTTCTGCCTTGTGAAGAAACGGTGTTTGTCCTCTACAAAGGATGCAGCGTTCAAGGCAGCAGGACCTCACCAGACAGCAAACCTGTGGTGCCTGATCTTGGACTTCCTAGTCTGCAGAACTGTGAGAAACAAATTTCTGTTAATTACCTTCTCTCAGGCATTTTTTGACAGCATCTCAAGCAAACTAAGATGTCTCTTCAGCATCAGTCTGACTGCTGCCGCTCCTGATTTCGTCAAGCCTGAGTCAGACCTCAGTTCTGGACATCACAGTTATTTTAAAGTAACAGCCTTTTCCTAGATGATGATATTTGGTTGTTTTTGTTTTGATTTGTTTTTTTTCAGTCATAGCTAGTAATCTCACATCGACTTCTGACTGATGCTCTCATTTGAAGATTTGACTTTAGCATTCTTAATCTTGAACTCTATCATAGAGAGAAACAAAAAGAAAGACCTCAACCCTTCCTTGTACAGGGTCATTTCAGAACATTAAAAGATTTGAAACTCCGTCTCTACTAAAAATACAAAAATTAGCTGGGTGTGGTGGGGCTAGCCTATAATCCCAGCTACTCGGGAGGCTGAGGCACGAGAATGGCTTGAACCTGGGAAGCAGAGATTGCAGTGAGCTGAGATTGCGCCACTGCACTCCAGCCTGGGCGACAGAGTGAGACTCAGTTTCAAAAAAAAAATTAAAAAAAATCACACACACACCAAAAAAAAATCACAAAAAAAAAACTCCTTTTTTTTTTTTTTAAAAAAAAGATTGGCATCAAAAAGAGTTATAGAGATGAATGGTGGTGATGTTTGCACATTATGAATGTATTTAGAACAACTGAATTGTACATTTAAAAATGGTTAAGGTAATAAATTTTATGTTATGTGTATTTTACAATTCAAAAATTAGAAGAGGAAATAAAAGGTATAGTATGGGATTTTCGCATAGGCAATAATGCAGTTTATGATTTGAATTGGTCCATTCTTACTACTTTTCAAAGTGACCACTATTTTACTTGAGTGTTTTTCTTTCTAAAATCCTTGGGTCATTTTTACACATTTTAGTCTCATGCCATAAATCTGAAGCCAACCAAGACTGTATAGAGAATTGGGGAAACCTTCAAAGTTCTGGTGTCGCTCATTGATCTCTTGGGTAATTCAGTCCATTAACTAGTGGCTCATGTCATCTATAGACTATTACTCCCCTCAAGGCTCCTAGATTATTAACCAATACTGGAAAAAGGTTTTGGGGCCAGCTTACATGCCTCTCTGACTTGTCTGCTTTGGAATTTCCCTGTAAGTCCCTAGATTTTAGTACATGAGTTATCTCCCAAAAACAAACTTCCTTGTCAAGAAAAGGAAGCTTAAACAGGCGTCAAACGCATTCATGACACTCAGCAGTTTGATGAATGGAGAGTAAATGAATCATAGGCTTATGAATTACATGACTTTCTATGTACTCACATGTCTCAACAGGAAGGGGTGACAAGTTGGAAGCTTCATTCTTGATTCTTGAAAACCAAACTTATCTGAACATGCCATCTGAGCCCGTTTAAGGTTAACATGTCCTTGTTTCTAATGCTGACTGCTACCTTTTGTGGCCTTTAATTACTAAAATCTTTACAAATTTCTAGGAAATTCACATTGGGGCTGATGGGGGTGAAAAATAAATGACTTCTGAACGTCCTTTCAAGTCAAACAATCTATTATTCTTTTTTTTTTACTTAGGTAAGCCATACTGATTCCATAGAACAAGTCTGCTAGATCATAGCCTTACTACATGCAAGGGGAAAGCTCATTACCTGTTGGTAAAAGAAAAAGAAATCAAGCAAAGAGTTCTTTTTCTTTTTCTATTTTTTTTCTTTTCTTTTCTTTTTTTTTTTTTTTTTTTTGAGATGGAGTTTCACTCTTGTTGCCCTGACTGGAGTGCAATGGCGTGATCTTGGCTCACTGCAACCTCTATCTCCCGGGTTCAAGTGATTCTCCTGCCTCAACCTCCCGAGTAGCTGGGATTACAGATGGCCACCACCACGCCCCACTAATTTTTTGTATTTTTAGTAAAGACAGGGTTTCACTATGTTGGCCTGGTTGGTCTCGAACTCCCGACCTCAGACAATCCACCCACCTCGGCCTCCCAAAATGCTGGGATTACAGGTGTGAACCACCACACCTGGCCAAAGAGTTATTTTTCTTTGGAGACCTGGACAATACTGATTCTCTTAGCATGCATTTATTGAAGAACTAATGTGCGCCAAGCACTCAAGCTACAGCCTTTCCTCTAAAGGAGCTCCCAGTGTGGTGGGAAAGGGCCACAAGGGAGCAGGTAATGTTAACACACTATGAGAAACTAAGACAGGAATATGCACAGTGTACTCTGGGAACACAGGGGAGGGGACTCTAACCCCAAGGAGGGGTGGAAGAAGGCTGGGAAGCACTCCTAGTGGCATTGATGCTCAGGTCAAAGATGGAAGGATAAGTAAGACAGGAAGAGAAGAAGGGTGGAGATGCTGGGAGTTTGGAGAGAGTTTAGTGTGAATGTCACTTGGGGTTTCAGTTTCCAGTTGGGAATTCGGTGGGCAAGCCAAGGCTGGCAAACCAGGCCGGGGCTGGCTCATGAAAGGCCTTGGATGCCAGGTTAAGAACAGCAGATTAGGTACTGGCTTTAGTTCACATTTGGTTTCTGCTGTTATTGCTGTATCTGAGCTTGAATGCTGTTAGCATCTGGTTTAGCCACATGTCCTCAAAGAGCGTGTTTTCCTTTCACCTGCGTGTTTCTCTTAAAAATAATTTATCCTACAGGAAATAGGAGGAGGAGAGGGAGTAGGTGGGGATTTACTACTTAGTCTTAAGCCCTGGTAGAAACATTTTGACTTTTTATTCCACAGTTCTCGTTCAACGTTGGTTCAGCCCTCTGCATTCCTGGGCCTCGGTTTCTCATCTGGCAATTGAGATCACTGTGCTCTGTCTCAGACGTGCTGTGCGTCATTTGGAGAAAAGTTGTTATTTGACTACAAATGCTCTCAAGTTCCTAATCAGATTGTATGAATAATTCACAGACAACATCATCCAGGGATAAATTATATTTGGAACTTTTATGTTGACCATTTCTCAAGCCAGACTGCTGTGATTCATAACAACCTTTGGTGACGTTTTCTAAGAGGTAAAGAAAAGTAAACACAAAGAGTTCTTTTTAAAGATGAGGAAAGAATTAAGGAATAAAACAGTATCGGGGAACTGGAGAGACAGACCAAAAATACAGTGGGGGATTTTATATGTTTAAGAGTCATTAATACAAACAAAAAAAAGTCCAAATTATAGATACAGAGCAAGACTTTTTTAACACCTCCCACCCCAGTCCCTGGTTACCATCATTTCTATTCTCTGCATCTATGATTTCAACTCTTCTAGGTTCCATATATAAATGAGCACATGTGGTGTTTGTCTTTCTGTGGCTGGATTATTTCACTTAGCATTATGCTCTCCAGGTTCATTCACATTGTTACAAATGACCGAATTTCCTTATTTTTAAAGGTTGAATAGTATTCCGTTGTGTATATGTACCGCATTTTCTTTATCCATTCATCCATTAATGGATACTTAAGTTGATGCCATAGCCTGGCTACAGTGAATAATGCTGCAATAAACATGTGAGTGTAGCTATCTCTTTGACTTACTGATTTCACTTCCTTTGGATATATATCCAAAAGCAAAAATGCTGGATCATAGGGTAGTTTTATGTTTAATTTTCTGAGGAATCTCCATATTGTTTTCCACAATGGCTGTACTAATTTGCATTCCCACCAAGAGGAAGGCTTTTATTTGGGATCTGATACCATTAAGTTTTATTTTGTTTTATTTTATTTTATTTTATTTTATTTTATTTTATTTTATTTTATTTTATTTTATTTTAATTTTTGAGACGGAGTCTCGCTCTGTCACCCAGGCTGGAGTGCAGTGGTGCAATCTCGGCTCACTGCAAGCTCCGCCTCCCGGGTTCACGCCATTCTCCTGCCTCAGCCTCCCGAGTAGCTGGGACTACAGGCGCCGCCACCATGCCAGGCTAATTTTTCGTATTTTTTAGTAGAGACGGGGTTTCACCGTGTTAGCCAGGATGGTCTCGATCTCTGGACCTTGTGATCTGCCCGCCTCGGCCTCCCAAAGTGCTGGGATTACAAGCGTGAGCCACTGCGCCCGGCCCCATTAAATTTTAAACATTAAGCTGTGACAGATTTAGTAACATGGACAAGGACCCGTAGCTTGTGCATGACTGAGCAGGGATTCGTAACTAAGTCTTTCTGGCTTCAGAGGTCTTCAAAATTCTGCCTTGGTGCCTCTACTCATTGCCTCAGTGATTGATTCTCAAATAAGGACACGGTTTGGGATAAGGGTACAAAGACTTTGCCATACATGGGATTTTGTAAACGGTATCTGGGAAGTGAAGTCAGTAATTCTGGGGAAATCACAACTTTCCCAGGCCTTTCCACGGGGCATGAAAGCCACTACTTTAGTAAGATGTCCTGAGCATTGGTCTCCTGGTAAATCCATCTCAGCCCTGCAGTCACTTCCCATGGGCCCTAAGTACTGCAGGAAAAATCTGACTCATAGCAGCACTTCTTGTAACACATTCTGGCTTTGTGATTAAATTTTCCTTCTTTATTTTTTGAGTGTAGAAGCAGATAAAGAAGAGAAGAGATGAGTCTTATTCAGCTGATGTTTAAGAGAAGGTCCAATTATACCTCAAAAGAAGCACTTGCATAATAAAAAAGATTATTCCCATTTTACAGAAAACCTGAAGAAGTCATATCAAGGACTTGTTTAACTATTTAGTAAGAGCTGTTATCAGAGCAAAAACAAAAATAGAAGGGCTGTTTAGATGGTGAGGAAAATTGTGCACATACAAAAGCCTAAGGGTTCTTTTCTTCTCTTATTTATTTATTTATTTTATTTATTTTTTTTCGAGATGGGGTCTCGCTCTGTCACCCAGGCTGGAGTGCAGTGGCATGATCTTGGTTCACTGCAACTTCTGCCTCAGGGTTCAAGCAATTCTCCTGTCTCAGCCTCCTGAGTAGCTGGGATTACAGGTGCCTGCCAGCACGCTTGGCTAATTTTTGTATTTTTAGTAGCGATGGGGTTTCACGATGTTGGCCAGGCTTGTCTCAAACCCTTGACCTCAAGTAATCTGTCCACCTTGGCCTCCCAAAGTGCTGGGATTACAGACGTGAGCCACTCACCATGCCCGGCCTCTTCTCTTTTTTTAAAAAAAAATTTTGGACTGCGCACTGTGCCTCACGCCTGTAATCCCAGCACTTTGGAAGGCCGAGGCGGGCGGATCACGAGGTCAGGAGTTCAAGACCAGCCTGGCCAACATTGTGAAATCCCATCTCTATTAAAAATACAAAAATTAGCCGGGCGTGGTGCAGACGCGTGTAATCCCAGCTACTCGGGAGGCTGAGGCAGGAGAATCACTCGAACCTGGGATGCGAAAGTTGCAGTGAGCCGAGATCGCGCCATTGCACTCCAGTGTGGGGGACAAGAGCGAGACTTCTTCTCAAAAAAAACAAAAAGACAAAAAAACAAAAACAAAATTGTGGTAAAAGATGCATAGCATAAAATGTATCATCTTAACCATTTTTGAGTGTATGGTTCAGTAGCATTAAATACATTCCCATTGTTGTGCAACCATCACCACTATTCATCTCCAGAACTCTTTTCATTTTGCAAAACTGAAACTGAATCCCCATTAAACACTAACTCCTCATTCCTTCCATCCCCGGTCCCTGGAACCCACCTTTGTACCTTCTGTCTTTGTGAATTTGACCACAGTAAGTACCTCCTATACGTGGACTCATAGAGCATTTGTCTTTTTTGTAACTGGCTTATTTAACTTAGCATAATGTCTTCAAGATTCATGCATGTTGTAGCATATGTCAGAATTTCCTTCCTTTAAAAGGCTGAATGGTATTCCATTGTATGTATATACCACATTTCATTTGTCCATTCATTAGTTTCTTCTTTGTTGTAGTTCATCTGAAAAATGCTGGCAATCTGCATTTGAGTATTTGAATGTCAAATTGGCTTGAAGGAATAGAGGTGACAGATAATACATCCCTGTGTTTTTCCAAGTTTGTTTCTTTGTCTTTGTACTTATCTGACAGCCATGGCAGAGAACTCCACCTACAAAAGTGTGAGTCAAGCTTCCTATCAGGCCTGATTGGGAAAAACCCTGTTCCTTGTATGGATCTCAAAACTTTCCTTGTCAATCCCGCCACCCAATTCAGTATTTAACTGAGTTAACATGTAGCCACATGATACTAGCCATAATACTTTTTAGACATTATGCTCAAGCATCAGATTCTGCTAAGGTTTACGGGCAGGTGGGAGAGAAGAGGAACTCCAGACCACCACATTCAGACTGTTGGGTCTTGCAAGACAGTGAAGGAGCATTTGCTGCTTTCATTACCCTTACTCCAGCCCATGCAGCTGTTTCAGTGACTTCCTGCCATTCTTCTCTCCAGACTCACTCCTCTCTCACAGAGCACACCAAATCCCCCCTTTTCCTTCATGCCTCAACTACATTAAGTCCTCTCTCATAGCCCTAAAAAAAGTGAAGCACAGTGAACCCAGTAAAATGCATGCTTTAGGTTTTGTCTGTCTCTTACATTCAAAGTAAGTAT
This sequence comes from Homo sapiens, assembly GCF_000001405.40. NCBI lineage: Eukaryota > Metazoa > Chordata > Mammalia > Primates > Hominidae > Homo > Homo sapiens. The sequence goes on from NC_000011.10 coordinate 122,050,704, forward strand.
TAGAAATAAATTTGACTTTTCTACACCAAGGTGAATTGCCCTCAAGTTCCTAAAAACAGCTGTTTTTTTTCACCTCTGTTCGACTTAATACTACAAGAACAGAGTCGGTTTCACCAAAGTTAGGATACATTGTTCCAATGGATGATCCTCCTGTATGCTAAAACAAGTCTCTTTTATTAATTTTAATTTGTATGGGTACATAATAGGTGTAAATATATTTATGGGTTACATGAGATATTTTGAAACAGGCATGCAATGCATAATAATCACATCAGGGTAAATGGGGTATCCATCACCTCAAGCATTTATCCTTTGTGTTACAAACAATCCAATTATATTCTTTCAGTTATTTAAAAATGTACTATTAAATTATATTTGACTGTAGTTACCCTGTTGTGCTAGCAAATACTAGGTTTTACTCATTCTTTCTATTTTTTGTACCTATTAATCCTCCCCACTTCCTCCCGCTCCCCAAACACACACACACACACACACACACACACACACACACACACACACTCTTCCCGCTACCTTTCCCAGCCTCTGGTAACCTTCCTTCTACTCTCTATCTTCATGGGTTCAATTGTTTTAATTTTTAACACCCACAAATAAGTGAGAATATGCAAAGTTTGCCTTTCTGTGCATGGCTTATTTCGCTTAACATTAATGATCTTCAGTTCCAACCATGTTGTTGCAAGTAACAGGATCTCATTCTCTTACATGGCTGAATAGTACTCTTTCATGTATATATACCACTTTTTCTTTATCCATTCATTGGTTGATGGACACTTAGGTTGCTTCCAAATCTTGACTATTATGAATAGTGCTGCAATAAACATAGAAGTGCAGATATCAGAACAATATATTCATTTTATTTCTTTGGGGTATATACCCAGCAGTGGGATTCCTGGATTATAATGGAGCTCTATTTTTAGTTTTTTGAGGAACCTCCAAACTGTGATTGTACTTATTTACATTCCCACCAGTAGTGAGTGAGGTTTCCCTTTTCTCCACATCCTCACCAGCATTTGTTATTGCCTGTCTTTTGGATATAAGCAATTTTAACTGAGGTGAGATGACATCTAATTGTAGTTTTGATTTGCATTTCTCTGATGATCATGATGTTCAACAAATTTTTATATGCCTGTTTGCCATTTTTATGTCTTTGGAGAAGTGTCTATTCAAATCTTTTGTCCATTTTTTAATCGTGTCATTAGATTTTTTTCCGATAGGGCTGTTTGAGCTCTTTATATATTCTGGTTATTAATCTTTGGTCAGATGGGTAGTTTGCAAGTATTTTCTCCCATTCTGTGGATTGTCTCTTCACTTTGTTGATATTTTCCTGTGCTGTGCAGGAGCTTTTTAATGTGATGTGGTCTCATTTGTCCATTTTTGCTTTGGTTGCTTGTGTTTGTGGGGGTACTATTCAAGAAATCTTTGCACAGTCCATTGTCCTGGAGAGTTTTCCCAGTGTTTTATTTTAGTGGTTTCATAGTGTGAAGTCTTATATTTAAGTCTTTAATCCGTTTTGATTTGATTTTTGCATATGGCAAGAGAAAGAGTTCTAGTTTCATTCTTTTGCATATAGATATCCAGTTTTCCCAGCACCATTTATTGAAGAGACTGTCCCCTCCCCAATGTGTGTTCTTGGCACCTTTGTCAAAAAGAAGTTCACTGTAGATGTATGCATTTATCTCTGCATCCTCTATTTTGTTCCACTGATCTATGTGTTAGTTTTAAGCCAGTACCATGCTGTTTTAGTTACTATAGCTCTGCAGTATAATTTAAAGCCAGGTAACGTGATTCCTCCATTTTTATTCTTTCTGCTTAGGATAGCTTTGACTATTCTGGGTCTTTTGTGGTTCCATATAAATTTTAGGATTTTTTTTATTTCTGTGAAGAATATTATTTATGTTTTGATAGGGATTACATTAAATTTGTAGATTGCTTTGTGTAGTATGGATATTTTAATAATATTGATTATTTCAATCTATGAAAATAAAATATCTTTCAATTTTTTGTGTGTCTTCTTAAATTTTGGGGGTATTTCTTAAATTTTTTTCCTCTTAAATTTTTTTGTGAGATTTCGTAAATCAGTGTTTTGAAGTTTTCATTGTAGATATCTGAAACAGTTCCCTTTAAAGCCTACCTTTAAAGTCTAATCGCTTATTAAGCCTACTATAAAACAATATTGTTTAAGTCATACTAAGTCATAAGAAGAAATACTGGTTTAGAAGAACATATATTCTAGTATATTCAATGTGCATGTGTTAATCAAACCTATGTTTTACAATTGACTGTGACTCAGTTTCCTCATCTACAAAATGAGATGAAATTTAGCACCTATCTCAAAGAACTGTCATGAGGATTAAATAAAAAACATTCCATGCTCATGGGTAGGAAGAATCAATATCATGAAAATGGCCATACTACCCAAGGTAATTTATGGATTCAATGCCATCCCCATCAAGCTACCAATTCCTTTCTTCACAGAATTGGAAAAAACTACTTAAAAGTTCATATGGAACCAAAAAAGAGCCCACATTGCCAAGTCAATCCTAAGCCAAAAGAACAAAGCTGGAGGCATCATGCTACCTGACTTCAAACTATACTACAAGGCAACAGTAACCAAAACTGGTACCAAAACAGAGATATAGACCAATGGAATAGAACAGAGCTCTCAGAAATAATGCCGCATATCTACAACTATCTGATCTTTGACAAACCTGACAAAAAGAAGAAATGGGGAAAGGATTCCCTATTTAATAAATGGTGCTGGGAAAACTGGCTAGCCATATGTACAAAGCTGAAACTGGATCCCTTCCTTACACCTTATAGAAAAATTAATTCAGGATGGATTAAAGACTTGAATGTTAGACCTAAAACCATAAAAACCCTAGAAGAAAACCTAGGCAATACCATTCAGGACATAGACATGGGCAAGGACTTCATGACTAAAACACCAAAAGCAATGGCAACAAAAGCCAAAATTGACAAATGGGATCTAATTAAACTAAAGAGCTTCTGCACAGCAAAAGGAACTACCATCAGAGTGAACAGGCAACCTACAGAATGGGAGAAAATTTTTGCAATCTACTCATCTGACCAAGGGCTAATATCCAGAATCTACAATGAACTCAAACAAATTTACAAGAAAAAAACAAACAACCCCATCAAAAACTGGGCAAAGGGTATGAACAGACACTTCTCCAAAGAAGACATTTATGAAGCCAAAAGACACATGAAAAAATGCTCATCATCACTGGCCATCAGAGAAATGCAAATCAAAACCACAATGAGATACCATCTCACACCAGTTAGAATGGCGATCATTAAAAAGTCAGGAAACAACGCGTCCTGGAGAGGAGGTGGAGAAATAGGAACACTTTTACACTGTTGGTGGGACTGTAAACTAGTTCAACCATTGTGGAAGACAGTGTGGCGATTCCTCGAGGATCTAGAACTAGAAATACCATTTGACCCAGCCATCCCATTACTGAGTATATACCCAAAGGATTATAAATCATGCTGCTATAAAGACACATGCACACATATGTTTATTGCAGCACTAGTCACAATAGCAAAGACTTGGAACCAACATAAATGGCCAGCAATGATAGACTGGATTAAGAAAATGTGGCACATATACACCATGGAATACTATGCAGCCATAAAAAATGATGAGTTTATGTCCTTTGTAGGGACATGGATGAAGCTGGAAACCATCATTCTCAGCAAACTATCACAAGGACAAAAAACCAAACGCCGCATGTTCTCACTCATAGGTGGGAATTGAACAATGAGAACACATGGACACAGGAAGGGGAACATCACACACGGGGGCCTGTTGTGGGGTGGGGGTAGCGGGGAGGGATAGCATTAGGAGATATACCTAATGCTAAATGACGAGTTAATGGGTGCAGCACAACAACATGGCACATGTAAACATATGTAACAAACCTGCACGTTGTGCACATGTACCCTAAAACTGAAAGTATAATAAAAAAATAACAATTAAAAAAAGAGCCAATGTGCTTAGCCCCTGAGTCTTAAATGGCTGACATTTAAGACTTCAATAAATGTTAGCTGTACTTGTATTAGCCACTTAAGTCAGTGTCTGTCATTTAGGGGGATTACCTGTCCTGATTTGCCTGGGACTCTTCCCATTTTAGCACTGCAAGCCTCACATTCCAGGAAACCCTTCAGGCCCAGGCAAATCAGGATAACTAGTTACCCTCCACCATACATGAAAATCCACAAATACTAATGACAGTCATTACTTCTTTAACACTATTGGAAAGCTCCTAAAAATAAAAAAATTAAAATTTTTAAAAAACTATTGCTTAAAGATACTATTTGTATGATAGTGGTTACATAAAAAATTATGAGTCTACTTGGACACCATTCATCACAAGTTGAGGATTAAAGTGAAGGGGCCCTAAAACAACCACTTTTTCTTGTTCATAGTTTCCAAGTAGACTGAAGATACTAAATAGATTAGTATATAATTTAACCTATGTAATATTCTTTTAAAATTAAAACATATTATCAAAATACATTGATATTTTAAAAACACTAAAATATTAAACAAATGAAATATGAATAAAACACAGAAAGTGTACCTTTTTTGTGTGTTTATGAATAACTTTAGTGTGACTCTCTCACAATGCTAAGCTCAGGTAGTTTTTAAACAAAATCTGATTAATAATCCTATGTTAGTATGTTTTTTAACCTGCTCTTTCCTTTGATTTCATAGAAAGTAGCTTTATTTTTCTCAGTTATTCTGAAGAAAATATCCCTTTTGTTATTTTTATTTTTAAATTCCTAAGTAGACCTTACCCATTGAGGGTCTCTACGGAACTCCATCTGTCTCTGAGAAACTCTCCTCCTTGCATTAAAATGAAATAATTCTGTTGTTAGCTGTCCTTTCAAGACTAAAGAATTGTGTGGCATCATTCTGCTGTAGCTGATTTCAAATAAAGTTCTTATGCTGGAGTTGGATAAATAACAACTTTTAAGAATCCAGAATTTTTTAAAATATAAAATTAACATAGGTTACATACAAAGTTAATCATTTAACAATTACAAGCAAACACATTTCTTCAAAATGTCTATATCATGTCAAAACAATTGGTCATATTGTAAAAAAATCAGCCAAATAAAATTTCATGAATGAAATTGATTACTAAAACCTTTTACTTTTTGATAAGTTGCATTTCTTTCATTTTGATATGACATAGCTTGGACATTTGTAGCTTCATGGGTAAAAAAAACTGTAATAGAATTTAAAAATCCTTAGATTTATATTTGTGTGTGTGTCTGTGTGTATGTGTGTGTGTGTGTGTGTGTGTCTGTGTGTCTGCAGCCATTTTTAATTACATACACACATCCTCAGATATCAAAGATTTATTTCAGGAGAAAGAAAAGAATATGCAATACATAGTATATCTATAGTTGTTATATTTAATACACTTAACAGTTTTTATATTTAAAATGTCTGGATGCAATTTCTCTTCAAAAATGTTAAATACCAAGGACACATCTATATTTTTTGGTAAGATACTATCTATTGAAAGTGCCATGCAGGACAGATATAAAAGTAGCTTGACCAAGTCTGAATTCTCACTAATCTCAGGTGAAGGAAGCCATTTGCTATTGATAAAGCTAGTTAATCTCCAGAGTACAACCTGGGCTTTATGTATTTTTAGATGAGAATCACAAAAATTGATCTGCACTTGCTTCTCATACAAGCTTCACGTGCCGGCTGCAATAAAATCTATGACTGTGATTCAAAGTATACTTCCAGTCTGCATGAAGAAAGAGACTCCAATGCTGCTAAAAATGAATTATCTTCTTTCTTCAATTTTGAAAATGCCTTAGAAAAATTAACTAATTAACAGATGCATCTGATGAGAATCCTGTAGACTATCACTCAGAGATCTTCTATTGTATATGATGTAATACATTACCACTACAATAGAAAATTATCTTAGCTCTTAACAATTCTTAGAAGCTATGTAGAAACTGAGACTGATTCCATGTAGCATTAAGAAAAAAGATTCCCAAGTAGCAAACTCCTTCATCCTTTACTTAGGCCAAGGAAATTATGACCTAAAAACAAAATCAAACAAAACAAACAAAAAAGAACCACAAGTTAAAAAAAGAAGAAACCTAACCCACAGGCGTTTACTTGCAGCTGAGATTGATCTTAAGGTTAGCAGGTATAAAACGTAGTAATGACTACTACCAATGCTGCTTTAATTTTTTGAAAGAGGAAATTCTCATGGGCTAGATGATTTTTGTGTGTGTGTGGGGGATGAATGATGGCTTTGTGTTCCTGAAATAGGAGGTTAGGAAGATGGGTTTTCAAATTCTTGGTTTATGCAGTGTGTAAATAGTGAAAATAGTTATTTATATTTACATCTTGATAAGACACAGGCTTTCTCTAAAACACATTCTACAATGTACCTAAAATCATGTTTTTTTCCAGCACCTAACACAGTACCTGGTACTCAAAATGCATCTGTTGAGGGAGTAGAAACATAAATGACACCCGATAAATATTTGTATTTATATTATCACAGAAGTCTATACATTTGCAACCTTGGTTTTGATCATGTCTACCAGGGTGTTACTAGGGACTCCACATGTACAAAGCCTAATTACAATGTACACTAGAGGAACTCTTAAGGCAAACTGCTATGTGTATCTGTACTATAGAAATCAAGTTCAAAATAGTACCAGATAAAATTTGGCTTAAATTTACGAACACATTTTTGTTTACAAGTTAATGTACATACATTTTTACTATTTGAATAAAACTACATGTGAATCATAGACCCATTTTTGTTCCATTGACTTGAACAGTACGTTTGACATCTCACAAATACTGTGAACAATGTTCTTTCCAAATCAACCGTATGAATACGGAGAACAAACCTACTTTTACATTGCAGTTCATGTAAAGTCTGCCAAGTCTAATACGGTATAATTGACTCTAGTTAGCTCTCTCACCAACGGAATTATTCTTTACCTTGGGTGAATAACACTTTAAAAAGTAATGTAGTTTAGAATTAAAAGAAAATAGAAAAAGTGTGCTTTCATTTTGGTTCCTCTAGCTACAGTTCTCACAGGGCTAAGTAAGATCCAAACTAGGAAAACTGACATAAAACATGAAATTGACAAGGAAGTTGCGTGCATAAAAGTAAATGACTGCTACCTCATGTGATTACTGAAACCTCATTATGTTCTACACACACACATTTATATACATACATTAAAACTAACTTACATATGTACAACAAACTTACTGGAGTGCAATTACTAAGGTGGTATGTCTGATTATGAAGAAAAGCATCCAGACCTATTCTTCAAAGAACTTGACAACTAAAATGGTTTGCATTAAAATACCTGCTTACCAGTGATGACAGAGTAACTGATACACAACTAATTTTCCTGTCATAAATAGCTATAAAATTGGACAAAGTATATGAAATAACCATTTTAAGATGTTGTACGACAGGCAATGCAAAATAGTGGTTACTGCATAAAGAAAACTAAAAAAAGTTAGCTCAACAATCTCCCTGGCTTTCTGTTTGGAGGCATTTTCTGAACTGCAGTGGAAGGAGAGGAAACCCAGAGCACAGTGGTAATTTTTTGGGCTAAGGGGAAAGAGAACAGAATTTGGAGCTCCAGTATTTGCTAGAATGTATGAGTCAGGGTCCAAATAAAAGGGAGCTGTACAGAGCAGGAGCTTCAGAAATCTATAATGAGGACCCTTGAGTGTTTGACGGGAAACACAGCTTCACATGGGCAAGCCAAGAAAATATGAGGTCCAGCATAGAACAACTACTGAGCAAAGACAGCTACTACAGGAAGAAAAACTACTGAGGAGCTGTGAATAGAACAAGTACTATAGCCTGCACAGGCTGAGAGACATTTAAGTTCCAACCAATTAGAGAGCAGAGACCTCTCTAAACACCCACAGTTCTTAGTAGAGTCCAGAAAGGCCATGCCTTAGAAGGAAAAATTTATCCCTAGAGTAAAGGCTACTCTAGGGCTGCTCTAACAAAATTTTACTAAGGATCAAAAGAATCAAGATGGTTTAATTTAACTGCTTTCTGGAACAAAACTTAACACTTTATTAAGAAGGAGACTAAAATCAGACACCATAGGAACTATAACGTTCAGCACAAAATCAGGAATTACTTGATGTGTAAAGACCGCAGCAGAATAGAAACAAACTCAGAAAAGAAAGAGATAATGGAATTAATAGAAAATAGCTTTAAAACAACTACTATTACTATGTTAAAGATTTAAAGGGAAATGTGAATAAAGTGAGGAAACAAGTAGAGAAACAGAATGGAGAATGGAAATTTTATAAAAGAACATAAAAGAAAAAAGAAATCCTCAGCTGGGTGTGGTGGCTCACACCTATATTTTCAGCACTTTGGGAGGCCAAACTGGGAGGATCACTTGAGGCCAGGAGTTTCAGACCAACCTGGTCAACATAGCAAGATGTCATCTCTAAAAATAAAATAAAATAAAATAAAATAATGCAATAAAATAGAAGAATAAAAAATAAATCATAGAACTTTGTTCCCCCCTCTAAAAAATACATGAAATGAAAATTTCCCTGGATGAGTTTAACAGCAAAAGAAAAGATGAGTGAATGTGAACAGAAAAATAGAAATGAGTCAAACTGAAGCAGAGAGTTAAGTGGACTGAAAAAATTAACTGAGCCTCAATGACCTGTGACAATATCTAATTACATGCATGGAATTGGCATACTAGAGGGAGAGACAAGAGGGGGAGAGCAGAAAAATGTTTGAAACAATGGTGGTTGAAGATTTTCTAAATTTGATAAAAACTATACACTCAGAGATCCAAAAAAGCTTAATAAATTCCAAGAAGGAAAAATCTGTAGAAAATAACTCCAAAGCATATCATCACTCATTAGCTGAAAGTCAGTAATAGTAAGAAAACTATTAAAAGAAGACAGAGAAAATAGACATATTACACACAGCAAAAACAATCATAAGAAAAACTACTGACTTCTCATTAAAAACAATGCAGGTGAAAAGACAATAGAAGGACAATTTTTAAGTGCTAGAAGGAAACTGTCAACAATCAATATCCAGTGAAAACTACTCCTCCAAAATGAAGAGAAAATAAAACTACTTTTTTTCTGCTTTCTTCATTTATTTTTCTCAGTAAAATTACACATGATTGGATGTTAGACAGTTTTCTTTGAATATTAGCTAGAAAATTTTGACATATTTTAGTGCCTGAGTCTTCATGATACATTATTTTTTTGACCAAAACAATTAATAAAAAACTAAAAATTTGTCACCAGCTGGCCTGCGTTACAAAAAATGTCAAAGGAAACTTTTAAGGTTGAAGGAAAATAATTTCAGATGGAAATTCAGTTCATAAAGGAATAAAAAGCGCTTGGAATAGCCATTAGATAGGTAAATATATAATATGTTTTTGTTTTTTAATTTTTTGAAAGATAATTCATTGTTTAAGGAAAAAATAATACCAATGAATTGTGAGGTTTCTTTAAACATGTAGAAGTTAAATGTGTGACAAAAATAGAAAAAAGTACAGGAGGGGAAACTTTTAATTTCCTTGTGTTTTACAAACAGTGGGATAGTATTAATGCAAGGCAGACTATGATAAGTAAAAGATCCATATGTAAGTCCTGTAACAACCATTAAAAATAACATTAAAAAATAAATACAGTGATATATATATATATATATATATATATATATATATATAACCAATAGGAGATGTAAAATGGAATAGTAAAAAATAATCTAAAATTAGTCAGAAAAGAGGGGAAAAAAGAATAAAATACATATGGGAAAAATATAAAACAAATAGCAATATGGAAGTCTTTAGTCCAACTATTTTAATAAACATATTAAATGTAAATGAACCAAATATTTTACTAAAAGGTGAAACTGTGAGACCTTATTAAAAAGCATCACCAAATATGTGCTATTTACAAGAGACTCACATATAATGTAAAGACACATTTAGCTTAGAAATGAAAATGATTGGAGAAAGGTATACTATGAAAACACTAATTCTAAGAATGATGGAGTAGCTCTAATTATATTAGACAAAGAAGACTTCAGGAAAATTAGTTTTACCAGAGATAAAGAGGGATATTTCATAATGATAAAAGTGTCAAATCATAAAGAAGCCACAGTAATCATAACAGTGCATGCATCTAATAACAGAGCATCAAAATTCATGAAGCATAAATAAATAGAACAAAAAAGAGAAATAGACAAATTCAAAATTACATTTGGAGGTTTTCACACTCTTATCTCAGTTGACAGAATAACTAGACATAAAATCAATAATCATATAGAAGGTTTGAATCATCCTATCAACAAACACAATTCTAAGTATGTTTATAAAACACTCTTCCCAACAATCAGAAAATCCACATTCTTTTCAAGTGTTCATAAAACATTCACCAAGATAAACCTTGTGCTAGGCCATAAGACAAATCTCAATATGTTTAAAATAATTTAAATCATTTAGAGAATGTTCTCTGACCACAACAGGATTAAATTAAGAATCAATTGCAAAATGTATTTGAAAAATCTTTCAATATCTGGAAATTAATTAAAATGCTTACTAAGACATAGGTCAGATACAAAATTAAAAGGAAATTAGAAAATATTTTGAACTAAATGAAATAAAAATATGACATATCAAAATTTGTAAGATGAAGTTAAAGCAGAAAGAAACAAGGTTTTAAATATTTACATTAGGAAAAAAGAATGGTTTAAAAACGGTGATCTAAGAGTCTGCCATAAGGAACTAGAAAAATCAGGATAAATCAACCCAAAGTAAAAATGAGGAGGGAAATAATAAGGATAAGAGCAGATATTTCTTAAATAGAAAATTGACAAATAATTGAAAAACTAAAAAAAGTTAATTCTTTTAAAAGATTAATAAAATTGATACCTCCTAGCTATACTCATTAAGAAAAAAGAGAAAATATAAATTATCAATATTACAAATGAAAAAGGAAATATTATTACAGATTATTCAAACCAGAAACACAGTAAGTGAATACTATTAACAACTTTGTGAGTAAAAATTTGGCAATTTACATTAAAAGAACAAGTCTCTTGAAGAATACAATTAAACTTAACACAAGAAGAAATAAAAAATCAGAATAGCCCTATATCTATTAACAAATTTATTCATAATTTTAAAACCTTTCCACAAGAAAACTCCAAACTTAGATGGCTTCACTGGTAAAGCCTATCAATTAAGAAAGAAATAATACAAATTGCATTTAAACTCTTTCAAAAATATAAAAGAAAGGAACACTTCCCAATTCATTTTATGAGGCCAGTGTTAACTTGATACCAAGCCATTCACATACATTACAAAAAAAGAAAGGTACAGATTAATACCTTTCAATAACACAGATACAGAAGTCCTCAAGAAAATATGATCAGCCCAAATCCAGGAATACATAAAAAGGCGAATACATCATGACCTAGTGGGATTATACCAGAAATCCAAAGCTGTTTTAACACTCAAAATAAAATGAATGTTAGTAAACATATTGGCAGGATAAAATAATGAAAAATCACTTGATTATCTCATTAGTTGAAGAAAAAGCATTTGATGAAATTCAACAGCCAACTATAATGATAGCAGTAACAATAATAGTAACCACCAGAAAATTAGATATAAAAGAAAATTTTCTCAATCTGATAAAGTCCACTTATTTTTTACAAATAGAAATAATACTATATTTAATTATAAAATACTGAATGCTTTTCCCTTAGGAAACAAAGCAAGGATGTCCATTCTTAGCACTCTTATTCATCCTTGTACTAGAGGTCCCCAGCCAGTAAAATAGGACAATATAAATAAACAAAATGCATAAGGACCGAAAAGAAAAGAGCAAAACTCTTTTGAATTACTGGTGACATAATATATAGAAAATTCTAAGGAGTCTTTAAAAAAATCCTAATAAGCTGATTTAGTATTATCACAGAATACAATGTTTACATACAAAAGTCAATTGCTTTACTGCATACTAGCAATCAAAACTTGAAAAATGAAACTATAAACATACCATTTACAATATCATAAAAACAAAAAAAGTATAGAAATTGGAAAAGTGTGGTATTGCTGTAAAGATGAACGAATAGATTAATGAACCACACAAACACACCGCAAACATCTACCAGCTGCTCAGTTCACCCACATCCACCCGTGTATTATGAGTCAAACACAACCTCATCTGGTGTTACTCTGTCTCATTTCAGATAACCCACCTTCTTCCACCAGACAAGAACTGAAAGTTGAAAATAAATTTACACCTATATGATCTATTAATTCTGAACAAGGTGTGGCCTCTAGACGCTGAAAAGGGCAAGAAAATGAATTTCTCACTAGAGTTTCCAGAAGAAATGGAGCCATGCCAACAGCTTGATTTCAGCCCAGTGAGATCCATGTCAGAATTCTGACCTCTAGAACTGTAAGATAATAAGTTTCTGTTGTTTTAATCCACTAAACTTGTGTTCATTTTTGTTAATTAGAAATAGGAAACTAATAAACTAGCTCAAGAAATAGTATCTTCATTAATTTATTTAGATAATTTTCAGATAATATTACTCTGTGAGTCTGTTTCATGCCAGCACTGACCTAGGCATGGAGATTTGGGATTAAAATGCATAGCTCTTAACTTGAAAGTTGGGATCTAAAAGCAATGACAAATAATTCCTTCCAAATGTAGCAAAAACTATGATAAAGCTAAGCACAAAATGCTGTGAGAGCACGTATAAGAGGCATTTAACCAAACTGAGGAGGAAATAATAGCCAGGAAGACTTCCTGAAAGAAGTGATATTTTAACCAAAGTCTAAATGATTAGTAGAAATTAATCTGGCAAAGACGGAAAGTGAGAATTTAATAAAAGTAACGTTGAGTTCTAAGAGCCATAAGAGAACTTGGCACATCCAGGGAACTGTGAGTAGTTTGCTACTCACCGAGAAGTAAAATGAAATGCATAAGCAATCATGGGCAAATATACAGTTAAGATGTAAACCTTAAGCAGAAAGAAATTATTAATATTGATTTAATTATTATTGAGTTATCATTTACCTGTTGCAAAATGCAGATTTTAGGGGTTACAGTATGATTATATTTGGCTATTGAATTTGCTTACATAACCCATATCCCAACAAGATACAGTCAATTCTACCCTAATATGAAATATGCATTCCTAAAAATCGCCATTGCCACATAAAATCATGCAATAAAAGTCACATCATAAGGTTTAGCACAAAAATGAGACTGGGCAAAACATTCAAACACTTCATCAGTGACACATAAAAATATGTAGGAGCCTAATAAAAACACTAGTGCAGTTTTACACATGTTATGCGATTAGGAAGTTCATAAATGCTACAATAAATATGGCACTTTACCTTGAAAAAGGCCTGAAGCTGGTTTGTGTGGGAGTGGACATCAGAAGGGTTGCAGCTTGTGAGTTTTTGTGAGGTGGAGGAAGGAGGGTTATCTGAAAGCAAAGTTGATCTTATAAAAATTTTAAAACATAGGCATTCAGCATCAGGCTTTTATAAGCATAAAAATGATCAGAACTATAGTCACTAGACATATTAGCAATTGTTCTTACAAGGACCAAAGCTTGGCCCAAAGAAGGAAAAACCTTTCTCCTGATTTTCTCATTGTCAAACTGACGCAAATAGGCTCTTCCTAACTGTTTTTATTTATATAATAAGGATAGCCAAAGGAAAAGAAACACAGGATAGAGGGATGTAAACAAGATGGCTTAATAATCAGAGGGGTCTGAACCCATCATAGTTTATTTGTGTGAATGCTGTCTCAAAGTAATTACTGTTTATAGGCTCAAAAATGGCAAGATTTTGCAGGCACTTGACTGTGTCCTTCACGTTTTAACTCCCAACACAATTCTTTGGTCTTTCTTTTTTGACACCTTTATCCCTGTGTTAATATCTAATCTAAAGCCTAATATCAGTGTCTGTTCTAAGAAAGCTGCTTTTTCTTTAGTTGAATAACACCTTTCAGATGAGACCTTATTTTATATCCACAGGGATGGGGGCAGATCATATAAAATAACAAAGAAACACTAATCTGGTAGTTAAGTAACCTAAATTCTTGTCCTGGTTTTCTCACCAACTTAAATTCTGAAATCTCATCTGCAAAAATAAGGTGATTAACCTTGTCTGTCTTTAAGGTCCATTTAAGTTCTATACTTCTATGACCATTATTAACAAACATTATTGAGATCCTTCTAGGTGTAGAGTGTTTATCAAACAATCTATCCTCATTTTTTACAAGATAAGAAAGCTCAGAAAGGCCAAGTGACTTGCTAATGTCACACTTCCAGTAAATGGCAGAGCTCAGATTCACTTGCATGTCTTGTCCACAAAACAAATGTCTTTGCAAATGCCACACTGTTGTCCTTAAAAAAATGGCTATCATATCACAGACAGAAAAGATCCCATGTGATGGACTCCTGGGTGCCCAGCACCTCCACTCATTCAAGTGGTTTCCTTAGGAGCTGTCATATTTTATAAGATCCTGGCAGCTTAGCCTCTGTTGGTTAGTTCAGGGTGAGACATGACCCAAATTAGGAAAGTAAGATTCTTTCAGATAATTTGGAAATATGAAAGGAAGTTAGTATGTCTGAGATGATTGAAGCCATACAATAAAAAACTCAAAAGATGTTAGCAGCAATGTTTGCTGCCAAGTGAAGAATGCCAGTTTTCAATGACAGTGAAGCAGAGAGGAAAGAGACCGATATGGTTTGGCTGTGTCCCCACCCAAATCTCATTTTGAATTGTAATTCCCATAATCTCCACGTGTCTTGGTAGGGACCTGGTGGGAGGTAATTGAATCGTGGGGGCAGTTATCCCCATGCTGCTGTGCTCATGATAGTGAGTGAGTTCTCATGAAATCTGATGGTTTTATAAGGGGCTTTTCCTCCTTTGGCTCGGCACTTCTCCTTGCTGCCATGTGAAGAAGGATGTGTTTGCTTCCACTTTTGTCATGATTGTAAGTTTCCTGAGTCCCCCCCGCAGCCCTGCAGAACTGTGAGTCAATTGAACCTCTTTCCTTTATAAATCAGCCAGTCTCAGGTATGTCTTTATTAGCAGTGTGAGAATAGACTAACACAGAGGGAGAGTTCTGGCAGAATTTGGACCTGAGTTCTGGTTGCCCATGACATCCCGCTGCACTTTCAAACAGCTCAGTCATTCCTTCCTCCTTTGCACTCCATGTGCTAATAGGTCCTCTTTTTTGCTTTGATTGTTGAAGGACCCTATGTTAGCTTCCCATGGCTATTGTAACCAATTACTACAAACTGAATGGCTTAAAACAACAGAAATATATTCTCTCACAGTTCTGGAGTCCAGAAGTCCGAAATCAAGGTATTGACAGGGTTAGTTCCTTCTGGAGGCTCTGGCAGAGGACTCGTTCTCTGTGTCTCTCAGCTTCTCATGGCTGCTGGCAGCCCTTGGCATTCCTTGGCTTGCAGGCTCATCACTCCTGTCTCTGCCTCCATCTTCATGTGGCCTCCCCGACTGTATCTCTGTGTGTTTTCCCCCTTTCTTTTCTCTTTCAGGTAATCTTGTTTTTGGGCGTAGGCTCCACCCTTATCCAGGACGATATCCTCTCGAGATCATTAGCTTAACTGTATCTGCAAAGACATTTTTCCAAACAAGGTCACATTCACAGGTTCTGGGAGCCTCTTTTGGGGGGCCACAATGGACCGCTAGCAAAAGAGAATTGCAAATTGTAGTGGTGACTAGTTTCAAAGTTTAGTGCTACCCATCCTAGTGAAGTTTTTCATGTTTAATTACACTTTCCCTGCTGCTACCGCTACCTATTTTTTTTTTCCCTGTAAGGTCATTTAGACATTTAACAAATATAGCACTATAATCAGAAGAATGAACTGTGTTGGCAAATATGCAAATACATCTATGAATATTTTAGATTTATCTTTTTGTGTTGCAAAGGCAAGCAAGATGACCAAATGATTTCAGTTTTCTTAGTTCAGTGATGCCAGTGGTAGATAACTGCAGATAAGGTAGATAAACTGTCCTATTCCACTTATATCTTCCATGCACTGCTGAAAATTCATTTGTGCCCTTTCATTGCTTCAAGAATGGTATTATAACACCTTCAAGAATGGTTTACTAGAAAGTTCTGATGTCTAGACACCACATAGGTATGTTCTGATTTGTTTTGTTTTTGAATAAACGACAAAAAAGAGGAAGTGTGTTGGTGTTTAGTGCTTTAACCAATATAAGTTGCCTTCTCTTTCAGAGAAATGTTCCCTATTATATAAAGTCAATTTCCATGTAACCAGCTATTTGCTGGGGTAACAAATTTACCCCATCCTGGAATCTCAAATAAAAAATCCATTGTAATGCCATTATATGACCAGTTTTATGTTTACTAGCAGCTGTCTTCCCATCTTCGCTATTGTAGAGTAAAACTATTGTACTGGTATTAAAAAAAACTCCTGTAACAACAACAAACATACAAAGACCCTGGTTTACAAGAGTTGTTTTATTAGGAAAATAACTATGGGATGGATTCAATAAAAAACAAAAACCATGCCTTCCGCTCAGTATAATCTTACCGATGCTGTCCATCTTCCTGATTCACTGCTGAGGTACTGCTTTACCTTACAGAAGGCATCCAAAACGTTTAAACTTTGTGTTTTCTGTATTCTGACGGTTTCACAAGGCAATTTCCAAATGCATACTGTCTTTAGAAATAAAGTTTGAATTCAGACGGAGCTCAACTTGAATCAATCATACAAGCATTGTATCTGATAATTATATAGATTCTCCCGGAATGGATGTAATGATGCCTCTTCCTTAAGCCCCTTTACCTTGCTATGTTGTAAGCAGTCTCCTTTGTGTATTATAGCACCCTGTTTTAACACAGTCAGTCCAAAAATAGGAATGCCAAGCTCTTGCAATGTAAAATCTCTTAGTGTGGGACTAAAAAAGAAGATATAGCTTTCACAGAGGGACAAAAATGCTATAAACATGTGATGGCTGATTTGTTTGTGGTAGAGTTAATTACTTCTTTGTTAATTCCTGATAGAATTTAGAAGGCTCTTTAACAACTCACTTTTGGCTGTTTATGTATCTTTTTCTTTAAAGAGCCACAGATGATTAAGTTAAAAAAAAAATCCATACTTTTTGGTAGGTAACCGTTTTAGCTGACATTATAATTTTCCGTCCTCAAACTGACTTTATCCTTTTTAATGATGTTCATGCTCTTAATCAGGACTATATAAACAATCCATATTACAAATTTCATACAGACATATGTGAACATTTAACAGGCTTTGGGAGACATTTGCAGTGTAGAATATCTAGCTGGATTTTCTTCCTTGGAGATTATCCTGTACTAGTAACAAGCAGAGAAAATATTTCCCACGCCTGTGAGTATTTAGGAGTTCCTTTGTGTGCCTAGATCTTTTTTTCCCCATACAGGGGAAGTGGTGTGCACTGGGGGTAGGCAGAAGAAAAATGACAAGAAGCAAAAGCTTTGCTGCTGTGGGATCAAATTCCAAGCAGAATTCCTTCATACACTTCCATTTCTGTGAAAGTGCGGTGTGGTGTTTGTTTTCACTGTATCTGCTCGCTTAATTGTTTCTGCCTGTTCATTTCGTTCCTCAGTGAAAACGTTAGCCTAAGGGACATTTGAAAATCAAAAGGTAGGCTTGGAGTTTAACAGGAAATGAACAGTGGTGTTGCTGCAACATTAAAGTAAAAGTTTAGAACCAATAAGAAATAACCACAATTCTAAACTCAACACGTCTTTTCTCCTTTTTGTTGTTTCCTTTGCTCTCCCAAATGTCAAGATTAAAGAAAAACATTCCATGGTTTCTACATGTTTACATTGCAAGGACGTATAAAAGATGCTGTGAGGTATGCATTAAAAGAACTTATCTTAGATACGGCAAAAATCCAGAGATTTTGAATTATTATGCAGGAATATATAAAATCCAGGACAGATTTCCTGACAGCTATAATTATTTAATTCTTTTAGAATTATCTTTTTCCACCCCCAAACCTCCTCTTGCCAGAATTGTTGAGATAATTAAGGAAGTAGTGGGAAGGTTAGAATCTGAACCATTTCAAAACCAAAACTGACCAGACAATTGTCCAACTCTGTTTCACTTACAATGCAGGACTATGACTTCTGTGTTGGCATGTGTGTGCTAAAGTTTGACCTCTGGCAGGGAAATTGTCTTCAGACAGAATAGAACTTGAACTTCAGAAGTCCAGTGGTCCTCATTGTAGTTGCCCATTTGCACTCAACGTAGCATGGCTTAATTGCAACAAATATCAGTTATGCTAAATGCTGGTATTCTAACAGCTCAAGGTGAAGTGTTGTTACCGTCCACCTTTTCTCTGATCACTGAGACAAAAGATCAAACAGAAATATTTTAAAAAACACTCGCAGAGGATCATCTCAACTTAAAATACTGCCTCTTTTATGACCACATTCTCCATCTTAACAAGGAAATCAAACAATTCAAGGGGAGAAAAGCAAAGAAATCCACAGAGAAAAGTTGTTTAAAATTGCCCACTGGATACAGCCATTGTAAGAGTTGAATAATGAGGTGGGAAAATATCAGACTTAAAAAAAAAAGCCTAGATATTTAAACATACAAAAGTTATCACACCATTTATTTTTGGAAATAATTTGGGTTAATCCAAATAGCCATGATGAGGAATAGTTGAATAACAAGTAATTACCTTTTCCTGCCTTTGAAGAACAATGGATTTGGGATGAATCCAAATTTGTAAAAAGCAATCATGATTTTATATTCAATTATCTCACGGAAAGATCTCTGCAGTTTTGCATTAGTTTCTTGATGCTATACTTCATGGGCACTGCACACTTGGAGAAATAATCAAAACTTATTAATGTATTCAATTATTCATTGATTATGTATGGCACTCACTAGTTTTAAGAATAGCAGGTCAACAGAACTATTGATTAGAAAAAAACATTTTTGGAAGAAAAACTGGCTCTCTTAGCTACCTTTGCAGTGGTCATTCTCCGTGGAGAATGTAATCATTTGGTTGTTTCTATTGCTGGAGTGGAAGCGGTGTTTGTGGTGGTGGGTGGGAGCATGACACTAGGTATATGTCTGAAACGGGGAAGCAAGGCAAATGGACAAATTGCAAGTTAAATACTTTAGGAGGGAGGGGACGTATTTTTACAGGTATCAGTTATTGTCCTTACAAGTAATAAATAACGCTAAATAAAACATGTAACTAAATGGGCATTAAAGACCTTTTACATACATAGAAGACAAGAAACGCTTTTTTTCCTCCTATGCTGCAGACTGCAGGCATTTTCCTCTGCCTCTGTCAAGTGTAATTCTTTCTTGATGAATGACAAGGCAGGATAATAGGCTGTGGTCGCCATGGCAACCAGACAGCAGCACTGTGTGCCTAGCATTTTTTCATCTGAAAATGAAACCAGAAGCAAAGAAAAGCTGAAAATGTAACCAACAGATTAACTGATACAAAAAAAGAAAAGAAAGAAAGGAAGAAAAAAGGAACAAAAAGGCAAGTTAGATTACAAGCAATTAAAATTACAGTACCTAGTCTTTCCCTCTCTCTCTCTCACACACACACACACACACACACTGACTAGCTATTTTTAAATACTATTTGAGAAACATGAAACAATCATGTTTTATCTTTATTTTTCCAAATGCTTCATTTGTTTTTGAAATCTAGGAAGAATTGATTTTTAAAGGGGCATTTAAATTCATTAATCACTGAAATTTATTAAGCTTTATGTATTGTGTTTGTATTGGAATTTCTAAATTCCTTTTCTCTCTAGCGCCCATCCCAGAACTATCCAGAGACCAAATGCTTAACGTGCAACAGTTTTATCTGGATGCAGGGTTGGTGGGGTGGGGTGAGGGAGGCAAGGTGACTTGAAGCTGAGAAATAAGAGGGCAATATTATATTAGCACTCATGGATTCTATAGACTTCACTCAAAGTATTTACTAAGCAATCAGAGTTGCTTTTCTATTCAGCAAAAGGAAGGCTGCAATTTTCTGCTATATCCCCATTCCTAAGCATAAGAAGGTTCCTGGATCCTCATTCAATATATTGCATATTCTGTCCATATAATTTCCTTTCATTTACTGATCTCAAAACTTGTATTGAAGCTTTCCTGTGAGATCTTCTCGGTCTCTACTGAACACAAATAAAAGAAAACAGACATAAAAGAGTATTTTCTGAGAGCTGCTGTCCCTTTACACCGCAGGTTTGGTAGAGGCAAAGAACACTGAGCTAGAAGTTAGAGGACAAAAGTCCTGTGAGGGGTGCAGCTTTGCAACTGCAGGCCAAAGAGCAAACCAAACAGGCCTCGGAATCAACATACTTGAGTTTGAATCTTAGCTCCATCCTTTTGGTAATCATAGTTTTCATAATAGGTAATATGATAATAGGTATCTGTTACAAATGAACCAGAGAGTTCTTAAACTCTCTGAGTGTCAGTAGTTTTCATCCTTAAAATGGGCAAATCTTATCTACTTCATGGGAATGAGAGGATTCATGAGATCATCTGTTGAAAGTGTCTGGTATATAATAGGAGTCACTTAAAGATTCCTCCTTCCTGTAATCCAAACACCCAGTTTTCTAATATGTGTAATAGAAATGTCTGTACTGTGTGTGTGTGTGTGTGTGTGTGTGTGTGTGTGTGTGTGTGAGAGAGAGAGAGAGAGAGAGAGAGAGAACGTATACATAACCACCTGTTTTGGAACGATGTAAATCAAATAAGTTACTCTATGTGAAATGATTCAAGGGTACAATGTGGTCATGAAAATGGAAGACAGTGTCACCAAGAGATGTTGACAAACCTCTTTTCCAGAAAAATCCTAAAGAAAGGTGTCCGACTCCAACCCGCCCTGAGGCAGAGAAAAAGATTGACCAGCCAAGTCAGGGCTCCTATTGCAGGAACTTTCCCTTTATGACCAGGAGACTGAAATGTGAAAGAGGCCCACAGAGCAACTTCCGGGAAGGTGATGAGCACACGGGGGCGTCCGAGCAGGCTAGGGCCATGGGTCCAGCGAGCCTCGCCACAGAGCATGCACTCCCGTCCTCCCTCTAACGTACCCAGTGTCTGTGCTGGCCACCCACAGCAAGGCCTCATAAATCCTTCCTTTGTCCCCATTTCCCTAACACACACAAATGCAAAGTGAACAGTTGGATCAAAGCTTTTAATGTGCTTTGTACTGTTTTATTTGAAGAGATCAGGTCTGATATTTGAGAGGAAGAGTCCATCTGGCTGGGCTGAGCTCAAGGAGCCTCAGACAAATTGTAAACAAGACCGGGGCACAAGCTCCTCTCACAGCCCACAGCCTGCCACTGCCATTGCCAAAGCACTATCCCACGCTAGCAAGGTTTTCCTGACCATTCATGCAAAAGGAGCTTAGTTACCAAAATGGACCCTCTTACAGGATTTCCTAAACTTTTCTAGCACATCTTGCAAATTACCACTGGCAGTCCTGTCTAAGCTTCTAATGGCCTAACATCGCACCTATATTTTTTAATTTTCCAACAGTAGATATCATGGTGAATTGCATAGTGTTAAGATCCTCAGTTGTTCAAATAAACTCCCCTAGTAGAGAGAGAATGTGAAGATTGAAGATTGGAGAGAAGGGAATAATTACTTTATTAAATGTGATGTACATTTCTAAAAAATAAAATTAAAGCTTACACTGTTTACTACCTTTGGAATACAAAGAAGGGACATATTAGTTGCATTTCTTCTGTCCCAGCATTTATCACACTTGACATCATCATTTATGCAGTTATCTGTTCTTGCTGGATTGTGCGCTCTTTACCGAGGGAGCCATGCCTATCTTGCTTCTTGACACATCCCCAGGACCTAACAGGTACTTGGCTTATGGTAGGCACTTAATGAATATTTGTCAATCAAATGACCGAACTTTGAAGTCAGACACACCTATATTTGTACTGTTGCTCCGCAACTCCTTAGTCCTGACCATGAGCACCTTTATTTCTCTGAGCCTGATTTCTTCTCCGTAAAATAAAGTGATAATTCTTCACATAATTGTTGTGATTTCTAAATAAGAAACATGATATTTGAAAATGCTTAGTGCCTAGCATAACATAGTAGATATACAACAGCGATTAGTTTTTCTTTAAAAAATTTAAACTGCTTTGATGAATTTTTAGTGAGTTGCTTGCCATTCCAAAAGATCTTTCCTGATAGTCTTTGGAAACCCATACAATGCTGGTAGAGGGGTAATAGGTTTATAAAAGATTCATTCCCCAAAAGTGTGTATGTGACCCTAAAAGTGTGTATGTGACATGTCACCATGTCTTTTGCAAGCACAGAAGAGCAAATGTCATCTGTAATTAACTAGAACAGGGCAGGTTTGAATTTGACTGGAAAGACCAGGATGGAAAGTGAATGTAGACCCCTGGGGTTGCAGAGGGTGAAGGACCAGAAATAAACGCACAGCAGTACAGCCATTAATCTAGGGATGACCACCTGTGTTGGAGCATCTGGAGAACAAATCACAGATAGCAAAATTGTTCTGAGGCACAAGACAAGTGGGATGCACGCAATGTCAGTTGAAATCAAAGATAAAACTAACATTCAGGCAACATTTATTAAGCACCCACTGCATATGGGAAAATGAATAGGTGCATTCGCATGTGTATATCCCTAAACTTAGGAGGCAGTTGCACAGCAGTAAAGCACAGATTCAAAAATCAGATGCCAGGGTTTCTGTCCAGGCTCTTCTACTTAATAGTATGACTGGTACATTATTTAAATTCTCATATCATGATTTCCTCACCTGTAAAAGGGGGATAACAATAGTACCTACTTCACAAAATGTTTGTGGTCATTAAGTGATTCGATACACATAAAAACACTCAGAACAGGGTCTGCACATAGAAAGGATTCAATAAATTTTCATTATTGTGGGTTGATTTGTATTAATTCATTTTTTAACCTTCATTAGAGCTAACAGAGATTGTCAACTTATGACAGAAAAGAGCTGTAGACCTGGGATCAGACGACTTGGGTTTGAAAATCAATTCTGCCATTTACAAGCCTCAGTTTCCTCATCTGAAAATAGAAGGAAGAAGACCTGGCTTGAAAGATGTGCTATGAGTTGTCTATTTATTTAAGGAGACCAAGATCAAGTGTGTCAGTTGAGAACATGCAAATGATAAGCAGAGTTTTAAACTGCAGGCAGTGAATATCAGGGACACTTAGTAGATGATTTCAGGCCAGAGCAGCAGAGGTTAAAGTCCCTGCCCTTGGACACTAAGGAATAGGTAATAAACATCAGAGACAGGAGTCTCTGACATTAGCACAACAGCCAACTTAACCCTGAGACACAGTGGTGCTAAATTACTTTTCCAAATTCACAATTCAGATGAGGTCACCATTCTCAAAGGCCTCCAATGACTCCACCCTGGCCTAAGAATAAAAATCTAAGCTCCTATGACCAACATTCAATTTCTCCCAGGACCTGCTTTCAGTCTTCAGTTTCTGCACCATCTCCCTTTTGAGATTACTAAGATATTGACTATTTACTATACATGCACATGACTTTCTACAGATAGAGGTACAAGCTTTTGATCTCACTCTTGCTTCCATCTAGAACACTGTTTCTTCCCATCTCCATCTGTCCAAGTTTCCCATAACCACCAAGTCTCAGCTAAAGGCTGCTTCCTCTGTAAATCTTTCTCCAGTCCTCCAAGCTCAAAGTGCTCTCTTGAGCACTGAACAGTTTCTATTTTGTATTAGAATCATGTATGTTTCTGTA
The DNA here is from genome assembly GCF_000001405.40 of Homo sapiens. Classification (NCBI taxonomy): domain Eukaryota; kingdom Metazoa; phylum Chordata; class Mammalia; order Primates; family Hominidae; genus Homo; species Homo sapiens. Next base: position 122,074,605 of record NC_000011.10, read on the forward strand.
TCTGCCTGTTATCCCCTAAACAATTACAAGTTTCTTCTATTGGTAGAGTTTTTAGCTGTTTCACCCTTGTTTGCTTGAAAAGGGGTTTAAACAGCAATCATGAAATATATATATTTTTTGTTATTTGTTTGATAACAATATATATGAATATATGAATATATATGAATGAATATATGAATGAATTAGTGAGTAAAGGAAAAAGCAAATCTGTAACTCCCTGACCTATCACCAGGTTTGGTTTTATAATAAAAACAAGGCTGATCATAGATGTATTAGTAATAATAATAAGAGTGAATTATTATTTTTTCCTATTATGAGCCACGCTTGAACTATGAGGTAGGGATGCAGTGGTGAGTAAACCATACACATCTCCCTTCTCTGGAGGGAAGTCCTATGGGAGGAGCATGCATTTATCAAATCATTGTCGAAATACATAATTACAAACCATGAATGGTATAAAGAAAAACATTACAGCAAGTTATGAGAACACAAACAAAGGGACAGGATCTAATTGGGAGGAGGTCAAAGAAGGCTTTCTTGAGGAGTCGATATTTCTGTTCAGATTTGGAATGATGATAGCAGTTGCTTATAGGCAGAGCAGTGACTTGACTGCAGGGGACTGAATAGAATGGCCATTAAAGGCATTTTACCCTGCAATCAGATGTTTCTGGGATTGTGAAGGTGGGAAGTGGTCTAGCATCTGTGTGTGTGGAGTAATTTTCAGTGTGTGTGGAAAATAAAGTAGGCAGACAATAAGAAGGATGGCCCGGAGAAGAACATGATAAAGCAGGACAGAGATAAGGCCAGGGGGAGGGGAGGAAATAGCTCAAAGAATAAATAATAAATCTGAAGAAGTAAAGAAATTAAACACAAGGCAAAATGGAGGAAATGGTGAGTATACCACTAATATCAGTCCTGAGTAGCTCAAATAAAACCCATAAACCTTTAACCGAGAAGTATATCTTTGTTTGTAGTTAAACTTTCTGCATTTAGAATTTAAGGAAAGAATTTTGGCTAAAAGGAAATTCTAAGCTGGTTTAGGAAATTCTAAGTTGGTCTTTCATTAGATGGGATTAAGTGCCAGGGGTTGGGGCTAGCCTCTCTGCAGCTTTTGCTGGGGCTGGATATCTATTTGTAAACATAGGTGAACAAATGGGGAACTTAGGAAAACAAATGGGACGGCTGAAGGTTGCACTGAAGAAGAAGGCGGCAAGTGGAGTTGTATAGATGACCTCTAAGTTCCATTCCAGTGATTAAAATCTTAAGTATTTAAAAAGCAAAGGGAGAAGGTGCATCTGGAACTCTGAGACACTGTATTAATGATTCTATTGTCACGTGAACCTTTTAGGATACCAATTGGTATCCTTTTGCTCATGTACATTCCTCAAAAGTAGCATGTTTTCTGGTCCTCCTGCGTGGATGGAATGAATGTCTCTCGCTCTGCTGGCACAATAATGATGGAGACACAGGAGCAAGAACCTGTCTCAGGGCACATCTGTAATTGAACTTCAGTGGGTTTGGATTTGAAAGCAAGTGACAGAAACAGAAGGGCATAGAGTGTCCAGGTTATTGGAGCAAAGTAGGAAGTAGAGCTGCGGGAACAAAAGATAAGCTTTGTCTGCTTAACAGTCTTCCCAGACAAATTGTGTTGAAAAATATAATAAGAGTGATTTATCTTGGGTTCCTCCCTTCACCCCTGCAAGTCTGCCATGGGGTCAAAGAAAAAAAAATCAATCATTGGAGAATCCTTCCTTGAGCAGAGAAGTCTTGTCAGTCTTCTAGGTTCCTTTATTAAAGCCCTAATACCCATGGGAGGACCCCAGCTTATTAAATAATATGTTAGAGAAACGTTACTCTATCAGGTACTCTCTAACAGGTACAGAGAGCTGAGCTCAAGACCCTAAGGGCAGGAGACACAGGACAGAGCTACGGGTTAGGCAGAGCACTACCACATGGGAGAATGCTGGAGAAAATTCTGTCCAACTTCACAAGGGAGGCTCAACCAGGGCCTCAGTTGTATAAAGAGCCTCTGCTGGCTCCCAGTAAATAGCTCCTGGCCCAACACAAAGTCACTGTATGTGCAAACATTTTATTCACAGAGCAGTCACTTGCATCAATTATACAATAAAAATGTGCACATATTTGGGGCACTTGCTCTTTAGTATTCATGGGACTTCACATGGTCAGACATTTAGCCAGATGCAAGAAAAAGTGATTATCAGCTACATACGAAATAAAAAGCATGAGAGAGACTTCCTCACTGCAAGCATGATTGCCTCATCCCATGCTTTTGTGAATGGGCATTACTGACTGGCATTCAGACCGTAAGAAAATTGGCCAATGAGAACTCAGCAATGCTCTGATTGAAAGCTGGTCGCACACACACAAGAAATGCCAGTATGCAGAACCTGATAGCAAGATTTTAAACATTCTCTAGAGCAGAACGTATAAACTGAAGAATCGGGTAAAAAGGTGAATTCATGGTTATTAGCTAATAATAAGACTATAATTATTGCAAAACATCTTGGACAATGCAGGATGGTGAGTAGGGCTGAAAATGGAAATAAATAGTTTTCTAAAAAGGTAAAAATGAATGACTCAGGAAGAAGGTAACTTGTTTTTTATATGACTTTCTTTTAGGGTTCAAAAGCTACTTATAACATTTTTCTCAGCATTGCTTTTAAGGTTATTTCATTTCTGGAGTCAACCTGGTTGTACATTCAATGAACTTGATACTTCACTGTAGAACCTCTTTTCTCTGAAAGGTCTAAAAAAGGCCCTGGTGACCCACCATGGTGGGGGTTCTCAAACTCAGCACTTAATCTCAATTAAGAGATTCAGTGGGGAATGTGCCTTTTCAAAGAAGATACTGAAAACCTAAAATGAAAAAGATAATCTTCTTACCTAGTATGATTCTATAATCAGCTGGTTTGGACTTGGCGTTCAAGATGTAAATTCAATCCTTGTATAGATCAGTTAGTTTCTACTGCACAAACACTTGTCTGTCCTCACTATGTACCATGATCTCAGATAGTCCAGCCTAAGTCCAGCTGGCCACCTACCAAATGCCATTGTTTAAAGAGAACAGGGCCATTATTTAAGGAAAGTGTGGGTGGCTCCCTGTGTGTCTTTAACATATGTTTTCACCTAAATGTGGGTGAGTTAAAGCTTGATATATAAAGGAAAGAGCATATTATTACTTAAGCAAATGGACTATCTAGGGGATAGAAGCATAAGTCAAAGAATGTGAATGTTTCCCCCATTGCTAGTGATTCCCCTGCAAATATGTTTTTAGCGTATTTGGTATAATTATCTGTGAGAACAGATGGAATGGGATCACAGGTACTTCAACCTTCTTGATAATCAGAAAGTCATTTCTATTTGACTTTGGAATACAATGTTTACCACTCCTACACAGGCCCACCTTCTTCATTATGTTCAACTTAACTTAAACCTGTATTTCCATGTCCACTGGAAGGCACTGGACATAATCCTTTATGCAGTCTGTCTCAAGTTTTCATCTTTTACTTTCTTCTAGATATTTTCTCTAGTCTCTTCATCTTCCTGCTGTCCCCCCATGCTTGAATCAGGCAGAAATTCACACCGTTAATTTTCCAGAGACTAAATGTTACTAAGGGTCAGCATTTCTTTACATGTCTGTTTCCCCTAATGAGGTGAGTTCTTTGATGACAAGGATTATGTATCATTCATCTTTGTATTCCCAGGACATAGTATGTCCTAAATTAATGTTTATTGAATGAATTAACTATAAAAATATGTAACAACTCATTAAGATATTTTGCCAGTCAATTCTATAATTTCTTAAACTGTTAGTTTAGCATAAAGCATTACATTGCTCTGGGCAAGCAGGTAAGTGGCTATTTACAAGGCAGATTTATATTTAATTGGATATAATGTATTCTAATGATTTGAATTGATTTGGTTAGTCTAATTTGGATGAAAGACACTCAGTCCATTGGTGTTATTTATTTCCTTGGTGGTAATAAATGAGATTCCTTCTAATACCTTGCTGACGGCAATTTGAATGTCAGTGGAACAGTTGGAGCCTTTCACTTTTGCAATAATGGTTTAGGGGCAAACAATAAGACCCTTAAAAACCTATCTAATCCAGCTTTATGGCCTTATAAGCTGTCAGGCTCTTCATTTTTTTTTTCATGATGGGGAGATAAGACAGGATGTAAGAAAAGCAGAGAGGGGACCATGGGGCTTAAGGAGCTAAAGGACTTTGAGATCAAGTAAATAATAAAATTGGTAGGTGGAGAAACTGCTTTCCCTCTAATCTCTATTTCCATTTTTGCAAGTGGAAATACGTACATAAAGTCAAGCAAATGATAAATGTAGAAATTCCTAATGATCTTGTGAATAGCAAGATTGGAAACAATGAAAAAATGTCTTAATCAACTTGTAGAGACAGAAGGCTATTTTACTACAAGAGGTAAAATTTTGGGACACACTGCACCCACATTAATATGCTTAGTAAACTAAAAGCCACACAGTATGAAGACATTACCTGTGGTCATAAAAATAAAGGTCTAGGGGTGAGGCGCAGTGGCTCACGCCTGTAATTCCAGTACTTTGGGAGGCTGAGGCAGGTGGATCAGTTGAGGTTAGGAATTCAAGACCAGCCTGGCCAACATGGTGAAACCTCATCTCTACTAAAAATACAAAAATTAGCAAGGTGTGGTGGCTCATGCCTGTAATCCCAGCTATTCGGGGGGCTGAGACAGGAGAATGGCTTGAACCCGGGTGGCGGAGGTTGCAGTTAGCCGAGATCACGCCATTGCATTCCAAGCTGGGTGACAGAACGAGAATCCATCTCAAAAATAAAATAAAATAATATAAAATAAAAATAAATAAATAAAAGTCTAGATAAAAGACTTCGAGTTTTTCATATTGTTTGAAGAGAATTCTTTAAATCAAGCACAGCCAATAACAATTTGGACTCAAAATCAAGCAAATTTCTCCCTTTTAAACAGTGTATTAGTAGGCTGAAGCAGTTCACCTTGATTCAATGAACTGAACTGGACTTTGGATTTTAAAATTTACAAAAATCCTCCAAAAATTCAAGTCTTCACAAAAAAGACTTGTGAACGAGGAGTCAGGAAAACTGGGCTCAAGTGTTGTCCTGCAGGTCTTCATGGTACCTGCTCAATATTCTACCCCAAATATTTCCTTTACCAAAATGAGATAATATCATATGAATACTAGGCAGACAAACTAAATAATAGATTAAAATGTATTGCTCTAACCCTTTGGGAGAAATCATTAAAATATAAGGAGTTTGTATTTTTATTACACCAGAATTACCTACAGCCCTGTATCTAGTTCTAGCCATCCAGCTAAGGATAGATTCAGAAACAGTTCAAAGAAAAGCTATGCTGATGGTAAGAGTTCTAGAAATAGATGGTATTTTTTAAAAACATTAAGAGAACTGGGATTATTTATCCTGTGGAAGAAATGTTTGAGAAAGGATGAAATCATGGTTTGGAATTAGAGCAATGATTCTCAAAGTGTGGTCCCAGGACCTACAACAGCAGCAACCCCTGGAAACTTACAAAAAATGTAAATCCCAGGCCTCTATCCCACACCTGCTGGATCAGGAAGTCTAGAGGGGCTCTAACAACCTGTGGTTTACCAGCTCTCCAGGGTGATTTTGATGCTCAGCCTAGTTGAAGAACCACTTGGTGAACAGGAGCAGTGGTCTTGCAGAGAATAGGGAAAGTGAATAGTGATACTCATTGAAACAGAAAAGAAGGGTTGGGACAGCTTTTAAGTATTTAATCTTTTCCCCTGTGAAAGAAACCAGATAGCAAAAGAGGACAGTATACAAGTAACTCGGAGAAAAAGCATAGAAACCATCTAGAAAGGGCTCTTTTCTTTCTTTCTTTCTTTCTTTCTTTCTTTCTTTCTTTCTTTCTTTCTTTCTTTCTTTCTTTCTTTCTTTCTTCCTTTTCTTCAAGGAGAGTACAGAATCCATATGACTTCCTACATGAAGTTTTAGAAGTAATTTTAACATTGGTTTACTCAAATGAAGTTTTAAGGGAACAATAGTAGCATCAGAAGCAAAGCCAAATATGTACACCAAATTCAAGCAGTAATGGCTCTTAAATAATCCATAATTGGCTGGGCATGGTGTCTTATGCCTGTAATCCCAGCACTTTGGGAGGCCGAGGCAGGCAGATCATGAGGTCAGGGGTTCAAGACCAGCCTAGGCAACATGGTGAAACCCCAACTCTACTAAAGATACAAAAAATTAGCTGGGCATGGTGGTGCATGCCTGTAATCGCAGCTACTCAGGAGGCTGAGGCAGGAGAATCGCTTGAACCCGAGAGGCAGAGGTTGCATTGCGCTGAGATTGCGCCATTGCACTCCAGCCTGGGTGAAGGGCGAGACTCCATCTCAAAAAAAAAAAAAAAAAATCATAATTAGTGGAAAGAACCATGACTTTTCAGAAAATCAGTGAAAAAAGAAACATGAAATACCAATGAGAAAAGGAAAGATAGAGAAAAAGGAAAGAAGGAAGGGCAAAAGCAAATGGAATACAGAGAAAGAATCACCAACTCTCAGTACAGGAGTGAGGGCAGGAATGAAAAGGGTGCTTTCAATGACCCAATACACATCACCATGCAACAGCATAGTACATTGGAGCCTTGCTAAGAATTCTGTCTTCAGGAGCCAGATTGTGAAACTGCTTTTTCATGAATTTCAATTCATTTAAAGAATTCTAATTGAGTTGAAATTCCTTACTATTAATTTCTTTAGGCACTTTGGTAGATAAGCCCCTTGAACAGGTGCCAGATCATACCCACCTTATATAGAGGATTGTTACTATAGTGAGAAGCCAAAAACATATATTTTTGAATCACATTTACTTTTACTTTATTTTGTGGGATAGGTAAGTTTTGAGGATATATAGACATGTTAATATCCATAAATAGTATAGACAGAAGATTTCCTACTCTACTTACCCTAAATCTCCTCTTTCAAGTAAGGATAATTATCAACCCAATAAGATAGCAAGAAAGAGAAAAATCCAGTTATTTAAAACATCAGTGTATGCACTATAGTAATCTCAATTATTCACATACAAAATGTTGCCTTTTTTGATTACCTGAAGCAAAATGTTGATCCCAGATCAACTTTCTCTGGCTATCCATCATTTATCTAGATAGCTTCTTCCTAGCATCAGTAGTTGTTAAGAAAAAAAAAAAAAAAAAAAAAAAACATGTAAATATGAGGCCAATGAAAACAAACAAATAAAACTAACCATGCAAAACTAACTTCACTTCTTTCTTTGTTAGTTATTAGACTGATAGCTTTGGGGAATGACATTTGGAATCCTAACTTCAGTATGTGACTTGACTCAGCTTCTTATGATCTCTTTTGGGTAAGTTTGAGTCAAACATTTGAATAAGATGACTCTGAAAAACAATCTTAATTTAGCAGATGTCTTAGGATAAAAAAAATATTGGGAGATGGAATGATGAGTTGAATTTTAGGATGAGGGAAATAGAGTTTGACAGCAGCATGTATAGAAAAGACTTAAGTGTTTTAATAGATGGTAAGATAAGATGAATCAATACTGATAGATGGTTGCTAAAAAGATTAATAGGAATTTTATTCCTGGAAATCCAGTACTTAGGGAAAAATTTTATAAAGGTGATCATCATGCATTTCTTCCCATTTGTCAGTCCACATCTAGAAAAAAGCATTCAATCCAGAGTAGCACATTTAACAAGGCAACCAAACCAACTGGAATGTGGAGACTCACAAGAATGATGAAGGCATGTGAAATAATGCCATGGGAGGAATGACTGCAAGTGCTAAGGGTGTGCAGCCCAGAGAAAAATGACTCTGGACGGAACATGATTTCTTCTTTGAAATATCTGTAAGACTGACAAATAGAAGAGAGACTAGACTTAATAGACTTACACTATATCTCCTAAGGCTAAAATAAGAAACAATAAAAGACGATGCCTTTGTGATTCAATATTAAGAAAAAGTATTCGGCAGGCACGGTGGCTCACGCCTGTAATCCCAGCACATTGGGAGGCCGAGGCAGGTGGATTACCTGAGGTCAGGAGTTTGAGACCAGCCTGGGCGACATGGTGAAACCCCATCTCTACTGAAAAACAAACAAACAAACAAACAAACAAACAAACAAACAAACGAAAATTAGCTGGGCATGGTGGTATGTGCCTGTAATCCCAGCTACTCGGGAGGCTGAGGCAAAAGAATCGCTTGAACCAGGGAGTCAGAGGTTGCGTGAGCCGAGTTTGTGCCACTGCACTCCAGCCTGGTGACAAAGCGAGACTCTGTCTCAATTAGAAAGAAAGAAAGAAAGAAAGAAAGAAAGAAAGAAAGAAAGAAAGAAAGAAAGAAAGAAAGAAAGAAAGAAAGAAAGAAAGAGAGACAGAGAGAAAGAGAGAAAGAAAGAAAGAAAGAAAGAAGGAAGGAAGGAAGGAAGGAAAGAAAGAAAGAAAGAAAGAAAGAAAGAAAGAAAGAAAGAAAGAAAGAAAGAAAGAAAGAAAGAAAGAAAGAAAGAAAAAGTATTCAAATGATCTGAGTTGTCCAAAGATGGAATTGCTGATCAGGAATGTGGTCCATTATAAGCTAACAGGAAATTCAAGCAAAAGATGGCCTTTGTGGCTTCTTCATCAGTGAAAGTCTATGAACCTAGAATTAAAAAGGGAATTTGACTGAAGTGAGCATCTAAGGCATATTCTGAAGACCATATTCATTTTTTATAACATCTGCACCCTGCTCCTCTCTGTTAACCTGGGTATTTAAAAGCCAGTGGTGTGTAATCTAAAGACCTTCTCAAAACACTATACCATATTTACATTCAACATCTCTGTAAAGTAAGAACAAGTCAACTACCTTGTTTCTCTTCTTACTGAAGAGCTAACTCTACTATGGAAATTGTAAAGAAAATAATTATCGATAGAGTTAGATCTATAACATAGCCCCTTTGATTCACGAAAATGAAACTTTGAACATGTGTCTCTTGACCTTCACTGTCTAACATTCCTCCCCAAACTCTCCCTAATGTTGATTGCTTAGTTTATTAATTCAAGTTCGTTGAATAAGTCATAGTCTACAATCACGATAGTAGTTTATGAGAGCAAGTGTTGCTGTTACTCCAAGTGCGTGGGGAAGTTGCAGAGGTCCTTTTCTAGAGGCCTTCAAGATAAGTTGCAGAGGTCCTTTTCTAGATAGTGTGATTATTCTACCATTGGCTCGTTCCTACTTTTCCACTGAACCTACCAGTTATCACACTATGAGCAGAGTAAGGAAAAACTCTGTAATACTTGTGTATTACAGTGCTACTGCACTTTTAATTTTCTCCCTCCCACTATTGGTAAGCAATGATATAGCCTCCTCAACACAATACCTAATGCTGGGTACTGTAATAATCATGGTGCACTGCTCACAATCCCTGTGGCAAGCATTTACACTGCTCTAAGCACCAGCAAGAAAAGAAACAAAAAAAATTTTTTGTGGTTCCTTTTAGTCCTTGAGTATATCACAAGTTTAACCCTAATTGGATTTACCTGATGTCAGTAAATGACCTGGGACTTTCGGCAGTCATTATCCCAAAGGGTAATAATCAGAAAGTTGAGAGGAAAAAACCTAAAATGGCACTTATCTAATGTGGGAAATTAAGTGACTTAGATAGTTATGTACAAAGGGTATAACCAGAGCCAAGTGTAATGTCCCATGTGATTTTTACTAGGAGAGACTAGTTTTAATAGTTTCATCTTTGGACAACCCTCCTTTCTAAGCATGTACCTGCCACTTAGGGATCCCCAACCCAACACGCTGAGGCTCATTTCATCATTATTTTCATCATCCTAGTAAAAATTCACTAGGATCTTTTAAGCCAGGATAACCAACTTCTCAAAGTGTTGAAAAACTTGGTGGCTGATATATGCATGGACTAAGTTATGTATATAAGTTAATAAACCCACACACACACACACACACACACATCTTTTAGGACTGGTTTGCCTGAAGTCTTGACATCATGGAATGTCAAATGTCAAATGTCTTTAAAATATGATTATCGGCTGGGCACGGTGACTCATGTCTGTAATCCTGGCACTTTGGGAGCCTGAGGCGGGTGGATCATGAGGTCAGGAGTTCGAGACCAGCCTGGTCAATATGGTGAAACCCTGTCTGTGCTAAAAATACAAAAATTGAGGCTGGGTGCAGTGGCTCACACCTGTAGTCCCAGCTACTTGGGAGGCTGAGGCAGAAGAATCGCTTGAACCCAGGAGGCAAAGGTTGCAGTCAGCCAAGATCATGCCACTGCACTCCAGCCTGGGCGACAGAGCAAGACTCAGTCTAAAAAAAAAAAAAATATATATATATATATATATATAATATACATGATATATCATGTATATTATATATATATTTATCTGAGTCTCCTAAATGAAGAGAGAGTAAACTGGCAGAGAAATACGCATAAAATAATAATTTGACATTCCACATTGTTGTTATCTATATATAGTGTTTTCCTTGAGGTTAGCAGATGCCAGAATTCCTAGATCAATTAAATAGTGCACCCTTTGCCCACAACTTCCTTTGTAAAAGCTGAATATACAATATACTAACAGATTTTTCAAAATATCTATTTTTCATTTTTAAAAGTATCCCTATTTAAAATGTAGGAGCCTAAAAATATACACAAACCAAATGTTGATTCATTGTAGGAGTTGCATGTTATGATTCCCTCATTGCATCTGGTAACTGCATGTGGTTAGCTACACTTGGTACGACTGGATACAGCTTGACATATTCTGGGATTTATTAAAATGTAAATGACAAAGCAGAAAAGAATGTTCAGACAATTGGATTACTCCATTGACTGAATGTTCCAATACTGTATCTATTTTTGTCAAAGCAATGGTGGTTCCTGCTGTGGAATGCTGAATGGAATATTCCATTGCAGGGCATGGGGAGAACTTGCATAAAAGAAATTGAAACCTAATCATTTAATTTTTAATTCACCTCTCTAAAAGCAACACATTGCCAATACTTGTAAAAGAAATTATGATAATTTTGGCACACAATTATTGGAAGATCATCATTTTCAACTATTTATTCAGTGTCTATTATTGGTTCTGTAACTTCATTCATGAAAACAATGATACATTTGCTTGTTTTTGCTCTTGGCCTTGGCTTGTTTTAGCTATGAGCATTATGTGATGAGCATGAATATCTGTGATATGGCAGGGAATATGCACAATCCAAGAGAGACGTTTTCCTGATAGGAACTGTTCTTATTTATTCCAGAGAAGAGAAGGCTGGGAGGTAGTTGTCTTTAAGGACATGAAGGGATTGAGTTTAAAAGAATGGAGGCCGGCTGTTCTTTCTCTCCACAGGGAACAAGAGAAAATGGGATTAAACTACAGCGTGAGGGATTTGGAATAGAAATAAGAATTTCCCAACTGTGTGGAATCTCAAACACTGAAATCCATTTTGAAGGAAGCATGTGGACATTAGTTTTATTTTGATGCCTTTAAAATATGGAACGGCACATTTTCACTATGTGGTTTTTACATGGATGAAGAAGAGCAGATTTGACGACAGAGTTCCAGGATTCTCTTGATCTATGAGTAGAATCTAAAAGCGATGCATGGTGGTAACTGTGAGAAGTAACTATTTTTTATAGTGGTTATTTTTTAATATGAACTTTTCTCATGGGGACAGAGTGTCAATTTTACCTGTACTGTGAAATGTGAAATGGAATGGAATGGAATATAATAAGTTGGGTGGGGACAGATAATGTGGGAGCACAATGCAATTTTTAATTTTGCCTTCCCACTACCATTTCTGCTATTGAGTTATTCAAGTTTAAAGGCAAAATATCCTTCTAGTGGAGTTTAATATATGTATATTGATTTTTGAATTTGTAAAAATGTGCTCAGGATTCCTGGAGAAATGAGCATCCTCTGTACCCTCGTTATGGGCATATATATGTGTATATATATGTATATGTATATGTATACATATATATATACATATATATATGGATATTTTTAAAGGAGCTGCATTTTCACGTTTGATTAGCAGATTAGCAGAATTATTTGAGTATATGGGATTCAAATTGGTCCAAATTCAATTTTGCTGTTAAAAATTATGACTACAGTGGATATTGGTTGTCTCTTGATTTGAAAATAATTATATTTTCCATTTCCCTGAGATAGTTAGTGTAGCAGGAAGAGTGTTGTGTTAAAATCAGAAACCTGGGGGTCAGGTCTTATCTCAATCATGACCTGGCTGTTTGACCTGGACAACTCAGTAACTGTTAAGTATCAGTTTATATTCTGAGGAATAAACAAAACTGTGTTAAACAGATGGTTTTCCTTCTAATATGCTATCAATTATTGATACCAAAAACTCTCGATTTTCTGAGCTGAGTCTAAGATTATGTTCCCGTAAGTCAACAGTTCTCAACTTTGCCTGCACATTCCAATCTCCAGCGGAGCTTTAGAAAATTCAAATTCCTAGGCCACACTCACACCAACTAAGTCAGAATCTGTCCCAGGTATCAGTATTTTCAAAACTCCCCAGGTGGTTACGATATACAGCCAGGGTTTAAAACTCATGCTTTGGATACAGTGCAGTAAGGAACTGAAATAATCATATTAATGTTATCTATTATGAGTGTGAGAATTGTGTCCATCTTGTTCCTTCCTGTATCCTCAAACCTGAACAAAGTGCCCAGCACGTAGTAGGTGCTCAGTAAATAGTTAATATTTTTAGGAAACTTTGGCCAATTACTAAAAGATATAGGGCATATCAAAGTAGATGGCTGTATCTACTTTAATCATTTTTATGTTCATCTCATTCACTTAATAAGAGCTCAATTCTCTTCTTTTTTTGGTCTGTATAACGTCAAAAGAAAGTGAAATAATAGGTAATATTTTGCTGCAATACAATTCACCTATCCTTAGGATGAAATTTTAAAAAATTGTCTATCACATTCTCTAGAGAAGGGGCCCTTTGGAAGCTAAAGACATGTCTCCTACATGACTTTACACATCTAGGTAAAAATTAAGAAAACTAATTGTCTTTATGTGTCCAGGTGTGATATTCATTCAGCGGACACTTACGAAGTACTTTTGATGCCAAGCATTGTGGTAGGCTATCGTAGACTTTCCTGACCAGGGTTTTATGCTAGAATTGAACCCTAATGCTCTGAGCGTCTTTACCCGTGATGAATTATTTTCCTTCCTTTGCATGTAAAATTGTATTTTTAATATATCATTCTTGGGAGAATTGAGGAAATAGCATTCAAATCATATCTTTGTTCTCTGTGGTTCACATAGCAAACCCCAGTTAAGAAAGGGCTGCAAGTCTGGAGGATAAAATAACAAGCAAAACATAGCATTTATCTTCTGGAGTGGCACTATCCAATGGAAGTTTCTCAGTGATAGATGTGTTCTATATCTGTGCTGTTCAACAGAGTGGCCACCAGTTGCATGTGGCTATTGAGAACTTGCGATGTGAGCAATGCAACTGAGGAACTAAATTTTTACTTTTACTTAATATTAATTAATTGAAATTGAAATAGCCACATATGATGAGTGGCTACCTTGTTGAATGGTGCAGCTCTAGAATCTCATATTCAAATATGAGCACAACACTGGAAGATAAATGCTAATACGAGGTAAGCTCAGAATGACATGAAAGCGCCTAGGTGGGGAAGCTAGTCTTAGCGCTGGTAGAGGTTGGGGTGAAAACTTTCCAGAGAAAATGACTTCTAGGATGGGATGTGAAGGATGAGGGATGGAGTTTGGAAGGTGTAGTGGAGAAAGTACTAGGTAGAAGCTGAAGTGTGTGAGAAAGCCCAGAAGATAGAGGGAACATTAAGAAAAGGCAGGTGGATGGCACGAGCCTAGAATCACAGAGGGGCTGAAGAGTTGATGAGTCCAGAGAGGACTGTTGGAGCCAGGATCAGGGCATGAAGGGCTTTAGGTGTCACGATATCTCAAGGGCAATGGGAAGCCAGTGAAGAGTTTGAAGCCATGGAATAATACAATCATATTCGTGGTTTAGAGAGATTTCCCCGGCTGCCCCTTGGCAGTGTGGAGAGGAAAACTGGAGGCATGGTGCTGTAGTCCAGGTGAGAAATGAGTGTTGTTCTTTAATGCAGTAGCATAGATGGAGAGAAGTAGACATATTTGAACAATGGAAAGAGAAAAAAAATCAAAAGATTACCTGAGTGATTGACCATGGCTGGCGGAGATGGAAGAGACAAGGACCAGACCTTGGTTTCTGACTTGGTAGATGACAGTACCTTTTATTTAAAGGTAACATGGGATCCTTTAGAAGTTGTCTCCACATTTAAATTTTCCTATCACATTAGCTGACTTGTTCCTCGTGGATCTTGAAACTAACTTTGATATACACTAGTGAAAACAAATAAATTATAAGAGCATGCTTTTTCAAGAAATCAACACAAATTCACAGTTGATGCAACATTGCTTTTATTGGGGGTTAGGAACATATGACAAAGTCACATAAAATGTCAACAAAGTCACACTTTGTGCTTGGCTGCTCTTTAAAAAAAAAAAAAAACCCTGTTTATTTATGAACTCACTCAATGAGAACTATGTGAGATGTGGCCAACAATTATCATGCTTAAAACAGGACGGCCAGAGCCATGAGGAGATTGAAGTCTGACAATGCTAGCTAGCTAAGTGGAAATTTACCATTGTCAAATATCAGATACTTCCACACATTTAGATGTTTGTCCATAAGTAGACCCAGCTTAGCTGACTCCTTTGAGAAAGAATTGTGTCTCAAACCTCTGTTATTCAGCTGGCCATATTATTAATCATTACTAAATGCCAGCCACATGCAAAGGGGATGGAAAAGAAGAATGAGATTTGCTCAGTTTTAGCTTTCTGTGGCTGAAGTATTTTTGAGTCAGTTACATGGATACATGAGGATTATAGTAGGAAATGACTGAATATTTTTAAAAACATAAGTACTATGGAAACAGTCATGTATAAACATTCGTGCAGAAGCACTTACAAACATACACTGTGCATAAAGTTGGTTAAGAAGATGCTTGTTAGAAATGATTTATGTAGGTGAACTAAGAATTTGAAATAACTTAATACCATTGAAGACATCATACACATACAACTTTGGACATTATGCATTCTTCTGGGGATGAACCATTGACAACTTCTGGACTTCATTGCTAGCTATTTTTTACATTGAGGTGGGAAACCAAAGAAGTGCAGAACAGAAGCAATCTACTAGGCACAAAGCTCCCTGGTTACTGCCCAGATAGACTGTTTCCACTCATCAAATTGAAGTGCATACTTAATTTAGGAAGGGCAGACCAGTGCAAAAGCTACTGATAGTGAACTGGAGGGCCCGGTTTCCATCCCTTACTCTGCCACACTCCAAAGTTCGATCTTCTGTAAGTCACTCTAAATTTATGGCCTTTAGATTTATTGCCTCTATTAAAAAGGGCATTGCAACAAGTGACTTAAACCTCCCCCTTTTTTATTCTCAAGGATTTGGGATTTTACATAGACAAAAGTGAACAATCTCATCAAAGTCTTGCAAAAAAAAAAAAAAAAAACAAGTCTGAAATGCTGATAAACTTCATTCCCCATTTTTTTTCCCAATTTCTATCATGAAAATACATTCTATCACTCCAGCGTAATTTTAATCAGAAGACTGAAAAGTTTTAGGTGATTATTAAATGAAATAGCTAATTGTTTGCCATGGAAAAATATCAAGGAATATAAAAAGGGGTAATAATTGTGACATTGACTACAATATTGCAACTTGGCACTATAGATCATGAGCTTTGCAACTGCAATACTGAATGTGAGCCCTGTATATGGCACTTCGGCAAGTTACTTAAACCTCAGTTTTCTTGCCTGTAAAATGGGGATAATAATACCTATTTTGCAAGGCTGTTGAAAGGCTTAAGTGAGTTAATATGTAAAATGCTTAACAGAACTCAATAAATACCAATTATTATTAGGTTAATGGAAAAATCATAGTTCTCCATATTGTCACCAATCACCCTTACTTACTTTAAAGGAAGGGAAATATGATAATAATTCTAAGTAATACCTGGGGTGAGAGACAGGAGGTGACTGTGCAGTCTTTTCCAGATATGTATAGAGAGCTGCTGAATGTCTGGGTTTAAGTCAACAAGATGTGTGTATTCATTTCCTCCTCCAATTACAACCACCTAAAGAACTCCATTTTCTCCTTCCTTTCCATTTATCTAAATCTTCCACATCACTCAAGGTTCATCTCATATTTTCCTGTTTTATAACTTTCTTCCCTAAGTAAGTCAGTTTTGCCAACTTGATGGCAAACTCCCCTGAACTCATCTTTTGCTTGGTTTTGTTTTTGATCTTATCCTCTACTGACTCTATCTGTTACTTATCTTTGCAAACATTTCTATAACTTTTTCTAACTAGATTTAAACTCTTTAGAAGCAGTGATTTTATCTGATAGAATCTAGCTTTCTTGATTAAAAAAAAATGATCGATTGGTTAGTGTCAAGTGGACCAATGTGGTACTATGATTATTTTACCCTTTGAATAGCCTCTGACTACTTTATTTTAAAAGTACTTTTATTCTGTAGGTCACTCTCAAGATCCAACCCTATGTGTGGCTAAAAATCATTCTCCTTGTAGGATTCATTTTGTTTCTTAAAATATTAACACATTTGTGCAATTTGGGATTTTGAAACAAGTGCATTAATAAGCATATCCATACTAGGAAAAAAATGAATGTCACATGAATTTAAGTACAAACAGAGGAATACACATGAGGAAGGGAAAGTTCTTGGCTCATGAAAATCTAGATGTCATTATTGAGTTTTTCTGTTTCTTGAAAAGATTGTCTCTTGTTCTGAGAGTTCTAGTGGCAGAAGCTGCACAATTTGGGGGTGTTTCTTAGCAGAGGAGGTGTCTTCAGGTGATCACTTTCTTTGTTTCAACTTCATAGTTGGCTTGAGAGTCCATCAATATAGCAGTCTCTTCAGTCTTTGTCCTTGCACTGGGGAGACATTCCTGAGGAGGGGTACTATAGGACCAGCTGAAAGGAACATCAACACAACTAAAAAAATAACAGAACATGTCACAGAAAGTTATCACATTGACTCTTTAATAATAATAAATAAATGTAATGATACTTTGGGGACCATGCTAAGTCTCACTAGAGATGAAATGCTGCATCACTAGAAAAATGCTGTTGTTTTACATTGTTCCCCTTGCTAAAGAATCAGTCAGCAATGGCATTGCCTGAGTGTGTGTGAGACACCACTCTAATGGCTCTGGGAGAAAATGCTGTGTAAGAAAAGCTTCAGGTTTATCCAACAGGGAACTTACTAAAATGGGACACATAGGGAAAGAACAAAAGAACACATGACATTGAGGACAGATTCAAATAAATCCAAGGAGTGAAAACAAAGTAAGATAGCTGTGGGTACATAACTGCTTAGGAATGCAGGGCTGAATGAAGTCACTAGAATTGTTAGGTGTTGTCAATTCCTTGTATTTGTCTTTGTATTCCCAGCGCATGGCACAGAACATGGTATGGAAAGAAAAAAAGAAAAAAAAAAGAAAGAGGGAAAGACGGAAAGATGGAAGGAAGGAATGAAGGAAGGAAGAAGGAAAAAGAAGAACGAAAAAGAAAGGAAGGAAAGAAAGAGAGAAAGAAAGAAAAGAAAGAAAAAGAGAGAGGAAGGGGGAAAGGAGAAAAACCGAGAAGGATGGAGGGAAGGAGAGAAATAAAGAAGAAGGTTTTCAAAGTGTAGAAGAGGTGGGGGGACAGATTATGCAGAAAGGAAAAGCATATCCTGGAGCATATTCAATGACTTAGAAGCCAGAGAAAGCAGGCTCACTTAATTCAAGAAGAGATTACACATTCTGAGTGGTTTTAGAAAATGGGGTAGGGCAATTTCCAGGTGGCTTTGAACACGTTAAGATTTAATTTGGGAAGTATGATGTGTTACTGTAACTATTGTAGGCTTCTGAGAGGAATATTAAGATGACTCAAATGAATCAAGTGGAAGGAAAAACGTGAAACTCAAAGGAGTTAATCCAATGGAAAAAAACGAACCATACTGCAAGAAATTAAATGAAGGCAGGCCTAAAGAATATAGTCTTAAAATAGAAAGGCAGGTGCTTGTCGGGGTTTCTTCTATGTTAATGTTAATTGAGAGAAATGGGCTTAGAACTCAGATCAAGAATTTGCTTCTCCCACTGTGTAGCTTTTTTCATTCTTCAGCTGTTCTTCTTTTCTGCTACTGCCCCTTCCTGAAAGTGAACTCCAGTCCTTACTGTTTTAGCATCAACGCAAAATATGTTAGTAAATACAGAACGTGGAGGTGGAATCAAATATAACTTTGAAGGACGACTGTTGGAACAAATGAGCTCCAGATCCACCGGTTCTGGAGTTGTTCCTATGCCTCCATACTTTAGAATACCTTCAAAAATTCTTAAAGCTGTAAAAGAATTTAGAGCCCAACTAATCCAACCCATGCATTTTAAAGATAAGGGTATTTGAGAAGAGTTGTTATTAATGTTTCTCTTTTTTTATAAAAGTTGTTATGAATAAAATATACTTCTCAGGTAGATGTTTCTTTAACTGAAGACCTTATCATCAGCCTCTTCATCATGCTTACACAATGAAGATGTCTAATAAGTCAGGCACACCAAAAGGGGTACACTATGACACATCACTGCTTTCTGCCCTAAACACTTTTGATACACCGAGGATGCTGGCTCCCTAGATGGCAGGTATAATATGTTTTTTAATCTGTAAAGTAACTAAGTGTTAAACGTTAATAGGTATTTTTCTGATTAAGCATGCAATAACTGATCTTGGATGAGTAATTAAATATACATCTTAAAGATTTTAGAATTTATTATTTTGTGAACATTGACAGGGATGATGGGGTGCTAAGCTTTTGATACTCATTTGTAAAACTCATTTTTTAATAAATTAAAATATTATGTATTAAGGAATAACATTTTGCACAATTTTTTATGGCTCATTTGGATATCTAATGATGGCAAATCCTTGAATACATGAGCAGGTGAAAAGTAAACCTTGTATTGCTTTGGTATTAGGTAGCTATACATCACGCAAAATGTCTCTTTCTAATAGGGACTCCATCATTAAAACAAATTTTGAGAAACAGATAGTATAAATATGTGAATGACCATATTCTAGGTGTCTACTATGAGTCAACTGTTCTACAAATCAGCTTTCTTTGGGCTCTATGCCTACTCAATTGCAATGAGTCATATCTTGTATCTCAATATAAGCCTCCCTTGGAATCCTTTTTGTCTCCCAAACACATAAGCATAAATCGAGACCCTTGTATTGCCTTGCCCGGGGTCCTTCTGTGACCTGATGGTAATGATTCTCCAAATTTGCATCAAGAGCCTCTTCACCTACTGAGCCAACTACCAGGCTGACCAGCCAACTCGCTGTTGCTCTGACTGGGCTATTCCTTAATAGGTAGATCTTCAGGGATCAGTTCCCTGGAAGGAGGCTCTCCAGTGGGGCCATCAGTAGACCTTGGACATCATGTCAAGACGTTAAAAGGGAAGTTGATGTTAGTGCACAAATAACCTAAGGCAGAGTTTCAGTATTCAACATGTGCCATGCAAAACAGTGAAAAACAATAAAAGAAATTGCTGATTATTGTTATTGTTTTGATTACTTTGGTTAAATTAAAATTATTATCTCTGCCTAAGGTCATTTCCCTGGCATTCTATTTTGTTATTCCAACAAAGGAACTAATATTCTCAATTACTTCAAGTTGTCTAAAGTCAGAAAAAGACTAAATCAATCAAGAGTAGCAAATATTTTACAAATTAAGCAAGTGTCCACAATGATAACCCTTTCAGAGATAATTAATTTCCAACATCTAGGTCGCACATATTTATTCTTGCATAAGAACACAGATCGTAGAGTCCTCGTATCCCTATATTAATTAACAAAGAATTTTTTTAAAATAAGCTTATTTTAAAAAGATTCTACTCAGGAACCATTTCAATGATGAGAAATGCACAAGAAAAGAAAAAAACTCAAGTAGGCAACATGTAAAGCAACAGACAACTATATGCACATTAGTATAATTACACATTGCAAATTATATCGGATGTATCTAATATCTAATTTTTTGAAAGCTGATTCCACTTGAGACTTCAATAACAGCATCAACATTTTGCAGGTGGCTCCTTCTGTATAGTATCCAAAGGGAATTATTCCTCTAATGTGCTTACAACCCTCAAGTAAAAGCTAAAGCTCTCTCTTAAAGGACCAATGAACAATGAACACTAGGAATATTACCTTGATAAAGGAAGGGGGGAGGGTTTCACCATACATAATATTCAGCACGGTTATTTATTCTCTTCCTTCTGTGCCCATGATATTTATTTGCTTCAAGCAATAAGAAACAAACTTAAACAGGAGACTCATTAGAAAATGTGAACGAGGCTACATCTATATTTTGAGGCAGCGATATAAGAAGCTAAGGGTTGATAATTTCTTAGATCACTCGATAATAGAGAAATGTTCAACAGAATGGCAGGTTATATCTTTGACTGAAAACAGAAAGCCCTACATTAAATTCAGCACTTCTAAAACATAGGATTAATTTGTCCTAAAGAGGACACCAGATCAAAGCTCTGCTTTGAGAAACAGGCTTTTGTCCTCATCTTTCTATATGAGTTAATCAATCATCAAATAACCAAAATAAATTTGTGATCTTGGAGAACGAAGCATATTATTCAAGGTGATTGGATCCATTTTCTTGATTCCTCCTTCAAGATCTTTCGGCTAATTAGTCAGGGTTACTATAGAATTATTTAATTATCTGCACTTTTGTGCAATAAAATATGTTGTCATATCACATACTTTATCATGCTGTTGCAGTTCACACTTAATGATGCCTCTATAGTTAGCTGTTTCCTTTGTTCTGCTCAGTAAGTGGTTTTAGAAAGAGGGTGGGCCGGGAAGGTGGAGCCCTGGGGTTTGTAAAATAAAATCATATATTCCTGGTCTACATGCCAAACTTTATGCATTTAAATGAATTTCTTCTTAGAAATTAAGTGGCAATTCCATTCGTAATAAGCTAAGAGGCACAGGTCGGTGACTTGGAATGCAACCGCAACAGTGTTACTATACCTTGAACATCTCTCTAGTGCATTTCCACTGCAGTGCAATGGTAAAACGACGATTTAATTTTTTTTTTTTTTTTCTAATCAGCAAGGAATGTCTTTAACAAGGAAGAAGTAAATTATGATAATTACTCTGAATGGTCGGATCCTTGAGCATTACTAATTAGCATTTATTGCCTGGATTATAGAACAATACATGTGAAACCGAACTGCGATTGCTCTTTTACGTTGAAGACTTGAAAAGGCAATGGAGCAAAAAGCCAGCATCATCGGTAGTGTAGTCAGTAGTTTACATCTCCTTGATAGGACGCAGAACCCCTCACTTTGGAAACACGCAAATATGGTCCTCAGTATTTATGGCCCATTCATTTTTTTTTTGTTAGTCACATATTTACATAAGATATCATAGTCATGGTAGACTAATGAGAGGAGAAGCATTTTGGTTATGTCATTTCGGGATAATTTTATCAGTTGTGAGAGTTTAACAATAAAGAACATAAAACTTGCTGTTTCATAAAAATATGAAATTTTCCTGGAGAAATTTTGACTTAATAAAGGAACAAAGAACTCAGTTTGTAGTGAATAAAATTTTACATTCACTTCCCCACTTTCTCATAGAAGATCTACAGTTGGGGATAACCGATAAGAGGCAATTGGTTTCTGGCTTAAGAGCCTTTTTCATTAGGAATTTTCGGTAAATTAAAGTCTGAAATTAGAAAAACATTAGACATTAATCAACAGACCAACACCAGTCACGTAAATAAATGGCATTCGTATAATTTGGCAGCTGAAATTCTTAAATAATCTGGCAGGTACAAGGAGAGAAAGAGGAAAAATGAACCGTTCATCATTCTCACTGCGGTCTCACCGTTTCCCTCCACACCCCATTACAGCGAATGAAGAGAAAGAACATCGTAAAATATAAAGCCGGTACTAAATACAGTCACTAGTCTTCCAATACCTTCCATGGATTCCCCACCCTGATCCTTTCTAGTTTGAAAGAATAACTTTGACTAAATCTGTGAGGAGATAAAACAGGCTGGTGATAAAAATTAATTCTGCTGAATGAGCAAATGCATTTGGATTGCAGAGATGCAAATAAGATAATACTTTTCTTTTCCTTTGACATACCAAGAGGATTACTTTAGAATGTTAAATTTGATTTTATTAGAATATATTAGCAGTGTTTTAATTAATACCAATCAAACATTTTCTTTCCCTGAGGCTTGATGTGTTCCTCGCTTTCTAAATCATCTGTCTTTTTTTCATCAAAAAGCCCCTCTACCAAATTACCAAAGCCTTTGTTACATTCTTTATAATTTTACTGTATTCAATGGAAAATTATGAGCTCTTTACCTAAAGGTGTCTTGCCTATAGTAATATATTCCCAGGTTCTAGATTTAAAATGAATACTGTTCATTAGTACACATATTTTTTAAAGGTAGAATTAGAGACTTGAAAAGAAATATCTTCTGTATTTTTCTTTTGGGGAAAAATGTTGCAAAAGGAATTTTGGCTGGTTCATATTATTTGGCTTTTATTCTCACTAGAGCTTCCTAGAGCTGTTAAATTCCAACTGCCTTGGTTTTGAGCTGGCATTTCTTTGGAAACAGAGGCAAAAAAGGAATTTTTAAAAAGGAGGTGGGGAGAGAAACTAGTTAAAAATACGGTGAGCCAGTGTGCCCTGTGAACTGAATTGTAACTGTGTGTTCCAAGGAGGTGCTGCATTGCATTTCACTCATTATCCTCTCCTTTTCTCTCAAGCTTCCTGTCCTTCTGTGTCCGAAAGCTCCAGTTCACTTCTTTCTCTTTTCTTCCCGCAACGCACCCCCGCCCCAGTTCCCCGCCTTATTTTTTTTTTTTTAATCTGCCAAGCTGGATTTGCACTTTTAAAGATCAGTATCAATAATGCCCTGCTTGTTTCGGTTGCACTCTCCCTTTAAAAGACAGCCCCCTCTAATTGATGCGTCTGGGCTAGTCTAGACTGGTAGTGATTGAACCAACCACCAATTATGTTATTCATTTCACTGAACTTCACTGATGGGCTCGGTGAGGAAGAAGGGGTGTTGAGAAACCTGCCCTTGACTGAAGCAGTTGCCTGCTGAAATATAAAATCTTGTGTCGTTATGCACTTTTAAATGCCTGGGTGATCAGTTGTATGATAGCAACCTCGGAACATGAGCAATCCACTTGAAAACATGTAAAAACCTGAGAGTGCCTTGAAATACAAATTAAAACACTTGTATTAAATTACTACCCTGTTATCACTGAAAATCACGGAAGAATTTTACCTGGCATGTTTTTATTGATCCATGTATACATTTTCATAGAGTAAACTGCAGATATATTTTAACTTCAAAAAGCACCAACTGTTTTACAAATGTTGGATATGAATAATGTGGTAATATAGATTCGTAAGTTAAATAGATGCCTTGCTATAATTTCCAAATACCTATGCATACACATCAGCTAAGGTAGGGGAAGTCATTAAACCATTGAATATAAACTAACGATGACTCGACAATCAAATAACTATTTTTTTTGAAGCACATTCGGACTATCAAAGACTGGAAAGTAATATTCTAATATTACTACACAAGAGGTTTCAACAAAAGACGTGGTGCAATCGTTGCATAGTTCATATTCTCAGTTCAATTTTCTGATACAAAATGGTTTCTTGATTGCAATTTGGCATTAATGACTAAAATTGCAATAAACACTTAAAATAAAAAACAATAACAGGCAAAGAACAGTTTCCCTAACCTTCAATTACATGTATAAAACAAGGCTACAACCAATATAAAGTCTTTAGAAGAAGAAAGCATTTGGATTGGGGTTGATTTAGGTGTTTTTCAAACATAGAAGAGAAATGTTGGCCCAATAATACGAAAATTGTTTAAATGATATTTTATACTAGAATTTTTCACAACAAAGGAAAGGTAAGTTACTGTTTCTCTTCCCCAACTACGAGACAGCCCTAAATCACTGAAATGATTCAGTTATAAAAAGTTACAGCTCAAGAAAACTACAAACTAGGTAATGCTAGCCATTACCTTAAGAAAGGATAATTTTAAATGTACAGTTTGGGTGTTATAAAACCTTTTTTGGATTGAATTTAAGTACTGATAAAATTTTCCTTAGTTTTAAAATGAAAACCAGTATTTGTTACTCCCAAAGAATACGATAATTGTGTTTGCTGTTGCTGTTGCTTTCATTTTACATATTTAGAAGATTTATTTCCAATCTTTATCACCTTTATATCCATAAAGTATAACATTTTGTAAAAGATACCAAGCAAGGAGGTGGTATCCCTCCTTTTATTTTTAAAAAATCTTGCAAAGTCATACAAACTTAATTTTTATTAATACCATAACTTCCATCCTTTGTGTGGAATTGCAAGAATAGAATTTTAACCTATTAATATTTTACTCCAAACTATTAGTTTGCCTTTATCTGCGTCTGTATGTTCACTGTCTAGCCATCCATGATACACATGTGTGGACACTGAATATATAATATATTCACATGCCCATTTTAATTGGGCACAATTTTAAGATTAACTGTGGAGTTTGAAAGTTGGAGACATGGGGCATGCTGGGACTTCAGCTGAGATGTTCTGAGGTCAAGCACCAGGTACTGAGCTGTTCTTGTTACGCTCGTATACTACTGCGTGTTGCTCTCAAGGAATAGACCAGGCAGATGAGTTCCACAAGCCTCAGGCATCAATAACATGCATACATACACATAGCAGCCAACACGCTATTAAAGCAAAATATATACCTACTTTAACAGAAATCCAGGAGCTGCCACTCTCTGGTCACCTGATCCCATCTAACAATGAAAACCTCAGAGGTATACTCAATCACCTCAGACAAACTTTCTTTTCTTTTGTTTTTGCTTTAAAGAATAAAATTCCACCAAATTTCCAGGATGCAAAAGCACGACTCGCAGCTCCCAAGAGCCTAACCCGTGGATTTAAACGGTAAACATCACAAGTTAGGGTCTCAGGGACTGAGAGGAGCGCAACAATGTTTTCTTTCTTGAGACAAAGCAAAGCAAAACAAGAATGACAGGCAATTTCTGTTCGAGGTTCATAACTAAGATGCAACAAACAGGTGGTATGGTATTTCTTCTCTAAGCTCCTTTCCTTCACAAAATTGAGATTCCGTTTAAGCCTAATACATATATACACACATACGCAGTATCTGGGGGCGCATATACAATCACGCACATACACATACGATCACGAGTACATCAGAGAAAACTCTTTCAAGATTTGGGCAAAATAGTTCACTAAAACGGAAAATAATATGCACAGACTCAGAAATGCCCAAGTTTTTAAAACCATAGTCTACAATAAGGATTTAGTGTCTTTTCAAAGCTTTAATTTACGACTAGCACAAATGACTGAAGAGAAAATAGGAGGCATCTCTTTCCCCCAGGGCAAGTATGCCGCATGCAAAAATCATAGAAATCGGGTTTTCAAAGGAGAAGACCAAGAAGTAGGATTCGGAGGCTATAGAAGTGTAAAGACGAATAGCGTTCTGAACTCACCCATTCGAAGCGGAGCGGGGCCCGCACAGCCTCCTGTGGCACCATCCCGAGCAAGGGGGGAAAATGAGAGCTCTCAGTGCGCTAGGCTGGGCGAGGTGTTTCAATAGAGGACGGAGAACGGGGGCGGGGAGGGGAGGCGGGGGCAGGAAGCGATACACCAAATCTCGAGACTGTAACTCTGTAGCTTATGCTTTGACGAGAGAAAAAAGGGCAGTTGGGTGGGAGTGGAGGGAGGGGCTGGAACTGATCAAATTTGGAAAATATTCACTTAAAAATTAAAAAAAGGCGGGGGGGGGGGGGGAGTATGAAACCTCCCCAGAGCTGCTTTTTGAAAAATTTCTTCCTTCTTTCTTTAGCGTGCACTTTGCCAGTCCTGCAAACGGAGGCTTCGTCTGCATCAGCTGCTTGGCTGAAGTCAAGGCCAAATCACCAAGAGCGAGCACCAGGCTGTCATTTGGTAGACACGAAGTGGGAAGGGCTGGGTGCGGGCTGGGGAGAGACATTCCCCCCGCACCTCCCGCTGCGGATTCTTTGAAGCCTTTGGCCAATATTTCAGAGGAATCCGAAGCATAATTCCCCTCCATCTTCGCAGACAGCCCCTGGTTCTGTACCTGATAGATTGTCGCTTTCCTCATCAGACTGGAAGTGGGGCTTTCCTGTGCCGCCACCAAAAATGAAAGGAAAAGGAGGGGAGGCAGATGGGAAGATGACCCTTTTACAAATGTTTCTTCTCCTTTTTCTTTCTGTTTTTCATTTCATTTCTTTCTTCTTCTTGTTCTTCTTTTATTCCAGGCCTGAGCAAGGTAGATGGCTGGCTAGTCAAAGAGAATGACAAAGCAGCCACAGCCAGGAGGACACTGGAGAGGCCTCAACGCACTTAGTAAAAATGCTAAATATTTTTTTAGATATTTCCATATGCAACTAAAAACAGTTAGAGCTCTAGACTCTCCCCCTCCCCTCCTTTAAAAATGGAATCATACTAGCAACACAGCTAAATTATGTCTCTTCTCCCTCTGTACAGTGTCTGTTTAGCAGCCCCCCCACCCCCACCTTCAAGACAACTTTTTTCTCACCTCTGTGGGTTCTTCTCAGGCACAATCCTCCGTTGAGCTCAGAGGCTCTCCTTTTTCTCTCCCTTCCCTTTTCCTTTTCCTCTCAGAAAAGCTAGTCTGTCATCATCACACCTAGCTTCTCTCTCGCTCGCTCAACCTCTCTCCTTTTCTCTTTTACCATTAAAATATAATAATAATAATGGCCCTTTCGACATAGCAGCATGAAGTGGCTGCCTTTGAGAAGCACATTTAATCTTTACTGGCTCCCCTAGGCTTCAGTGAAGAAGGAGAAGGCAAGGAAAAAAAAAGGAGAGAGAGAAAAAAAGATTGTAAGGGAGGCTGCTGACGGACAGCAGGCATCAGGCACAAATCAGCGACAAGTTGAATTTTCCTAGACCACACTGCCCCCTTTCTTCTCGGCTTGCTCCCTGGGCTCCTGGAAAGCCTGAGTGTCTGGTTACAGGAGGCAACGGGTCTCTTTTTGCCAACCATGGTGCAGATTCCTCGCATGCCTGCTTAAATCTCTGGCAGAATAAGAAATCAATATCCCCCTCTAATCACCTTTAGCTCTTCGATGGCTTCCCCCCTTTTCTGAGAATCCACTTGGCTCTCCTCGCCGCTCCCCCGCCCTGCCGGGCTCCTACATACAAAGCTTGCAGCCCTGTCATTTCTCACTTCCTTCCATATCTTGGAGACAAGCCTCTCTTCTAATATCCTCTCGCGCTTGCTCCCTCTCCTGTTGTAGTGTGTCTCATCCCTGACTTGCAGTGCTGGATGCACTAAGGCATCTCCCTGACTACTAATGAGGCCAAAAATACATCAGCAGGTCAGGGGGAAGGCCAGACACTGCATTATACAAATACAAAAAATTTCTCAGCCCGCAAGACCTAGAGATCAGGTATCACATTTTCGAAAAGGAAAAACAGGGAGGGAAAGAAGTGAGGAAGGGAGACCACAGTGCAGTTCTCTGCCTAACTGTTTCACATCCTAGGGGAATTTCAAGCACACATGCATGTATGAGTGCAGGTGATGGATTTTGTGAATCTTGGTGGCCTTTCTTTATGGACGGAAAGTCAACAATGCCCAAATATTTCTTTGCAATCAGCATTTAGCGGGATAAAAGAGCAATGATTCGGATCTACATTTAAGATATGTAGACTCTCTGTTCAGGCATGTGATGACTACAGAGCTAAAATTCCCTTTCCTTCCAGTGGCTGGGGTTTGCTCGTTGACTGTATTTGCCATATGTATTAATTTACCATCTATGTGCCCTTGGATTTTGAAATGAACTCATCAGTCACTGAAGCTCATCCTGACCCTTTG
The DNA here is from genome assembly GCF_000001405.40 of Homo sapiens. NCBI lineage: Eukaryota > Metazoa > Chordata > Mammalia > Primates > Hominidae > Homo > Homo sapiens. The sequence goes on from NC_000011.10 coordinate 122,102,749, forward strand.
CTTTCACTGCAGGCATTTTCCTTATTCCTGAAGCATGTTTTTCCTCTTCAAATGTCTGACAGACACATATACACTTCATCGATCAGCCTCAAGTTCCCCAATAATGACAAGTAATATTTCAGATGACAAAAAAAAAGAGGCACAAGAAAAAAGGAAGACATCCTAAGTTGATTGGGGGAGCATCTCCTCTCATTTCTGTTGGCACTCATTTTTAAAGCTCTGCTCTGCTGTGATCCTTTAAGGCATGGATCTGCCGAAAATTAGGGTCTCTACCTATCTATGTACACAGTGGGTATGTTACCGTTCTAACCCAATTTTCCTGCCTAGAATCATGCAGACAACCGGCAGCGTGGTATTAAATATAATGTCAGATTCTGTAAATAGCAAGGAAAGGGAGAAAGGTATCTGAGGATGCAGGTTTCCTCCAAGTCAATATTTTTAAAAGATAGTTTCTTTGTGCTCAACTCAGACATAATTGTGCTTTGTCTCTGACTGTGAGACCTGCAGAAGCATACCTAGATGCCAAGGAAAAGGAGAAAATGCACAAATAAGAAGAAGATACAGACAGAGGAAGAAGGGAGAGGAGAGAAGTAGAGAGGAAAGGCGAGGAGCGCATAACAGCTAAAGGCAAAATGAGAGTGTTGGATTTTTGTAATACTTTTTTTTTCTTTTTGTCGTTATTGGGAAGGAGAAAGAGGTGGTTGCCAGGAGTTGGTGACTAGGTTAGAATCTTTTTCAGATTTGGCTAACGGGGTGTTTTCACTAGACTGATGGAGAAAAAAGAAACACGCTAGAATAATCATGAAGGGTGGAGCTGTTAAAAAAAAAAGTCTTTGACTCACTGGGTGCCTCCCTGTACACCAAAATGAATCATTCCTAACCAGAATCATCAATTGTCTTAGTGTACTTCTATATGAAGGCCAGATTATGGGAATCATGTCATTGCACCCATCTTCAAAACGAAGGGTAAATAGAGGACGAGATTTCCCGAGACTCTTTTAAACCTCTCTATATTTGCAACAATAGTTCAGCATGATTTTCACATAATAAGCTAATTTGCTCTTGCTTGTATTCACTCTGCTTACAAAGATATACAAATATATAGCTTATGAAAGTTTTGCTATGAACACATCATTTTCTCTATACAACTCAGCGATGTCTTTGGAGGATACTTATTTCAAGCAGTTAACACCTGACCCCAATTTCTGTGGGTAATTAGTGAGCTAGATAACCACACAAAGTGGGTAATTATTTAGTACCCAAGGGTACGCTAGAAGTGGGTAGTGGCTTTGTTAACAAAAGCACATCTCTAATTGTTGTATCTATGATGGGTGTTTTAAAAATACCAGTTACTATATCAAGTGAACCATGATAAATAAGTGAACTAGTTTGCTGTCCTTAGCATATACATATGTATCTTCTATCGTGGGTAATAATATTTACCTCTCTTGTATGGAGTGTTGTGAAGATTAATTAGTTAACATCTGTAAGACTCTCAGAAGATGAAATATTGCTAGAGGCCTTCTAAATACTGTATTATTATTGTTATTATTACCTTGGCTAAAAATCCCAGAATGGGAGAAATGGAGAAGGTAAATGTTATTGTCTGGTCTATGTCTAAGTTTGCAAATATGCTGAGATCACAAACATAATGAGTTTGATTATGGGGAGTAGTTTCCTACCTGACAGAGTCTAACCCACACTGTAATAGAAAAGAAAGGCAGAAGGTATTTCATTGACAGCTGGCTCTGGTTGGATCTGAGGAACTGAACTGGGATAGAAGTGGAGAGGAAAGGGAGGAGCAGGAAGAAGGAGTCACTGATGGGCTGGGAGGAAGCCGAAATCTGCTGGACCACACCCTCCTTCCAAAGTCTTTCTATCCTTCTCTCTCACAAGCAGCAAATAAGCACAAAAACCCCCAAAGAAGATATCTATGCAAGTCCTGGGACAAATTCAGCATAATGACAATCTATCTGCCAGTTACATAGCATTGATTCTGGAGGAGAACCATCAGCACAAATTATTATAACAAATGCACGTACATTTGAAAATATTACAATGTTGAGAATAGGCACACACAGATCAACCTCAGATAACTTTAACCCAGGTTATGAGCAGCGATGAAGAAGCAACTTTTTAATTGCTTTTATGACTCACTCTCGGGGGAGAAGGGGGTATTATTAATTTTTGCCAAGAAAGAAAGAAAATAAAAAAGAAAGGAAAGAAGAAAAAAAAGGAAAAGAAAATCCCATGCTTTCAGGGACCTAATTCTGGAGAACAACCAAGCCTTGAAAACAAACAACAACAACAACAAAAACTTACTGCTGCTTTCTCTGTAAATTGCCCATCTCCTTGAGCTGGCTGTCTGGCTCTGGCTGAGGCAGGACAGACAGAGGCCTCTTGGAATCCAAATCTTCAAGTAGGCTCACCACATTTTTTCTTTCAAAGCAAGGTTGTCCTGGGGATTAACCCTAGGAGTCTGGGAGATGCAAGCATGTGGGGAGGGTGAAGAAAAAGACGCAAAGATGTTGTATTCAGTCCAGTTGACGGCTTCCAGGGAATGGAAAAAGGAAAGGACCCCATGAGCCAGCCAACAGGTACCACTGCCGAAATCTCTGCTGGAGGATGGCCTTTGGAACACGTGCTTATGCTGTGATTGGAGGCCAGTGGTGTGATGAGCACCTTTTAAGAGTTTGGGAGCAGAGGGAAAATTTCTCCAAAAGCCACCCAAGCCAGGCTTCTGACCTGAAGCCCAGTATGTGTCACCCCCTCTCTGAGCTCAGAACTACAAAGGCTGACTGGCATTCTCCAACCCGCCCAGCTCCTTTCAAACCCACAGACTGTGCCAGACTGGCCCCACCTCCCACTGCAGCAAATGCTGTAGCCCCGCTCCATGCTGTGTTGTAAGGAGCCAGACTTCCGTTTTAATTGTCCTACCTGGCCGTCCCCTCTGCCACTACCCCTGGCTCTTGGTTCCTGGCATGGTTTCAAAGGCCCAATCAATGGCTTTCCCTCCCCCATCGGAATCTTAAACACTGCTAGTTCTCCCTTTTCCAAATTTTATCTCTTTCAAACTTAAATGTTTTTATGTCTTGTACTTTGTTTCATGTCTAGCCACCACCACCTCGTTTCTTTGGCCACTCTCATTCTCTTGTTTGACACTTTTTTTTGCCATGTCTTGTCTCATATTAGGACTGAAAACCCAAACCAAAAGTCAGCTGCTAGCATCTTTCCCTTATCCTCCCCTGCATTATATTTAATGTATCTGACAATCCAATGGATCTCAAGGCATGTCCTAAAATCTCACCTAAAAAGAGTTGAAGCCAGCAGAGAGCAGGTGTGTATGTGTGTGTTAAATAACCTAACTATGTGAATGTAGCAGGAAAGGGCCTGATGCATGTGGGTGGAAGGAAGAACAGAAGAAAGGAATCTGGTATACTTAAAAACATTTAGGATAAAAGCAATGAAAGCTAATTGTGGCAAGAACTTACGGAGAAAATACCATACACAAACACACATACACACACACGCATGCACACACACACATATCTGTATCAAGCATCCATGCTGAGCAGTTAAGTCACAATACCCTAAGATTATCTGATTATCTGAAAAAGTATTTACCATACTGTGAATGGGACAGGCAGGGCCACATGGTTCTGCAGCTGAAAGCTAAATACAAAAGCCTTCTGGAATGGATTGGAAGAGGATGGCAAACTCCTTTAAATCATCTGCCTCCCTCCACCCTTGTCTGGGCTTAGGGGTTAAGAACTGCTATAGCACCTCTCTTTTATTTCCATCATGATTTTAAGCTTATTATTGCTATTCATTCTTTAAAATATTTGTGCCCTTAACCTTACTACTTAGATATTCATGGCTTTCATGTTGCAAGTCCGCTGTCTGTGACACTTCTAATACATATCATTGAAGGTCTTCTCTGTGTCAGACACAGGTAACTAATATCTCATTTGGTCCCCAAAACAGCCTTTAAAAGGTATCATCAGTATTTTACAGATGCAGAAAATAAGGTTTGAAATAGTTAGAATTGCCCAGCTCACGGGTGGCACGGCTAGGATTTGAACTCAGGTCTAATTCATGGTCTTTCCTTTGCATCAATATACTCTTTGACTCCTGTCCCAGTGTAAATGTCACTTTCTGCAGCTAGTCTCCTCAAACTAGTTTAGTTTCTTCTCCTATGTATTTTCCATAGCACCCTATACTTACACTATCTTAGCGTTCATTCATTCTTTTCATTTTGCTGATTTTATCTAGTCTGTCTAACAGTGGGAAAACAGAGAGAGAAAGAGAGACAGAGGGAAAGAGAGACCATTCCCCTCCCTAAGGTAAGATGCCTATTACCTGTGTACTAAGCGGATCTAGTACATAATTACTGACTACTTAACTCTATGTCAGACACTGTGCTGGACAGTGAAATTTCTTTAGCCGGAGGGCAGGAAGTGATGCTGTAGTACTGGCATCGTCTGTGTACTTTGCTACTCCATCTCCCAACTCTAAGGTCACAAAGACAGAGGCTGTGACAAGGTCTCTCTGTATCCACAGTACATGGCATAGCACCTGTTACACAGCAGGAGCTCAACAAATCATTTCAGAATACATTTTTATGCTAAGATGGCTTTGATTGTAACATTTTGAGAAAGCAATATTCATGCCTAAATAACCCTTAAAAAGGCTTAATAAAATGCCACATAAACGTGGCATTTAATAAATGGTGGACTGCAACCTTATTTTCTAAGACTGTACTCTGGCTGAGGTCCCACTTATAGTCATGTTTGTGTTTCTGAAAACTAGAAAATTGGTCTGTTTAATTCATCCTATACGTTCTGAAGTCATGCTGTTTCTGTTTCAAGCCAGTTAAGCTCTGTCTGAAATCTCTCCAATCGGTAGAGCAGGAGGTCATGTCAAGTGATAAACTGTCCAGGGTGGCGTGGCTGTGAAGGACTATTTTGGGCTACATGTGAGGAGGGAGAGCTCTTACACTTTAGAGTGTGTGGCTAAATCCAGATCTGAGATAAGCAACACAGCTCAGGGTGCCCTCATTTCAGAAAAAGAGGTTGAGAAGATAGAAATGGTTCATGATCATATGACCTAAATGACTCTAGGGTTTCATAATGTATATTCTGAGGAAAGATTAGGCAATTCTTTATTTTGCCTAAGGAAAGAATATTTAAGTATGTATAATGGCTACCCTTGGCAGGCCAGCTTCTATCCTATTCTTTATCTGAGCAGTTCTTGTCTCCGAATAGAGTTAAGCCGGGGAATATCATGGACTCCATTCTGTTTTCCATTAGCATTGACTGACTTTTGTTACAAATATGTTACTATCTGTACTAGGCTGGGATAATATTCATTATGTTAACCTAGAACACAGTTTCTAAAACTGTATCCTTTGGGGCATTGCTGGCATTTCTCAAGGCAAAGCTGGATGGGTACACATCATTCTACTCTAAATGTACTTAAGATAAAGACGATCTAAATTCCCTCAGCAAGAGTCTTTCACTAACTGGCAAAAATATTTCTTACTACTCATCATAGGAAGAGGAAGAGGAAGAGGAAGAGGAAGAGGAAGTGGAAGTTAGTCCTGTTGGTCAGTAAAGCCCTTTTCCTAAAGCAATGAGGCTCTAGACCAGTAGGGGGCAGTGTTTGGTACAGGCACTCTATAGCTCAAGTGGTCTCAAAGGGAATCATCTGGCAGATTTTATACCCGAAATCCACATCGTCTCCAAGTGTCAGGCTAAGTAGTGTCAGGCAAAATACTTGGATTTTTGCCTAGTTAAAAAAATGCTTTCATTAGTATCTTAGGATATTAGGGGAAAAATCAATGCTGAGCTAATCCTTCAGTATATATTTAGTGATATTTATTGATATGAATATATAAAATAATTCTGTTGCCTCCTTGTACCTCATTGGTTGAGTTTCAGAGGACTTTTCCTGGCTTCCATCCTAACTCCATAGAAGAGCTGGTGCTTATCTGATGGGCCCAGGTGGTTTGTGAAGCTCTCTGGAAGGTAATCTATGGCCAATTGATTGCATTGGGGCCCAACTCTACCAATTTGTAGGAAGTACATTTTAGCAGCCTTTGGGTTTTAGGAAGGTGAAGGAGAAAAGCTTCTGTCTAACAATGGGAAAACAGAGAGAGAAAGAGAGACAGAGGGAAAGAGAGACCATTCCCCTCCCTAAGGTGAGATGCCTATTACCTGTGCACTAAGCGGATTGAGTCTGACATTATAAAAGTCATTATTCTTGGCTAGAGGATGTCATCTAAGAGCCAAATGCTATTTCAGTCTAGGTTCCCTGCCATTCAGTCATTAGGTTTAGGCTGGCAAGCAAAGAGGGATATTTTTCGCCCCTGGAACTTTTGAAGATTGCGATTGTAAGGCCAAGAACCTAGAGATGATATTCAAGCAAGGATACAGACCAGGGATTTGTTCTGGAGTTGTTTGTATTGTTTTGAAACTGCTACAGATAGCCTGGTGGTTGGGAGGGAAAGAAAAGAGGTGGAGGAAGAGTAAAGAGACATCTTACTGATGCCTAGGAACCATGGCATTAATAGGACTGGATTTGAGACTGTTCTCATCTCAAATCAGTCTTACTGATGCCATGGTTCCTAGGGATATCTTTGCTGACCAAATTAATGCTCTTTTGAAGATAGGGCTCCTTTTGTAGTACTCCCCACCTCTGGATCTCTAAGTATTTTCCAATACATAGGCAAGAAGTAGATAGGGCAATGACTCACCACTAAGTAGAATTAGATTGTCTTAGGTTGGTGCAAAATTAATTGTGGTTTTTACCATAAAAATTTGTGGTAAATTTTTATAACTTTTGCACCAAATTTTATAACTTTATAACTTTGCACCAAACCTAGTAATTCAGATTTCAGGGTTTCCAGTCATACTCCCAATATTGCTGTTCAACTTTTTATTAATGTTCAAAAAGTCACACTTCTTTACTTTCAGACTTCAGATTTTTACATTTTTTAAGCTACTAAGATTCTAAAGGTTTAGGATAAGGAGAGGGAGAAGCAAATATTTTTATATCATGATTCCTGTTTCATAGTTGGGAACTGAGGCAATTAATGACTAAATACTTTTCCTAAGAAGGTTGTTATAGCACCAAGAATATAATCTAGGTCTTTCATTCAATCTAGCCGTTGTGAGGAAAAATGAGCTAATATGTATGAACTGCCTCAACATCATTCAAAGAGTGGGTTTGTGTAAATCTGAGGTGTTGTTAATAATAATCATACCCTGTGCATCTTGCTTACCCCATAATTAACTGATGACAGCGCAGAAAGGAAGAGCTTCAACAAGATGCGATTAGTTTACCTGAGCATTTGTAAAATAGATAAGTGTGTCAAAAGTGCTGAGTGTGCAGAAGTAAAATTAAAGGAATACAGAAACATATTTTGAGACATATTTTTGGGTCCAAGGTGCAACAGTAGTATCAGAATTCCCACTGAGATTTAAACAGAGAGCAATGAGTAGGGGGCACTCTGGAGAAGCCAAGAAATATTTTAAAGGTGGAAACTGCTACCTCAGAGACTTTAAATTCGGCGCATTCTACACTTCTCAAGGAGTCTCCCTGCCACAAATAGCAGTGACATGAATACCACAGGAACTATGTCGAAGGGAGCCAGGCTCACCTTCTGGGGTCTGCTGCTTTCCCCTTCGTGAAAATCCATCGCATGTTCCAATCCAGGTCAGCACTGAGCAAACCAACTACAGTTTGCAACCAACCTGCACTCCAAAGTCTGGGGGAGGTAGGTAAATATTTTTCACATTCTTAAGCCTTTATTTTTGGTCTTAATTTTTATTTTGAGTCAGAATCTTGTTCTGTTACCCAGGTTGGAGTGCAGCGGCATGATCATGGCTCACTGCAGCCACAAACTCCCTGGCTCACGCAATCCTCCTGCCTCAGCCTGCCAAGTAGCTGGGACTATAGGCATGCGCCACCATGCTCAGCGAATGTTTTTACTTTTTGTAGAGATAGGGTCTCACTACTTTGCCCAGGCTGGTCTTAAACCCCTGGCCTCATACTATCTTAAGGTCTTGGCCTCCTAAATTGCTGGGATTACCAGTGCGAGCCACCGCACCCAGCCAAGCCTTTAAACATTCACTGTGATATTATGACTACCTAGCCCAGTTCTGGACTGTTTGATTTACGGGCTTATGGGTCTATATGCTTAACTGTGCATGATACTTACACGTACTGAATGAGGACATGTGTTCATTTTGATGCTACTAATGCTTACCACTATGTCTGCTGCATAATAGGTGATTTACAAATGATTGTTTATTCTGCACTCTTCTGGAAATTTAATATAATCTAGGTTGTAGCATTATGGAGCACAGACCAATCAACAGATTGAACTCACAAAAGGAATCTTTAATTGATGATTTGCCTTTCCTGTCATGAATTGAATTACTCAAAATACACATCTTATAATTTATGGAAAAGTAAGAAAAGTTCCAAGGTAAGAAAGGAAAAAACATACTTTGAAAATAAAAAGAACATCTGGTTGTTGTTTAGATTCTGTTTAGAATGTGAACAGTGATTTGGGTGCTTCTAATAAATAGTTAGGAGTCTACCTGTCAATGTCTTTTAACGTTATTTTTATTCCTTTTAGAGATGAGGTCTCACTGCCCAGGTCTGAGTGCAGTGGCATGATCCCAGCTCACTGCAGCCTCGAACTCCTGGGCTCAAGTGATCCTCCTGCCTCAGTCTCCTAAGTAGCTGGGACTACAGGTGAGCACCATCATGTCTGTCTCTTAATGCGTTTTTAAAAACAAAGGAAACAGATAAAACAGATTGGAGAACCAAACTACAGGAGGAAATAACTGATGACCAGCATGTTCACTTCAATTACTCGACATATGCATATATCTCTGAGCCCCAGTGCCTTGCTTTCCACAGAGCAGTAAGAATTATTTGAAGTACCGGTAAATTAGCCTTGTTAAGGAAATTCATGAAGAACTGGTGAAGTAGCTAGTCTGGCGGTGGGCATGGAAGGGAGGGAAGAATTCGACATGTTATTTCTCTTCTGCTAAAAACAGGGAGTGTTTGGGAGGCCAAGGCGGGTGGATCACCTGAGGTCAGGAGTTCGAGACCAGCCTGGCCATCATGGCAAAACCCCGTCTCTACTAAAAAATACAAAAATTAGCTGGGTGCGATGGCAGGTGCCTATAATCCCACCTACTCGGGAGGCTGAGGCAGGAGAATCGCTTGAACCTGGAAGGCGGAGGTTACAGTGAGCCGAGATTGTGCCACTGCACTCCAGCCTGGCAGACAGAGCAAGATTCTGTCTCAAACAAAACAAAACAAAACAAAAACAACAACAACCAAAAAAAAAAAAAAAACAGGGAGCGCTTAACCTAGAAAATACCAATGCATAAAATGAACTTCTCTGCCCTGATAATAAAGGGGGCAGGGGAATAAAAGCAGAAGAATTATCACATGATCTACTCAGTATTTTTTGACTGCTTTCAGTGATCTCAGTCTCCCCTTCCTCAGCACCCCGTCAGCACTGTAAGCACACCATGCACAGGACATGTTGCACTATGATTGTAATTAAGACACGGAGAGATATATCTCCCTATATCTCTAGCCCATTATAGAATGACTGGCACACAGTAAGCTCTCAGTAAATATGGAATATAAAATGAGTGGGTCAATGTGAAGATAAAATTTAAGAGCTATAAGATGAAGTGCAAGCACAACCATGTCCAAAATAAGGAAAAGTGAGAGCTCAATTAGATCTAGATTCTGGGCTGGGTCTAATGGGACAGGAAGGGGTAAAAAAGAGTGTTCAGTATGAATCTTCCATCCTTCATGAAGATGCTAAAGTCCTGACACTGAGTTATGCACACAGAGTTGGAATCTGGCCCTGGGGAAAACCAAAGGCTGACATATCCTTGTCTGGTCTGCTTACTTCGACTTCATTTTCTATTTCTGGTTATAGTGGTCCCAAGACACACGACCCAATGGAAGGAATATAGAACTGCAAGTTAAGAGACATAGGTTCTCCACTTAGCTTTGTCACAGTGACCTTGGACAAGACATTTCACCTCTCAGATCCTTAGCTGCCTCAACTATAAAATGAGAGGATTACACTAGATGAACTTTCAAGTTCCCTCCAGGGAAATTCTAGAATTGCATAGTTCCTCTCTCTGTCTAGATTCCATTCTCTTACAAGAATATTTTCTTAACAGCTACGATTTAGATGGAATTTGGATTTAGAAAATAAATACAGCATCTTAGCTGATGTTGAAGAAAAAATAGAGTCTGAATATACACAATGGGAGAAGGGAGATGTGAAGAGTCTCAGCACAGTGAAATTCATCATAGCAGATTGGGTCATGAAAAGGGGATTCCCATTTAGCTATCTACACATCTCCCGATGCTTGATGAAACCAAGAAAATTTGACAAGGTTTTTGGGCAACAAGAAAGCATGTTGTTGTGAAGGGACAAGAATTATTCATCCCATTTCATAGAAAGGAAAACTGAAGCCCAGGAAAGATAGATAACTCATTCAAGACCACACTGTGATGGCGAAGCCAACTTCCCACCCAATTATGTTGTCTGAATTTGTCAACAAAGAAATCACCACTGCTTCCAATGAGCATGGTGCCACAGCCCAATAAAACTGGGCAGCCCCAGAGCCAGCTTCAGTCTCATGACCTCTGCTGCAATCAGACCTGCTCAAAATTTCTGTAATGTTTATTGCTAGAAAAAGTAACTGCATGAATGACCCATAGAGGCTCTTTAGAAGATTTCCTGCGGTCAAGATGCTTTCGCTGGCCTTGGGTCAAGAAATCCGGTTTCCATTCCATTGTCTGTCACTTGAGGCTCTTGCATATTAATTTCCTTCTCTAGTCATCAAAAAACTTTTGAGAGAAACTTATAAAATGTAAAACGATCCCAGATCAATATATATGAAATATTATTCGAAGAGTTTTGTCTGGCGTTACCAATTATCTGAAGAAATTATTCTTATCTACTTTTTAAATCACACAAAGACACACACGCACACACATATATAATACATATAATTTATATTTAAATGTTTATAATAGTGTATATACACACACATAGACACTGTTCTTATAAAAATTATATATATGTGTATGTGTATGTATAATGTGTATGTGTGTATATATATGTCTATATGTATATGATAGATAAGTATGTATTTATATCTCTTCCAGTCTAGCTGGGAAATCTGTTTCACAATCAACTGCTGCTCTGTTCTCGGACTTGATATATAGCCAAGCAAGCCATTCTCGATTAACACTGCTCCCTCCTGGGGAAAGTCACAGAATAACTTTATTGATTTCTCTTTACCCTTCTCCACATTTCTCTGCTGAAATGTTGTCTTAACTCTTCAATGCAAAAGCAAAAGGAAGTGAAAATGAAAATAAAGAGCTTTGCTTCTTTAGGGCAATGTTAATTATATTTTTCTTACTTCCTAAACAAAATTTTCTTCAAACAACAGCATATCCATGAAGGATCTCTATATGGTAAAGAAAAGAGAGGATGACATACTTCCCATGGTTTCTAGACAGCAGATTTCTTTACGCTGAAACCTGTGCTTCACCCACAATGCTGGACTCAGAACTACACGAACCTAAGCGTATTCTCTTATGATTTGGCCAGCCATCTTTGAGAACCGCTAAGACAATTTGGCAAACAGTCCTTCCACTGTTTTCCAACACACTAGAATATAAGGAAAGTTTGTTTCTTGTCAGTTTTTTCTACCTCAAAAGATCCCAGGCATGATTAAGTTTTTGCCTTTTCTTTCTCTTTCTCTTTTCTTTCTTCTACAGAAAATTCTTTACTTTAACAGCTTCAGGATCACTGATGCAATTTAGGAGTTTCTCCGATGCAATTGAGAAATGCAAAAGGGAGGTTCTATAGGCAGGGTCTTTTCTGCCTGGAGCTTTTAAGATCACTGAGGAAAAATAACTCAGATTCTCACTCTTTCTCTCCTCCCAGCTTCTGAGCTGCCCTGCGGGCTCAGTTCTCACTGTGGGTAGGTATGGGTCAGGGTAGTGGAAAGAAAGCAGAGAAGGGGACACTAGAATAGCTTAAAGTAAAAGCTCTGAAACACCTTTTCCATTTCCTTTTCCTTTTTTCCCCACAGATTTAGTTCTACTCACTCTAATAACAGAGTTCATAAAAGATTACTGGAATTTCTATTTCTTTCAGTTCCACAGGTTTTTTTTTTTGTAAAGGGAAAGAAAGGTTAGACTTATTTACAACACAATGACAATCTCTGATTCTTCACTTTAAGCAAATAAAGACGCCTAGTGAAATAAATGGATTGTGTTATTTAAAATTGAAAGCTTATGTGAACCACCACTCAGAAACATGCTTAAAAAATACAGAAAGAAAATGAAAACCCTGTGACTACACAAGATTATTCTGATGCCAAATGCTGAGTGTACAACTAAGTAGAGTAATTGTTAATAATATGACAAGTACCTACTTCCAATGTACAAATGAAATACACTCAAAACTGCAAAGGACAGTGGCACTGTACGCTGCCCTAAGGTTTACCATCACATAGCTTTTTGTTTTTTCATGAATTTGCAAGATTTGTTTTAATTAAATGCCATTTACTTTTAACTAGCCAGTTTATCCTTTTTAAAAATTTTATTGTTTCTCTGCACAATTTGAACCAAATTTGGAAAAGTTATGGGTAAAAGTGGGTAGAAAAGACTGTTAAGAATTGGGTCTTATTGAAATCAAGTTTCCTTCTGTGTTGTGCAGCCTGAATAATGGGCGAAATCTGTCCTAATATCTTGCTGCATCTGTCCTAACTCACTCCTTTTACAGGGCCTCAGCAGAGGAATTGCATAACAATGTAACTTGTATCCTGGTTAAATAGGAAGGTCTCTGAAGCACATGTCCAGGAACATTCCGCTTCATGGCAGAGGAGCCAAGATTGTACCTTTTAAGAGAAAGCACTGTTTCCTTAGGCAACATAGGTTCTTTGTTGGAACCCAAGAGCGCCTCCAGTGGCAGGCGTGCTTTTGCCTCTGGATAAATGGAACTGCCAGAGGCTCGCTCTATCCATCCTGTGTAGAGCACACACTCAGATTCTAGGATCTCAAAGAAATGTATTTCCTGGCCCTCTATAGGCAACAAAGTCACCATAATTTGAAGCTATTATGGAAGAAAGTCCAAAATTTAACTTCCATTCGCTTTATTCAGCAAGTTTTTATAAGGCAGATCTCATATGGACTATGCTTTGCATAAGCACGGTGTTAGATGGGAAGAAAAAAGTGGTGGGATCCTTCCTCCTCTTCCTTTCTTCCCAGCTCCTGCTATTCATGGAATTTCCCTTGATTTCAAGTGGCTACTCACCAAAATCCTCAACTGAAAACAGCTTCCAAGGGGTCATGTACTTATTCAATTCTCTTCTCTCTTTTCTCCAAACACAACATCATCTGACCAAGGTTTGCATGCATAAGCATTGCTAATTAACGATAAGTCTCCACGATGTCCTCCTCTCAGTAAGTTTGACACACAGACCTCAGCGAAGCTGTATGTACTGCCTAAAAGTAGGAAAGATCTCCACGTTGATTTCTGAATTGTAAAAGGCAGGGATATGTTTTGGACTTCTTGTCCCTTACTGTGAACAGACCTAAGAGTACTTACTTTATTTTTTAGAAAGAACCCGGAGCTGCTGATGTCTGAGGGAGTCGTTTCAACAGAGACTAGAATATCGAGAGAGAAAATTGATCCAGCTCTCTTGTCTGGTGCTTATAAAACATGAAAGTATCACCCTCGCCATGGCAGACCACAGGGAATGATCAGTGTGAATTGTTAAGTCCTCTTCTCAGTGATGCTTGCAAGCAATTTCCCTGGGGAAGCAACAAGTTCCTGACCACAGTGTTGTACACAAATAAATAAACAAAATGCTATTACTTTTTGTTCTTCACATTGGGAAAAGTTCAGAAACATCTTGTTTCAATTGATGGGCTGGAATTACAGAAACATTTTAATTTTGTCTTTCCTTGCTAGTTCTGTGCCTGAGATGTATTGGTAAAATGGAACATGAGTCATATTTCTAATTGGGAAAAGCCTGGTAATCATGGGCAACCCAGATCTGGGTGACTTACAGAGTATTTTTGTGTTGAGAGAGAAAAGACACTAAAAGTAGAAGTTTCTTACTTAGCAGCAGCAGAGAGGCTATAAGATTGAATCTGGTGTTTCACATGGCCTGTATCATGGTATAATGAGAAGGAATGTGTCTTGCACAAATTAGCCTATAGACCTTTCTAATCAGGACCAATATGTGACATATACAAAGGCAAGATCAGCTGTAAGGAAGGATTCACTCCTTTACCACCAAGCCATGGAGACTGCTTGAGTCATCATGGCCTTGGTCTCTTGATTTCCCTTATGTTATTTGAGTAGAAACTCAGGCACCAATGATGCCCCCAGTTAACCATAACCATAATGGTAGCATCCAATACCATTTTTAAAAAAGTCAGGGTTGTAGACAAAAGACTGATGTAGACCAGTGGAGAAGACAAGAGGGAGTTATGCAGCCTACTCTGAGAGCAAAGTCTGGTTTGGATCTTCTCTGCTACTTTTGTACATTTCATGCTAGAGGCAGAACAAGTATCCAGGGAACACTTTGGAACTTTCCTAAATTTACAGAGGGGCCTGTAACATTCAATTAGGGGGAACACAGAATGTTCTACTCTAGCAAAATTTATAGGTAGTATAAGAAATTCCATCAAGTGTCTTGTGGAAAACTGAATGCATAAAAGTAAGGATGTGGATAATGGGATCATTCAATATAGATTTCAAACCAAAGTCCGCTGCTTAATAACTCTGAACTTGGGCAGAGTACTTAACCTTACTGAACATCAGATTCTTTATTTGTAAAATGGGGACCATAATATCTTCTTTGCTCAATTATTTGGGGGATTAATGAGGGAAGGAATATAAATTATCACAAGATCTGGTATATAGTAAGAACTTTGCAATGTTTTTTTCCTCTCTTTATTGATGAATGCTTTCCAGATTTCTATTTGGCCTCTTCTCTTTGAGTTTATAGAATACTAATTTTCTGTACTTTGTGGCAAATCTATTCAATTTAACAGTTTTTAAAATTTATTATAATGTGAGACATGGAATATGAAGAATAAATAATGCATACCATTTTTATAAAAGAGACTCATAATCTACTGAGAAAGCTAGAAACATGCTGGGTCACTATACATTAGACAAGGTTAAGTGGAATAATTTGGTTATTTAAACATTTGGGAGAAGGGGTGATCTAATTATATACCAGGCACCATACAAGGTGGCAAAGACCCAAAGATGTATAAGATGCAATTATTGAACTCCAGGGCCCTTAATTTTTTTTCTTTTTCTTTTTTTTTTCTTCTTCTGGTTTTTTTTGTTTGTTTTGTTTTGTTTTGTTTTGTTTTTTATACAAGAGTCTTGCTCTTGTTACCCAGGCTGGAGGTCAGTGGCGCAACCTCAGCTCACTGCAACCTCTGCTTCCCGGGTTCAAGTGATTCTCCTGCCTCAGCCTCCTGAGTAGCTGGGATTACAGGCACCCGCCACCATGCCCAGCTAATT
Source organism: Homo sapiens (assembly GCF_000001405.40). Classification (NCBI taxonomy): domain Eukaryota; kingdom Metazoa; phylum Chordata; class Mammalia; order Primates; family Hominidae; genus Homo; species Homo sapiens. The sequence continues at coordinate 122,118,368 of NC_000011.10, forward strand.
TGTGTATTTTTAGTAGAGACAAGGTTTTACCATGTTGGCCAGGCTGGTCTTGAACTCCTGATCTCAGGTGATCCACCTGCCACGGCCTCCCAAAGTGCAAGGATTACAAGTGTGAGCCACCACGCCCAGCCTAGGCCCTTAATTTAGTACAGGAAGAGACATGTGAACAAACTTCAACAGAAGATGGAGAGAACAAATGATACTGAGTAAAGAAGTAACTCGAAGGACAAGAAATCACTTTTGTTGGTAGTGTCAGGGAAGGTTTCACAGAGGAGAAAATATCTAGGCTAGATATACAAAAATAACTAGGTTAGTAACTTAGATAAAATGGACAAATTCACTGAAAAATACAACCTACTAAAACTGACACAGATATAACAGAAAACCTAAATAGCACTATATTTATTAGGGTAATTCAATTCATTATCTAGACCTTTCCACACAGAAAATTTTAGCTTCAAATGGTATCACTGGTGATTTGAATCAAAATATTCAAGTACAAAATGACACTAGTCTTATAAAATTCTTCAAAAAATAGAGGAACAGGGAATTCTTGACAACTTATTTTTTTTTTATCAAATCAGGCAAAAAAGTTACATAACAATTATAAACCAATATTCTGCATAAGCATAGAGGCAAAAATCCTTAACAAGATTTTAATCAAATCTAACAACATACAAAAAATACATCCTGGCCGGGTGCAGTGGCTCACGCCTGTAATCCCAGCACTTTGGGAGGCCAGGGTGGGCAGATCACAAGCTCAGGAGTTCGAGACCAGCCTGGCCAACATGGTGAAACCCCATCTCTACTAAAAATACAAAAATTAGCCGGGCATGGTGGCGCATGCCTGTAGTCCCAGCTACTCGGGAGGCTGAGGCAGTAGAATTGCTTGAACCCGGGAAGCAGAGGTTGCAGTGAGCTGAGATCACACCACTGCACTCCAGCCTGGGCGACAGATCAAGACTCTGTCTCAATAAAAAATAAAAAAGAAAAAAGAAATACAGCCTGACCAACTAGGGTTTATTCCAGGAATGTAATTTTGGTTTGATATTCAAAAATCAATCAACATACTTGATATTATCAATAAAATAAATGAGAAAACGTATATCATTATTTCAATACATGAAGAAAAACTTTGATAAAATTCAACATCTATTGATGATTTATAAATAAAAAACCCACCTCTCAGCGTATCAGGAACAGAGAGGAATTTTCTCAATCTGATAAAGAACATTCTACAAAAAAATATATTGTTATCTTCATACTTAATGGTGAACTATAATATAATTTTCCCCTAAGATTGAGAACCAAGCAAAGACACCTGCTCTTACCACTTCTATTCAGCATTGCTCTGGCTATCTTAGTCATTGTAACGAAGCAAAAAAAAAAAAAAAAAAAAAAGAGAAAAGCATAAATAGAAAAAGAAGTAAAACTGCCTCTATTTGTAAGCAGCATAATTGTTCATGTAACCAGAACATCTTAAGGGAATCTACATAACAATGACTAGAGCTACTAACTGCATTTAGTAAAATACCAAAATACAGGATTAATACACACAAGTCAATTATATTTTTAAATACTAACAGCAAATAAAGGGAAATAAAATTTAAAAATCCACTTATTAAAAAACATAAAACACTCAGAAATAAATTTTCAAAAATATTAATGTAGTGAGTTGCATTGGGTCCCCCAAAAGATATGTCTACCTGGAACTTAGAATGTGATCTTTTTTTGGGAATAAAATGTTTTTGCACATGTAATTAAGGTAAAGGTCTTATCTTGAATAAGGATGGGCCCTAAATCTAATGACACTGTTCGTATAGGAGACAGAAAAGGAGACACTGAAACGCAGAAGAAGAAGATCATGTGAGCATGTGAAGCGAGAGGCAAAGATTGTAGTGATGTGCCTACAAGCTGAGGAATGTCAAGGATTGCTGACAACACCCGAAGTTAGGAGAGAGGCACGGAATAGATTCTCCCTCAGAGCTTCCAGAAAGAATCAGCCCAGCCCACACTTTGATTTCGGACTTTTGGCTTCTTAAACTAAGGAATAAATTTCTGTTGTTTTTAAACAACCCATATTGTAGTAATTTGTTACAATAGCCCTAAGGAACTAATAAAATGTATAAGACCTTTGCAGTGAAAATGTCAAACTGTTGCTGGGGGAAGTTTTAAAAGGTCTGAAGAAATGCAGAGATATACCAGGCTCATAGACTGAAAGACTCCAGTATTATTAAGATGTTAATTCTTCTCACATTGGGCCATAAATTCAAAGCAATCCCAATCAAAATTTCAGCATATATTTTTGCTGTTGTTGAAGAAATGGACAAGTTAATTCTAAAATTTGCATGGAAACACAGTTTCCAGAATTTTCAAAGTAATTCAAAAAGAATGGAGGATTTATACTACTTTATTGCAAGATTCACTATATAGGCACAATAACAAAGACAGCGTGGTGTTAAAGAGAGAATAGACAAGCAGATCAATGGAACAGAAAAGAGTCGAAAATAGACCCACACTTACGTGGTCAATGGATTTTTTTTTTTGGACAAAAATGCCAAGGAAACTCAATGGGGGTGGAGGGAAGTCATTTCAACAAATGGTGTTAGAACAATTAAATGACTATATAGAAAAGAATTAATCCTGATCCTTACCTGATACCATACACAAAAATTAACTCAAGTTAATAATGAACATTGATGTAAAAGCTAAAGTTCTAAATCCTTTAGAGAAAAACATAGAAGAAAATCTTCACAACTTTGAGGATAGGCAAAGATAACAAAGATAAGATACCAAAACAAAGAACTATAAGAAAAAAATGGTAAATTGGACTTGCTGAAAATTTAAAACTTTTGCCCTTTGAAAGTCACTACTAAGAAAAAATACACAACAGGAATTGAGAGAAAATATTTGTAATACATACAATATGACAGACATATTTTGTATATATAAAGGTCTCTTAAAACTCAATAATAAGATAAATAGCATACTAAAAAAGAAAAAGATTCAGACAAACACTTCACAGAAGAAGATCTACAAATGGTCAATACATACATAAAAAGATCCTCAAAATCATTAGCCATCAGGGAAATGAAAATTAAAGTCACAATGAGAAATGACTACACACCTATTCCAATGACTAAGATAGAATAGACTGACAACTGAAAGTTGAAGATACTGGAACTCACATATGATCTTATGGGAACATAAAATGGTAAACAATTTTGGACAACTGGCAGTTCCTTACAAAATTAAATATACATGTAACACATGACCCAATAATCTCCTAGAGTTTACTAAAGAGAAATGAAAATATATGTACACAGAAAGACTTGTACACAAATGTTGATAGCTTATCAAAAAACTGGAAACAACCCAATGTCCACCAACTGGTGAATGGATAAACAAACCACGATATATCCACACTACAATGAAATATTACTCAGCGATAAAAAGGAACAAACTACTTACACATGCAACAACATGGATGAGTCTCAAAACTGGTATTCTGAATGAAAGAAACCAGACACAAAAGAGTACATACTGTTTCACTCCATTTATACAGAACTATAGAAAATGCATACAAATGTATGGAGACAAAAATCAGATCAGTGCTTACCTAGGGCCAGAGCTGGAGGGAGAGATGGACTGCAAAGGATCTCAAGGACACTTTTGGAGATGATGAAGATGGTCTGTGTTTTGAATGGTGGTGGTCTTACGGATGTAAGCCCTGTTAAAACTCATCAACTGTATACTTTAAATAAATGCAGTTTTTTGCATATGAATTATATCAGACCTCACATGAGCTTTATAATTTCTCCATCTTCCACTGTACACTAGCAAATAACTCTTCATGACAATCCAGAGAGGGATCTGGATTGTTTTTTAATTTATGTTAGTAAACAAATTTGTATATTCTAGATTAGGGATGAGCAATCTACATCCTTGAGTAAAATCCAGCCTGCTCTGTGTTTTATTGGAATACAGTCATGCTCATTTGTTTACTCTTCTCTATCGTTGCTTTGTTCACTGTGATAGCCAAGTTGAGTAGTTGCAACAGAGAACATATGGCCCGCAAAGCCTGAAAGATTTACTCTTTGGCCCATCACAGATAAAGTTTGGTGGCCCTTATTATAGATAATAAAAAGTTAGATGTGTACATGGTAATATTTGCATCAATGTTATGTCAGAAAAAGGAGAATCTGCTTACAAGAATGAGTAAGAATGGCACATTGGACTTAAAAAAAATCCATGTCCATCAATATGAATCAACAACAAAAAAATGAAAAGAGAAAGAATCAAATATATTTAGCCTTTGGGTCCTGAAACCACCTTGTATTAATCAACGCTGTTATAGCCAAAAGCTTTAGAGAGACTAAGGTGGAACTTTTTAAAAAGAGCAAGGAAATACCTTATGAATTCAGCCAAAAATGTCTTGCTGAATTTCCCTTTCTCGGTCATGAAATAAATGGAATCAACTGTCATTTCTATTCACGAGGCAAAACCTGTATCTCAGTTTGGTGAATAGTTACTTATCAAACTATGCTCAATGCCCAATTTCCTTCAAATATAATAAAATCGCCTCAGTTAAGGGTGGGGAGGGGACAATGTGTGATAGTGGAAAGAGATATGTCTTTGGGGAAAAAAAGCTCAGCGCTGGATCCTGGCACTACCATTATGAATAATTGTGTGATGTTGGGCAAGCTGCTCAAAACCATGGCTTCCTCATCTGTAAAATGGAAATAACATTTCCTCATTTATGGGGTTGTTGGGAAGTTTAAATGTGGAATGAAACAAAACCCCAAACACAAAGTAGCCAATCCATAAATAGCATGTCTCCCCTTCCCCATCACCATTGCAATGGCAATCTTATTATTTAAGATGAATTTCATCTCAACATCCCAAGGTGATATTGACTGTTACTGCTCTAGAAAGTATTTTTAAGGTGTTTATTTGGGGGAAGAGACTGATTAATTTCTAAATTTGGCTTTAATTCAATTTTTACATAAATATATCATCTTTGTCTCTTCCTAGAGAAGCATGTTGTGCTTCTACGTGTTGTGAAATACCTGCTATGTTTTCCTAATAACTCTATATCCCCTATACTGATTATGCAAGCATTTGCAAAAGTAATTTAAAAACCATTTGCTTGGGAGGAAAAAAAGCTTTCTCAAAAGTTTTTTTCTTTTTGTGGTGTTATCAGAATCCTTTTTAAAATTGAGTGCTCTCATCTTTCTTGAAACAATTTTTCTAAGATAAGAGAAAGACTTTTCAAATACTGCAAGTCACTTCATAATTTTATGGAAGAAATTGCGCAATGAACTTAGAAATATTAGGTTCAGTTTCAGCATGCCCCTTAGGTAGGATCAATGATGAGCAAATCTTTGTATCTGTGTTCTTGTCTCACTGAGGAGCAGAATTTGTCTTTGGACCTCTCTGTGGCTATGAAAATCCGAAAGCCCTAGAGCCACTTGTGCCAGCAAACAGCATAACATCTCCCATCCCTAAGAGTGATTTTCAGCTTTGCTTGTTAATATATCCACATTTATCACCTGCCTTTAGAATTTGGAAACCTATCTACTTGCTTAGACTTGTTCCTCTCTTGTAAATTACTCCTCTGTAGGGGCACTTTAATTTGCTGCCACCAAACCCCTCTTGCTTAATTAAACTACAAGTCTTGTTCCTTCTAAACAGCCCTGGCCTGTTGTTATCCATATCCCAGCATGACATTGAGCCCTTGGTCCTTCCTGGGTTCTAGTTTAACCATGTATGAAATGGGAATGTTGTGTTCTTGGGCGCTCTGCACAAATGTACTAAAGACAATAAAAGGAGATACAAACACTATTCTAATTTTCCAGAAGAACAGATTTTCTTATTGCTGACATTACTAAAGGTAATCTGAATGGTGGCTTTAATCAACCATTTCTTTTTTAAATTAATTTTATTTTAAGTTCAGGGATACATGTGCAGGACATGCAGGTTTGTTAGAGGTAAACATGGGTTGCTGCACATATCAACCCATCACCTAGATATTAAGCCCCACATGTATTAGCTATTTACCCTGATGCTCACCCTCCCCCTGCCCCCCCACCGCCCTGACAGGCCCCATTGTGTGTTGCTCCCCTCCCTGTGTCCATGTGTTCTTACTGTTCGGCTCCCACTTATAAATAACATGCAGTGTTTGGTTTTCCGTTCCTGTGTTAGTTTGCTGAGAATAATGGCTTCAAGCTCCAGCCATGTCCTTGCAGAGGACATAATCTTGTTCCTTTTTATGGCTACATAGTATTTCATGTGTATATGTACCACACTTTCTTTATCCAGTCTATCATTGATGGGCATTTGGGTTGATTCCATGTCTTTGCTATTGTGAATAGTGCTGCAGTGAACATATGCGTGCATGTATCTATAATAGAATGATTTATATTTCTTTGGGTGTATGACCAGTAATGAGATTGCTGGGTCAAATGATATTTCTGGTTCTAGGTCTTTGAGAAATCACTACACTGTCTTCCACAATGGTTGAACTAATTTACATTCCCACCAACAGTGTAAAAGCATTCCTATTTCTCCACAGCCTTATTAGCATCTGTTGTTTCTTGACTTTTTAATAATCGCCATTCTGACTGGCATGAGATGGTATCTCATTGTGGTTTTGATTTCCATTTATCTAATGATCAGTGATGTTGAGATTTTTTTCACGTGTTTCTTGGCCACATAAATGTCTTCTTTTGAGAAGCATCTGTGCTCATCCTTTGCCCACTTTTTAATGGGGTTGTAATCAAACCATTTCTATAATATTTCAAAATAGTCAATCTAGAAGTTATCATAATTTTTAAATCTTACTATATTTTCTTTAAAATAGCAAGTGGCATGGAGAAAGGAGAGTATCTATATGAACATACCCAGAAGAATCTAAAAATAGAAAAGAAAGAAAAAAAAGCTACATATTGCTGGACACATGAAAAGCCCACCTGACTACTGATAAGGACTCACAAGTAACCATCAAGAAGCTTAACACAAAACCGGAAGCAGTGAGCCAATCATGGCATGTCTTAATCTTTCAGTAATAAAAGTTGCGATTTTCAAAGTGACTCTTTCTCTTTTCTGTCTCTATCCAGAGTGGTGTGCCTAGCCTCCTCTGAAGTGCTTGGCTCTCCTGAGCACCATGCTGGGACTTACTGGGGATAGCACTTTTCAGAAGCACTGAATACAACAGTATTCCCAGTTAGTGAAATGAAAACAATTTGTCTCTGGTTTAAGAAAGTGGCCTGCTGTGAAATTAACAAAATATTGTATGTGTTTGTGTATATTTTGAATAAGGCACTCAAGATTGGTGTAGAATGTCTTTATTTTCATAACGTCATGTTAAGCTAATTTTGTTTTTGAGACAGGGTCTCACTCTGTTGCCCAGGCTGAAGTACAGTGGCATGAACACAGATCACTGTAGCCTCGACCTCTTAGGCTTAAGTGATCCTCTTGTCTCAGCCCCCCAGGTAGCTGAGACTTTAGGCATGTGCCACCATGCCTGGCTAATTCTTTATATTTTTTTGTAGAAATGGAAGTCTCACTATGTTTTCCAGAATGGTCTCAAACTCCTGGGCTCAAGCGATCCTCCCACCTCAGACTCCCAAAGCACTGGGATTATAAGCATGAGCCACCATGCCCAGCCCTAAATTATTATCTTATCAGATTGATTATAGAAAAGTCTCCACTTTTCAGATATGAGACTTTGCTTTGTATCCCTAAATTAATTTGTGACCTAATCTACAATAGTGTAAATAGAGCAACATGGCAACATGCCCTCCCTTACCCAGAGGTCAGTGTTTCTTCAACCTCAACTTCCCAGAGTCCAGCCTAGAATGCAGAAGTGAGCAAATGAAACACTTTAAACACTCGAAGTAGCATCTGAGAGTTTCCACCATACAGTGACGACTTTCTCTTTATAGCCCCACTCAGAATTGGAAACTGACTCATTTCATTTACAATTTATGACAATCTTGGTTAACTTTTTCCCCTGGCCCAAAGATGTTTTGGAGTAACAAACTACAAGTGAATTGGGAGAGCAGCTGGGAGCAGGCACAAGAAGAGCAGAAAAAAGCAACTGCCAACAGCTCAATACAAAATACAGACTGAAAGGCAAAAAGCAGACAAAGACTTTTGAGAGCGTAGAATTCAACAATGGCAGTTCATAACAGTGACCTGTAGCCACCCAGTGCATTAGGCGCAGAAAATTTGTATAGAGACTGAAAAGGCAGAAGTTGTTGTGATGCCTGGGTAGGTAAGCTCTTGTTTTTATAAAAATTTACTTATATGGGGATTTCATTCCTTAATAAAATAGGATAGCTGAGGCACTGCTAATGTAATTGAAGAGGGGCTCATTTCAGCACTTTTATTTGGTCATTTTTACATTATTTTCTGTTGAGTTCTTGCATAAAGGGTCTATGTGCCCAGAGAGGGCAGGCTCATGTGGGTTTTGCCCATGCGTCTATACTTTGCATAAACACAATGAGGTGCTTAATGAATGTCTGGTGATGATGATGATCAAGAGCTTAATAACAGGGTCTTCTCTAAAGGCTGATTAATGGGGCTTCAAGTTAATATCTTTTCATTCTCTCCTTGCACTCATATTTTTGGTGTGTGTATGGGAGTGTGGGGTAGAAGGACTATAAACTGAGTATCCATTGGAAAAAATGTAGAAAGGCTATCCTATTTAAAGAGTAGATAGCTTTTACAAAATAATTGCTGGTGGTGAAATAAGATGTCCAAAATTGTATTCCTATGACACATTCCATTATTTGGACATATCTTATTTAGCCAAACTCCATTTCCAAGATTGTATAATCATACTTGCTATTTACAACATCTGAAATGGATCTGCAAAGTTAAGTGATCTTTGGTTCAATCAATGAATTATCTTGCAATAGACCTATGTGCTAGAAAACCAAGTGGTGCTGACAGCTACTGTGATCCTACAGTTCTGCCATGCCACACACAGGCCATTTAATTTTCTACTTGAATATAGCAGGTGGTAACTCTTCAGTCACCCGCTCTCATCTACCAGTTAGTTTAACTCTTTTTTTTTTTTTTTTTTTTTGAAACGGAGTCTCGCTCTGTCGCCCAGGCTGGAGTGCAGTGGCGCGATCTCGGCTCACTGCCAGCTCCGCCTCCCGGGTTCACGCCTTTCTCCTGCCTCAGCCTCCCGAGTACCTGGGACTACAGGCGCCCGCCGCCATGCTTGGCTAATTTTTTGTAATTTTTTTTTTAGTAGAGATGGGGTTTCACCGTGTTAGCCAGGATGGTCTTGATCTCCTGACCTCGTGATCCACCCGCCTGGGCCTCCCAAAGTGCTGGGATTACAGGCGTGAGCCACTGCGCCTGGCCCAGTTAGTTTAACTCTTATTACCATTAAGTCAAGCATAAAAACAATAAAACTAACCCTGCCCTAAACAGGATCCACTCACCAGTTTCCTTGTTGCCATCCACTGTGCCATCATTTTTCCAGATTTAATGTGCGGGAAGTCATCTTAGATCTGCCCCTCCCGCAGCCTCCTCAAATCCATTTTTAGTGACAACGTTCTATAGCTCTTCTGAGTCACATGTGTCTTTTATCTCTCCACTTTTCACTATTGTCTTTGTCTAAGCTCTTAGGCTTCTTACCTCTTGGATAACTTCAGCAGCTTCCTGACTAGCTTCCCCCTCTCTGGTTACTTCCTTCTCCAGTCCACCTAGAATTTCATTAACAGGATAATTTTCTTTAAAATCTGCTTTCAATTTATCATGCCCTAAGCCCAAAATCTTCACTGGAAACTTATATCATTTCATATTTATGAGTCCATAAATATGAGAAAAACTCCGTAAGCAGGAAAACATTATAGACTTGCCATCGTCACAGTAACGACTCTTCCTGGATGTGACATAATGTGACCCATCTTCCCCGAAGTATAACCTGATTTGAAGCTGCTGACCAACATGCCACATTGGGCCCTGGTTAGGTCAGGCTTATCACTGTCAGCGAGCACATCCTATTCTTCCTGCACCACTCTTCCCTCCAGGGGCTGAATAAAAGTACAGGCAGGAGTTTTTTATATTGTGAAATGACCAGACCTACATGGTTTTCCCAAGAGCTCTGTTCTTGACCCCCTGTCTTGTTTATTTTATTAAAGCCTTGGATGAAAATAGATTACATTCTTATCAAATTTGCAGATATTGAAAATGGGAGGGAAACAAAAGCTATGCCAGATGACAAGATCAAAGCTCAAAGAGAACTCCAACAAGAGGTCAAAATGAAGAGCACCAAATGTGACATAAATAAATACATTTTGAATGTTAGATTCAAAGCTCCAACTGAACTGGGTGGGGGAAGACTCCGTACAATTATTATTCTAAAAAAATTCTCAGGAGAGAAGGTCAGGATAAGGGTGAGAGGGCATGGCTTATTTACAAGGAAAAGATGAACAAAGTCAAGTGTTTTGCTTCCAAAATGGCCAATGCACACTTAGGCTTAGTTAATAGACTTACATTGGCTAAAAGAAGGGAGGGGCTAGCTACATGGTGTTCTTCACTGATGGGACAGCTCAAGAATATTTTCAATTCTGGTTTCTGTGTCAGTTGACAAATACATGGAGAATTATGAAGGATCTAGAAATCATACATATAGTATAGACATAGATTTATAAAGAAATACATATATAGATTTATAAAGAAATACATATAATGTATAGATTTATAAAGAAATACATATAATGTATAGATTTATTCATGTTTAACCTGAAAGAAGTGACATCAACAAAGGATGCAATGTCAGTGTTTTGAAGGACTATCTGAGTAGATTTCCTCCCTGCAGCTAAGGAGGTAGGAACTAAACCCATGGGTGAAAGTTTGGAGGAGGTAAACTTTGGCTCAATAAAAAATATTATTTTCTATCCATGAGAGACATAAAGCAGTGGAATAAGATGTCTTGAGAAATTAACTTCTTATGACTAGAAGCTTTCAAGTATAGACTGAGTGACATCATCACAGAAATTTTTTTGGCATTCTTGGAGTGCAGAAAGTTAGACTAGATAACCTGAAGACTATCTTCCTTTCATCTCTAAGGTGTAATATTAGTCCCCACACCTGTAAAGCCCTCTCCTCTCCCATCTCTACACAACACTTATCATATTTGCTTTCCACTGACAGACATCTCTGGCTTTCTCACCAGACTGGGAACTCTTTGAAGGTAGAGATTCTATTTTTTATCTATATATCCCTGGCTTCTAGCATGATTCCTTAAGGAGCTGAGGTACTCAATATATTTCACTGAATTAACTGAATTATGAAGTTCTACTAAAAAAATTCTATCTTCCCTTCAATGTCCAGCACAAATTTCCACTTTCCACAGAAAGCCTTCCCTGATCACTCCTACAGGATATATTCTGTGTCAGACAATTTGCCACATGTAATTTTCTGTTTCTTTCTGGTATGATGTTGTTTACTATGTGCCATTTCTATTATCCCAACTAGATGATCAGTTCCCAATGAACAAAAGAATACCCATTCATGATCTCATGGAGGTAGAGAGTACAATGACGGTTAACAGAGGCTGAGAAGGACAGTGGGGAGAAGGAATAAAGAGGGGTTCATTAATTAGTACAAAATACAATTAGATAGAAGAAATAAGATCTAGTACTCAATAGCATAATAGGTTGACTATAGTTAACAATAATTTATTATATACTTCAAAGTAACTAGAAGAGTAGACTTGGAATGTTCCCAACACAAAGAAATGATATATATTTGAGGCGATGGATATCCTATTACCCAGATCTGATCAGTGATACACATTGCATGCTTGCACCAAAATATTATATGCACCCCACAAATATGTACAACCATTATGTATCCATAAGCATAAAAAATAAAATAAAATAAATACCATTTTAACATTATGCCTTATTGCTGTGCTCAGCACAGAACTGGCTACTGATAATGTGCTTACTGATTGATTGAAAGGTAATATTGTGGAAGGTTTTGGTGTTAAATAATCATATTCCACTTATTAATTACAAAGAGAAAAATGGTAACTTTATAGTGGAGAAAAGTGAGAGATAGAACCTTAACCAAGTAATCAAAATTTACATCACCTAGGAGACAACATCTTGCCATAATCGACCCTGAGAAGATGCACTGAAAAGGGCACATCATTGCTTGGGTGGTGTTTCTGCCAAAAATGAATAATCTCCATCTAATCACAAGGAAACATCAGACTAAACCCAAACTGAGGGACAGTCTGCAGATATCTGACCAGTAGTAAGCCAGAGAAAAGCTGAGACACTGTCACAGATTGAGACTGGGCAAATGTGACACTACATGCAAAGTGGGATCTTGGATTGGATCCTGGACCTGAAAAAGGGCATCTATGGGAAAGGTTGAGAAATTCTAATGAGGTCTGTAGATTAGTCAGTAGTAGTATAACCATGTTAACTTCCTGGCTTGGATACTATGGTTATGAAGATGTTAACTTTAGGGGAAGCTAGATGAAGGCTCTATGAGAACACTGCATTATTTTTGCACCTTGTCTATAAGTGTAAAATTACTTCAGAATAAAACGTTAAATAAGATTTATGAGTTTGGTTTTCAACTTGATTGAGGATCCAAACAACGAAGGCAGCTACCGTGAACCAAAATGAATAAGGTGCACTCCATTCTTGTTATTCGCGATAGCTGTGTTCTACATGGTTGCTGCAAATAGCGAATTAACAAATACTAAAGCATTGCCCCTAGGGGAAATACAGGGTTCGTTTCCTAAAAGCCTCTGGCCACATTTTTGTCAACTGATCAATACACAACATTGTTTTATGTGTGTTTCTGTTTAAAGACATCTTATTTAATATGTATTGTTGATTCATTAACAATGAACTCATAGCTAAAAGCCCTGTAACTCATGCCGGAATGAAGTTTATTAGCCACATATTTTCCTCATCAGGCACATCACAACCTTCTTATGCTTAGGAACTCTAGCCAGCACTTCAACATTACACTTGGGAGTCATTTTAAACAGCAAAATCATCAACAGAAAGCATACAAATGCAAATAACAGTGGCATCAGGTGACACAAATTTTTCACCACTCTGCACATGTCCATAAATGATTACAGAAGTTCTGCAAGTATTAATTTGGGGATTTCAAATACATTTTAGTGAGTGGGCTAACTCACAATATGGAATCTATGGATAATGAGGATTGACTGTACCTATAAACACATGCAATGATTGTGAACTTCTTGGCTGTCACCTTGAGTCAATAAGAAAATAAGTATAATGATATTTGCATTTGAAATGATAAAAGGAATTCTTGAAAGATTAGCAACTTAGTAAGTAACTTAGTTCTATTTCACTTTATGGTCTTTTCCCCCATCCTGACTACACTGAGGATTTCTCTAGTATCCTGGCTTCATCAATGCTAGTGATATTTGTCTCCTTTCCATTTTAGTCATCGGTATACACAGCCACAACCTGAACTTCAGTGTCAGTATCCCCAACTGCTTCACCTTCAGGAAATCCCTTCCTAATTACCACATATCCCACTATGCACTTCTATTGAATCTATTCAACTCCTACTTATGGCCTAAAAACAAAAACTCCTACTTATTCCCCCAGCCAATCACTCTCTTCTAGCTGTGCTTTATTTAGTCAGCAATACTTGGGAAGTTACTTTGATGATGCTTTCACTAGCACCCCACAATCTACTATCTTTTGATCTTTTACAAGTTTTTATCTTGCAAACTATGATCGCGGTAATCAGTTTGGTTTTTTTGTGTCCATTGCTGGTCTGCCAACTATTTCTGCAAAAATTCACAAACACATATTGTTTAAATGCAAAATAAATTAATTTACCTAATCAACTTTCAACAAGTCTTCATTGTTCTTATTCTTATTGATCTACTTGAAATCCAATTGCACAGACAGGATCTGCCAAATATTCCCTCCTTTCTACACACACTGCCAACACTCTATTTCAGACTGATACATAGATCACCTGAGCCTATAAGTTCCTAACTAGTCTCTCCACATCCTGTCCTGTCCACTTTATAAGCTAATTAATCATCTAAAGTAGACAGTTAATCAACCTACATGCTCCCCATAGCTACCTGGCAAAAGTTCAAACACCTTTACATGGCATTCAAATTCTTCTATGAACTGACTTCAGATTACTTGTAAAGCCTTTTCTTCTACTAAACCTATTTGCAAACTATGTCTCAGCCCAAATAGACTCTTTGCATTCTCAAGGACGTCTTATTTCTCTCTAATCAAGTCCCTTGTCTGCACTTTTCTCTTTATGTGGAATATTTTGCCCCCCTCATCTCTGTCCATCAAAATTTTACCTGTTCTTCAAGCCCCAGTTCAAAGTACATTTCTCCATGAAGCCTACTCTGATTTTACAACTGGAAATAGTCTCTTCCTTGGATTCGCCACAGCACTTTGGAACTGCAATTAACGCATTTGTATTTGTAATTATTTTATTCTTCACACTACATTTCAAGATCGTTGAGAGCAGAAAATACCATTTCAATCTTGCATTTACCATAGCACCTAGCATAAATGCTCAGTAAAGTACTATTTAATACATGAATGAATGAATAAATGTGCCTCTCATATGCTTAATATGTATGTAATACATAATGTATAGATATATGCACATATACATGTAACCTCTGTATAACAGTTAAAATTGAACAAGGTCCAACACATTGTCAATGGACCATATTATTGGTAGATTAAAACTGTAAGTAGACATAGGAAAAAAGAGAAAACAAGAGTGGTAAATTAAGAATTATTTGACAGGCCAAAATAAAATCGACTGAGAAAACTTATGTGTGATTAACTATTATAACATTAACTTTTTAGGCAGGGTTGTATTGAAATCTTCCCAGATATAGAAATTTATGTACTTTATTCCTAGGAACCCAAAATAAAACATAAGAATAAACATATCCAATGAATCAAATTGAATAGACATTGCTAGACACAGTTAATACTATAATTGCACATCACTTAACTTGAAGGACTTTTCAATTATGATTAAATGAAAAAAAAGTAACTCATTCTTTATTCTCTATTTCATTTGCACAGTGAATACTAACAAAATAAATTGCCATCATTACCATCACTATCAACATCATCATAAAATGTATTTCTTAGTTAAAAAAAAAACTTCAAAAACTGTACTAAGAGATGTAGCTCTGTAGGAAGGTACAACTGTAGAAGTTTAGTAACATCAAAGCAAAGCAATTTATCAATTTCATGACTATGATGGTTTTATTTACATCTAATGAACAATATAGAAAAGGGTACATCAAGGCCCAGCCATTTAACAAGGGACATTTCTCCCCAGTAAGTTTTGTTTTGTTGCAGGAAAATTGAATGTGATTACTCTAAAATTTAAAAAAAAAATTAGGTAATGAAAATAAGTCAGTTCTGTACTGATAAGCATTAAAATATTTCTTCCTGAGGTATTTTCTATATACTTATGGTTTAATGAACCCTTTAATTTCTGGTGATTCCCAACATGCTAAGGTAACTTTTCAAAAGCTAAGCCTCAACTGCAGCCTAGTGTCATTGGCTGTTGAACGTGTTTCAGATTGGATCATGTGCACTGAAGCAACAGCAGAACTGAAAGGTGAAAATTCTGTAGATGCTAAAAGAAACCTCTATGGAACTTACACGAAGGGTATAAAGGAGACCTGAGATTAACATTTCCTAAATCATAGACTTGTGAAAAATTGCTTGCCAAAAGAAAACTTTGTATAAGTGAACAGACACTTATTGAGCACCTATTTGAGTCAACCTGGGAATAAAAAGATGGTTAACATGGTGTCTATCCAATCAAACAATTCAAAAAACTATACAAAATAGACATATATAACATTGAGTATCATATACTATGATATGTTAGTTGTTTAAATAAAGTATTCTGTGAAAACAAAAGAAAGAGCTGTCTAAGGGAGGGGAGAAGGAAACAGAGAAAAAGGCTAGTCTTTGACCTAGGCTTCAGAGGACACAAACAGCCCAAACAACATATCCTCAACCTTGAGTGTAGCCTTCAATAGAAATCCAAGTTTTAGGATAATTCCAAAGCATGATATATGAAAGTGATTGAGATTAAAGATATATCATAAATATCTGAAGTGATGAGTATGCTAATTAGCCTGATTTGACCATTCCACATGTATAGGTGTCAAAACATTCCATTGTATTCCAAAAGTATATACAACTATTTGTCAATTTAAAATAAAATAAAACTTAGAAAAGATAAATCCCAGGTAGAATGTGTGATGAGACACTGAATGAAGTTAACAAAATGAATTATGTTTATTGGGATGGTATTCTCGCTTAATAAACCTTAAGACTCTGCAAGATAAGGAATATATTATTGAGTGTGGTGGCTCACGTCTGTAATCTAAGCACTTTGGGAGGCAAAGGTGAGAGGACTGCTTGAGCCTAAGAATTCAAGATCAGCCTGGGCAACAAAATGAGACTCTATCTCTCCAAAAAAAAAAAAAGAAGAAAATTAGCGGGGAGTGGTGGTGCACACCTGTAGTCCCAGCTACCTGGGAGGCTGAGGTGGGAGGATCCACTGAGCCTGAGAGTTGGAGGCTGCAGTGAGCCCTGACCACACCACTGCACTCCAGCCTGGGAAACAGAATGAAATGTGGTCTCAAAAAATAAAAATAAAAAAGGAATATATACTACAGTCCATATTGAATTTATTGTCAGAAGTGCCCCTGAGAGATGTCATCATCTGATACAGAAGAAGTTGAGAGTGACTTACTGGGGCTTTTAGCATTTACAGGTGACTCTTCAACATGGGTTTGAACTTCATGAGTCCACTTATAAGCAGATTTCCTTCTGTCTCTGCCACCCCTGAGACAGCAAGACCAACCCCTCCTCTTCCTCTCCCTCCTCAGCCTACTCAATGTGAAGATGACAAGAACGAAGACTTTTATGATGACCCACTTCCACTTAATGAATAGTAAATATATTGTCTCTTCTTCATGATTTTTTAAAAACATTTTCTCATCTGTAGCTTACCTTATTGTGAGAATCTAGTATATAATACAGATAACATACAAAATATATGTTAATCAACTGTTTATGTTATTGGTAAAGCTTCCAGTCAACAGTGGGCTATTAGTAGTTATGTTATACTTGGATTTTCCACTGTGTGCGGGTTGGTGCCCCGAACTCCTGAGTTGTTCAAGGGTTGGCTGTACTATACAGAGAGAGTAGAAAAATGATCACCTTTTAAGAAATGCTTTAGCTTAAGGATAAGCAACATAATCAATCGTGCCATGAGCTATGGGCTGCCAGAAAGTAATGCGTTATATTTAGAAGGCTTTCTCCTCAGTACTCAAATAGAAGAGATTTCCAAATTATAAATCAGGATTCTGGAAGCAGAGAGCGCGATGGCTGGGCCAAGCCTCAGATAGAATTCCTTGCTACCATCATTTTCATCAGAACAGACCAGCATCCAGACACCTCCTCTGAAAATAAAGAGTGGCCTGAAGTTTATCCTATATTACCTTAGAAACACAATCTACAGACAATATGGATTATCTATACCTTCTTAATAGGTATAATTTAGCTACATTCTTTTAACCACTGTATGCAAGTGTTGGGCAAGTAATCAGCTGAGAAGCCCTAAGCCCTCTGGAAGCAAGACTTTTTGACTGTCCCTATATTTACTTGTAAGAGGCCCAAAGCCAGGTATGAAGGAGATTCAATTACAGAAAAATTTAAATCAATGGCCACAATAAAAACAGCTTTGATTTTTGGTCCCAGATAGGCCATTTGAAGTATTACCTGATGGGGAAAACCTAAAATGCTTGTACAACATAGAGGGTAAAAAAGAGTTCTTAAAAAACTTGTCTTTGAGGGTGGGAGTGGGGGTGAAAGATAATAGACTACACATTGGGTACAGTGTACACTGCTCAGGTGACAGGTGCACCAGGATCTCAGAAATCACCACTAAAGAACTTATCCTTGTAACCAAAAACCACCTGTTCCCCCAAAACTATCGAAATTTTTTAAAAGAGTTGTCTTTGCTAACAGTCCTGGGGAAGCAATTTTTTATTAAAATATTGACATTCCTCCCAATGCTTCATTTGTCTAGATAAATGTAGCCCATGGCACAAAAATACGTTCTTAGGCTGGGCACAGTGGCTCATGCCTGTAATCCCAGCACTTTGGGAGGCCAAGGCAGACGGATCACTTGAGGTCAAGAGTTCGAGACCAGCCTGGCCAAAATGGTGGAACTCCATTTCTACTAAAAATATAAAAAATTAACTAGGCGTGGTGGTGGGCGCCTGTAGTCCCAGCTACTCAGGAAGCTGAGGCAACAGAATTGCTTGAACCTGGGGGCGGAGGTTGCAGTGAGCCAAGATCGTGCCACTGCACTGGGCAAAAGAACAAGAGTCTGTCTCAAAACAAACAAACAACACCAAAAGTACATTCTTAATAAAGTAGAAATGCACGGTGATTATGCTTTACTTATCATGCTGGCATTTTTCTAGCAATTTTTATTTTTCTATCATTCCCAACATTTTTAATTTTCCATGTATCTGGGATAGAATGTGGAATTAAAATAAAAATTAAAACAAATCTCTGTCTAAGAGCTTTCTTGAAGTATGACAAAGGTTTAGGGACAAGCCGTTTGTAATTCGCTGATGGCAGGAAAACTAATTCACTACTGGAGAATTCTGACATCTAAAATCTACATACTGATATGCTGGAGGGGAATGAGAGAGAATGTCTATGATTTTAATTTACTTAACCTATTTAGAAAAAAAAAAGTCATTTGAGTCATCCTGGCTCACTTTCTTTAGCATTAGTCAGATTGCATTTCCTTAAGCCTGCGAGTGTGTTTCTATGTAAATAAACTATGTAGTTCACTTGGGGATAAAAGTCACAGTATTTAGAGATTATAAAGACCTATTAGATCATCCGGTCTGGCCCACAAGAGATAATCCCTAGATAGGGAACATAACTGTTGATCTTTGCCAAGAAGCCAAGAAGAAACAGTTGGTAAAAATATTTTCCATACTTTTTTTTTTTTCATTTTAACTTATCTAATAGTGCTTCAGTCACTTCCCAAGTGGACTAGTAAAATGATCATGAAACAGTTCAGCTTATCAGGGAGATGCAAAGTTTAACTTATCTGAATTGACAATGGTCCACCCTCCTCCATTTGTTAAAGAAATGCTCTTGTTTGCAAAATGTGAACAGTGAAGAATCTGCTCTTTGAACTAGCCAGGCAGTTTCCTTTCAGTTAAGAAAGTCAAAAGGCAAGTTGTACCTCACTGGTTTTCTTAACCTACTTTCACTAATTTCAGAGAAATTAGATATTAAAACAGGAATCTGTACAGAGTAGAAAATGAATGATACATTTACAATTTACTGCTTTACAAACCAAAGTATTTTCCATCTTTATTTTCTATATTACATAAAATATGAAATATTATTGAAACTTGAAGTATACAGAAGTTTGGCATTAGGGTAAAAGTCAAAGTGACTCGGCAATATGAACCTTAAGAAATAAGAATTTGCTTAAGAATTTCCAGAGTCAGTATGATAGTTGTATCATGAGAGATTATATTCCATTAGAAATGCTGTTAAAAAAACATAATGTGGCCCTTGACTTCTTAAAGTCTACATCCTAAAGGCCGGGTACGGTGGCTCACGCCTGTAATCCCAGCACTGTGGGAGGCCAAGGCAAGCAGATCACCTGAGGTCAGGAGTTCGAGACCAGCTGGGCCAACACGGCAAAAACCCATCTCTACTAAAAATACAAAAATTAGCTGGGCGTGGTGGCAGGTGCCTGTAATCCCAGCTACTTGGGAGACTGAGGCGGGAGAATTGCTTGAACCCGGGAGGTGGAGGTTGCAGTGAGCTGAGATTGCACCATTGCACTCCAGCCTGGGCTACAAGAGGAACACTCCGTCGCAAAATAAATAAATAAATAGTAAAGACACCTATTCTGGTCACTGTGTCATTTATTCCCTAGTTCTTAAATCCTGCTTTGATCACCCTACGTGTTTTCCCTACTGAGATTATATTCAGAAAATTGTCAATATTCCTGAAGAGGTGAAAGTCACACACACGTACAGAAATAGGAAAAACTAACGAATAGTAGGGGATGAGCTGGTAACGTTAAATTAAAAGTTAGAAAAACTGGATCTAAACATTTAAAGCAGAATTATTTCTTATCAGCTAAACACAAATCAACCTAACCCAGGAAGGAAATTTTCTATTTTTATTCAGTTAGAATTTCCAGAGTCGGTATGATAGTTGTATCATGAGAGATTATATTCCATTAGAAATGCTGTTAAAAAAAATAGTGTGGCCCTTGACTTCTTAAAGTCTACATCCTAAGTCAAGAGCTTATATTTATTTAAGCCTATAACAAATTTGAGGATTTCAGAACTCAGTGAGACTCTCCATGTGCACTGAGCATGCACTGTGAGCTAAGCCCTTTGCCAGGTTTTGCAAGAAATCATAAAGGCAGTATTAGATATGGTCTCTGCCCTTCCAGAGCTTACAGTATGAGAGGGAAGATAAATATCTACTCCTCCGACCCTCATCTCCCACACATGATGAAAAGTGAGTGACTAACTTCTGCTATCTCATTTACATTGACCTCAGATGGTGAATCAGAGTCTAGACAAGAAAATCACACATGTACATGGGGAAACTGAGGAAAGTTTAATGAAAGGATAATTTGTAAAGATTGGACAGAGTTAAGAGGGACCAAGAAGAGATGGTGAAGTGTCCCAGGACTAACAATAGCAGGAAGTCCTTACACCCAAAGGCCTGAAAGAGCAAGAAGAGGGAGTAGTTATCAGAGGCCAGAGAGAGAGCTGAAACTGCAAGAGATGGCCTCTCTCAGGAAGGAATAAAGCTAGGTCCTCTCTGTAGCCTACAGGAAGTGAGTCAGGGGCATTTAGTACCCTAACCTCTGTCTTCAGTACCCTAACCTCTCTCTTCACTTTCTCTCTAATCTCTCCCTGTTGACTTACTTGGGCCAAACACACTCAGAAGCCGGTGGGCAAAAGAGACTGTTGAGGCAATGCATGAAGGTGCGCCTCTGAGAGCGTAGAGCTAGATAGAAAACGGTAGAGAAAAGATCTGGCAAGGCAGGCAATGGCCAACAGAGCTGGATGAATTTAGAGCCACCCAAGCTTACAGGATAAATATATGCTATATCCAGAAGTAAACATTTGGATAGATCGGTTAAGAGTAATGCTTTATTTGCAACAGAACATTTTGGCACTTTCCCATTAGATAAGATCAGTCAATGTTAACATAAGCTTCCAACTTAAGCCACAGAACATAAATGGTGAACTCTAGTTTAACCAATATTCTGCCAAGTGAGGTCTATAATTTGTACTTTTATGTGTCAACTAATTATACAAGATAAATTTGGTTTTATAACACTGACCTTGAAGCATACAGGATTCAGAATAACTTATAAATCTTAGGAGATGTTAAATTGTATTTAAAACAGTTTTTTGTTGTTGTTGTTTTGTTTTTGTTTTTGAGATGGAGTTTTGCTCTTGTCACCCAGGCTGGAGTGCAATGGCATGATCTCGGCTCACTGCAACCTCCGCCTCCCAGGTTCAAGTGATTCTCCTGCCTCAGCCTCCGAAGTTTCAGTAGCTGGGATTACAGGTGCCCGCCACCACGCCTGGCTAATTTTTGTATTTTTAGTAGAGACGGGGTTTCACCATGTTGGCCAGGCTGGTCTCAAACTCCTGACCTCAGGTGATCCACCCACCTCAGCCTCCCAAAGTGCTGGGGTTACAGGCGTGAGCCACCGTGCCCAGCCAAAAGTTTTAGTTTTAAGCAGAATATATTCTTTATTTTAAAAACTGGTCATTTGTATATCTCATACATGGCAATTCTATTAAAAACTATATTGATTAACCAGAAAACTCTGCTTCTTGGTCATGGCAAATAATAAAAAGTTTACTTTCCATAAATTCATTTTGCACCTTTCTCTTCAGTCTTTGGGGGATATACTATCCTTTAATTATGCTTCATTCAATATGTGTTTTGCAGATTGGTTCCAGTATATCAGTAGCACTTCGTTACTCAATAATAAAAAGCTACAAATAGATTAAAAGACTCTCAAGCCCCTCGAGGATTTAGAACACACACCACGAATGTTCCATTTATGCTTTGAAGTTGCTTATTGGCAGCTGAGCAGGAGCAGTATGTTGCTCTAACACTGCAGGCTCACCATGGAGCATCATGCATCCCAATTTGGAATTCAAGTTATGACTTGAATCCTATACATTTTATTCAAATATAAAAATGGCAACCACAGAACACTTGAGGCCTTATTCATCAAACAGAATTCATCACTGAGTCATTCTGGAATTGCTGTCTTTCTTTCCTGGACTTGATGAACTTTGATACATGAAATTTGGCTGCCCTTGGTACAATTCAATCAACAATTAGAGCACTAGAATTGCAGTGATCAGCCTGGTTTGGAAACATGTCTAAAAGTTTTTGATTCAATGTAAAAGCTGAATGTGTGTCCCACTCCTCTTTCCCCACTCCCCTCATCAAAGCCCTCACAGTCATATGACAGCAG
Organism: Homo sapiens; assembly: GCF_000001405.40. Taxonomy (NCBI): domain Eukaryota; kingdom Metazoa; phylum Chordata; class Mammalia; order Primates; family Hominidae; genus Homo; species Homo sapiens. Next base: position 122,141,000 of record NC_000011.10, read on the forward strand.
GACTTAGCAGTAATAAATAATGTATATCCCTCAAATGTTTCAAAGACTATATATAATATAAAAAGTGATAATTATTTGTGGGATCCGAACTGTGCAGATAACCCTGAAAATGGATTCCTGACCCAGAATTTTTTTTTTTAATCACAGCGAGAAAAGTCTTTAGCACTTGAAGAAATGGGACATCTTAATTTTAGCTTCTGATCACAGTTTATAAACTATAAAACAAATTTCTTTTTAAAGTCTTATAGGAACAAGAAGTGATCTTGACTAAGATTCCCCTGAGATAGCCTCGCAAGTGAACAGATAATAAGATCACAAAAATGTGTTTGCCTGTGATCTTTAGATGGCCACACACAGCACACAGTCTACTTTCAGGTAATTTTCAAGTAAAAATCTCAGTGTAATCATAATGTATTGATTTGTTTTGCCTTGGTTCCTTTTCACAAATATATTGATCCACATTCCTTCTACCTGAAGCACTCAGAAGAGAAAGGCAAGATGCACAAAGTAGGATAAGTCAGAAAGAGGTGGCTATGTTATCAAACATTTATTTGGATCACATTTTAGGAAATACCCCATAAAGTCTCTACTGTGCTTATTCAAAGAGTCCTCTTTCCCTGAATTTGTATCTTGAGAAGTTAAGTCTCATTTTCCCCTGCCAGAACTGGAACGATTTATTAAAGCAACAGAAAGAAAATGAAAAAGACAGAATCCATCTTCTAGACAAGGCTCAAGCCATATTAAACATGACGCTACGTGAATTTCTCCCCTCCTCCACCCTCCTTAATGCACCATATAGAGAGGCTCTCATGCTGTAAAGATGTCATATATACTTTCTCTTCACTCAAAGCTTCCTGAATAAAGAGAGATCTATTTGTCTCCATGGTGTTTTCGCCATTAACAGTATCAGAGCTGCAGGAACACAATGGGAGATGTGTTTTCCGTTAACCTCTTGACTCAGAGATGTCCTGATGCTAAACGTTATTGCATTTTGCATTAGCACAGAACAGTGGGAGTTCTGTGACTGATGTAAAAGGGTTGAGAAGGGCCACAGAAGCTCTCATGTGCTCCATACTGCAGTTGGCGGTGGAGCACGAAGCACATAATTTTTGTTCAGAAAGAGCACAAACGGGAACCAGGGAAGGAGGTGGTGAATCTGACACAGTCCCTCCTGTTCACCACTGAGATAATCTACACTGTAAAATGATATTCAGTGTCTGATCATAGACATTAACTTGGCAGAAACTAATTTACTTTTCTTTATTACCTTAGCCATCAGCAAACCACGGAACGAACAAGGGGATTAATATTTACTTTCTTCTCAGGCTACTTTTTCCATTGCCTTAATATGGCCTTCAGCGTTAGTAGTTTGATGTGGCAACCATTACTGAAAATGTTCCTTACTATTCTGCTCATGTCCCTTTGACAGTGCAGAGATAGAATTGGGGAAATACCCTTCCACGCTATAAGACAAGGAGGATATGTAGTCTAAGAAGTAAGAGTCGTCTGGGCGCGGTGGCTCATGCCTGTAATCCCAGCATTTTGGGAGGCCGAGGCGGGCGGATCAGGAGGTCAGGAGATTGAGACCATCCTGGCTAACACGGTGAAACCCCGTCTCTACTAAAAATACCAAAAATTAGCCGGGCATGGTGGCGGGCACCTGTAGTCCCAGCTACTCGGGAGACTGAGGCAGGAGAATGGCGCGAACCCGGGAGGCGAAGCTTGCAGTGAGCTGAGATCGCGTCGCTACACTCCAGCCTTGGACGACAGAGTGAGACTCCGTCTCAGAAAAAAAGAAAAAGAAAAAGAAAAAAAGAAGTAAGAGTCTACTCATGAAATCAAAGATTACTGAGTGACAATCCCAGAATTGCAGAATATTCATTATGGGTACCACAGAAACTATTGCGTTTCATTCCACGAGTTTACATATTTGAAGAGTGGAGGTCATAATGTTTAAATGATTTGACTATGGCAGAACCAGGTTGGGTACCAGCACTCATGTACTCATGTCCCCAGGTGAATTCTCTTTACATGCACGAGTCAAGCATGCTTCTGTTGAATGAATGACCATTGTACTAGGAAGATCTATAGGACCTTGCTCAATGTCACAATATCCCTATTTCTAAAATGTAACTTTTTTGTGTGCTGCATCAAAGGGTTCTGTATTAGTGAAGGGAACTAAAATATATTAAAAATATAGGCTGTGTGACCTACAATTAAAGGGGGAAACTTGATGTATTTATGTAAAGATGGGAAGCCATCCTCAGATTTCTTACCCTCAGCTTAAGTACTTGGACTTCTGGAGTAAAGAAGCATTTGATTATGTAAAACTTTGCTACCCTAGAGTGTGTTCCATGTATTAACAGCAGCATCTGCCCTGAAGGATTGGTTAGAAAGAATAGCAGTGGCCTACGTTGTTATTCTATTTGTAGTTGGAACTTATATTAAATATTTAGGAAATATATATTGCTTGAATTAAGAAAAACTTGGTTTACTCCTTTTTCCTAAGATCTTCATAAAGCTCAGAGAAGACAATATGCCAAAGTCAACTTAGAGAGAAGGCTACTGTTTGTCCTCACAAGACTGTCTTTAGAAGTAAATACATTTCTGGTATAAGAAGGGGGCTGCTTGCACTGTTACATGCTAGCTTTAGTATCTCTATTAATAAGCCAATTAGGAAAGAATCTTATGCCTGCTAATTAAGGAGCACAGATGATCCATCTTCAATAAAGTTTATAAACTCACTATTCTAAATGACCAGTCCCCTTAAATTGGGTCAGCAAAACATTCTTTGCTGGATGAAGAAGGTCAAGATGCCAGCAGTGTTTCTACGTTTTGAAGCTCATCAGTGAACTAGGAAAATAGCTGGATTAACAGATTCTGAAAAATTAAAATAACATATGTACCACCCATAGAGATATAATTTCTTGATAAATATGTAAAAGTGTATCCCACTACAAGTTTCTTTTCCTTCCTTTTTTTTTTTTTTTTTTGAGACAGAGTCTTGCTCTGTCACCCAGACTGGAGTGCAGTGGCACGATCTCAGCTCGCTGCAACCTCCGCCTCCTGGGTTCAAGCGATTCTCCTGCCTCAGCCTCCCGAGTAGCTGGGACTACAGGTGCATGCCACCATGTCTGGCTAACTTTTGTATTTTTTAGTAGAGATGGGATTTCACCATGATGGCCAGGCTGGTCTTGAACTCCTGACCTCAAGTGGTCCACCCTGTCTTGGCCTCCTCTTTTCCTTCTTAAACCCTGAGATTAATTCCTAGAAGATACTATGGCCATTTGTCTAAATGATGTATTTGGGATTTATGGGGTTAAAAATGACTGTCCATTACATAAAATTCAGTGAAGAGTTTCCCTGAGGAAATAGAACACATACTCACCAAAGATGAAGACAAGGGATACATTATTTTGGAAAATACTTTACCCATCCACTACTGCTGAAATTCACACTAAGATGGTATCTAAAGTGGCTTCCAACATTATCTATTTTCCTTGCATTCTCAAACTCTTTGTCCCACCATGAGCTATTGGCTAAAAATCAAAACAATGTGAGCTCCTAGACACTACAGCCATTCTAAAAGCACATAAGGCATTATTTAAACTCTAGTAGATAAAACCTCATTACTAAAGTCAGTAGAAATTCAATCCTAGTAAGGTTACTTTGTCTTCAGAAGCAGGGTATCCCAAACACTAGCTTGCTCTTGGGAATCATGGATGTGTAAACCCACTCAGGTTTATCCCATTGAAAAGGAGAGGATCTTATTGTTTTGTAGAAAAAGATAACATGATTTTTTTTTAAAAAAAGAAGCTTTATAAATGTATAAACAGTATAAGTAGGTCCTCATCTGTGTCAAGTGGCTACAGATGTTTAATATACAAACTCATCCAACACAGATACAGGTAACAAGTATGCTTAATGTTAAACTCATAATAAATGTCACAAAGTAATGACAGCATCTTCTAAAGCAAGGCATAGTCCCTTCTAAAGAATGAAAGAATGAGCTAAGAAATAAAGACGGCACAGCAGCCTTTGAGTCTTGCTCCTAGTTCTGCTGCAGAGTACCAGGGTGGTTTCAAAGTAACATCGAACCTTCAGCCGTGCTTCTTTATGACATGGGGCTAGTTATTCTTGACCTCTTAGTAACATGACAATCACTGGTGGTAATTCACCATAAAAATATTTGAGCATAGAATCAAAATCCTGACACAGGGAATTTCATCTTTTCTTTGAGGTAGCTGAGAGAGAGAGAGAGAGAGAAACTATAACTACAGACTGCATAACCATTTCCTTTGACATATTTTGTACATTAAACTACCAGAAAATAATAAAATGGACTAAATACCTCATTATGTACCTTCTGACTACCCATCTGTATTTTCTACTGAAAAGTATCCAGACATGGAACAACTAACTCCTTCCTAATTGACAGATCTGGATTTGAGTGCTGGTTTGGCTGCTCATATGCTCTTTGTAGATTGTGGGATTTCCATCTAAGACAGGTAAAATGTCTGTTGTTCATGACATTGGTTATCACTATGAAATGACCAAGTTTATGCTTTGAGATAATCAATCTCTACATTATTACTATTCCAGTCTTTTGGTATTTTTCCATAGAAGTTTTCATAGAGGTTGGCTAGAGCATATCTCAATAAGAGGGATATAAAATTGCATTCAAAGACCAGCTTAGCCTAAAACCCAAAATGTGAATTCCAAAACATGGCTCTTTATCTTGGAAACTTCCTTGAGTGGAGAGTACAAAATTCTTTTAATTTGATGATATCTAAGAAAGTGCAATACAGTTGCAAAAAAACAGCCCCAATTTGTAATGCCTTCCTGAGTTCATGTCCTTTGCCATGAAACTTTGTAGTAGTGGCCACTCTGCCTTCAGGATTGGCCATGTGGCTTCCTTTGACCAATGAGATATTAGCAAATACAAAGCAGGCAGAAGCTTGTAAGATCCTTAAGTCACTTGGCTTGTCCTTGTTCTTATTCCTCTGCCTTTACCATAAGAATGTGCTAGAACTAATCTGTTGTCAGATGTGACACATAGCACAGAAATTAGCTGCCCCCATCAATCTAGTGACCCCATCTTAGAGCTGACAGCCAGAAGAAATGAGCCCAGGCAAGACCAGAAAACCTGTGTAAATCACAGATACACAGACTCATGAGCTAAATATGCATTTATTGTATGCCACTGAGGCTTTGTAGTGTTTATTATGCAGCATTTTTTTGTGACAATGCTGCATTTTTTGTGACAATTTGGTGTTTATTATGCAGCATTTTTGTGACAATGGACACCTGATATACTGAATCCCTCAAAGCCTCACATTTTTCTTAAAACAAAATCTAACCCGAGGAAACAGAATATGAAAATACAGCATGGGTACAAGGATTAAACAAAACTTGAATTCTAAAATACCATAAAATAATCGTACCCAATCTTACCTTTCATAGGGAGAAAAGGCCTGGAGGAATCATGATCGTTCTCACCATGTTGTTTAGTGCAAGACCCAAGGAAAGCTAGGAGGCTGTACAGTTATCTCCCTTGATGTAATTCTAAACTATACAACCTACTACCTCAACCTGGGAGCATGCAGTCACAATGGCTGGAAAACTACCATTTCTTAAGCAGGGAAATTACAAGTTAGTCTTATAATGATTCATCGTGCTGTCACCTATTTGGGCCATTCATAAGAGACAACATATCAAAGAGTCTGATGATAGAAGAGATAACACAAAAACCTTGGCTTGAGATTACCATGAAAACATGAAGGGAGCAAATACTTGGGACTGGCCTTCTTGAACTATTTGTGCATGGAAATTATAGTAATGTTACATAATGGTGATTCTGAACAATTTAATGCCTTCTGATATCTGTTGACGAAATAGAATAGTAGAACAATATTTAAACTTGGGCAATTAAAAAAAGATTAGAAAAATAAATGTTCCTCTGGTAAAACTGAAAAACTGGAATCACTAAAAGATGGATATATAAGAAGAAATGGCTTAAACCAAAACACAGTGAAAAGACATAGAAAACATGATTCTGAGCAAAATACAGATTAAGAAATACCGCAAAAGCTATATTGAACATCCACCCAACAATATTTATCATGTATTTTACATAATTCTCATATTTAGAAAGTGCTCCTTTTTCCAGAGTTGACTGTTTCAGCATTTCTCATAAATCTGTCCCCAACAGTCTATTCAACAACCTACAAAATGTGCCTATTTCCCTGTTTGCACTTGTAATTTTTTTTTTTTCCAAGACAGAGTCTTGCTCTGTCACTCAGGCTAGAGTGCAGTGCTGCGATCTTGGCTCACTGCAACTTCTGCCTCCCTGGTTCAAGTGATTCTTCTGCCTCAGCCTCCTGAGTAGCTGGAATTACAGGAGTGTGTCACCATGCCCGGCTAATTTTTGTATTTTTAGTAGACACGGGGTTTCACCATGTCGGCCAGGCTGGTCTCAAACTCCTGACCTTGTGATACACCCACCTCATAATTTTAAACTGAATCTTTCTTGTATCTTCAGTCCCAGGCAGGTGCTGGAGCAGGAGATAGGCTCCTACAAGCTTAGCAACTTCTCATTTCTATGTAAACTCAAGTTTGGTCAGGTCTATATTTTCCCACAAGGACTGCTCTGTGGTCTATCAGAAGCCACCTCTCCTCATTGCTTAGCTGGACTCTGGTTTTGCCCAGTAAAGGCTGTGCTACAAAGGAGCTAGGTCAGCCTAGGCAAATAGAGATGGAGGCACATCTGAGCACACTGAGAATCTTCCTGATACTTCTACTGCACTGATCGTGTTCAAAAGACAGATTCAAATGCCATAGCATTGATGTTTCTTCATGTTATTCCACTAGCCTGGAGAAAAGTGATTTTTTTTCCAATGTTTCCAACCCTATTTCCTTATGCTTTGATGAGGTGAAACTGCTTTTTTTGGGGGGCGGAGCGGGGGGGCTGCCTCTGTTAGATCAAGGCTACCTAGTTTGGGAGAAAGACTGGGAGGTTAGTTTTATCAAAAAAAAAAAAAAACTCTCATTCATCCTTCAAGCCTCATTTGAAAGAGTTCTTCCTCTGATTATCTCACAATTTCATATATGCATTTATGCTTTAATTCTCACATCATTGCATTATAGTTTATCTGTTTGTCTCATTCGCTGGACCCCAAGCTATGTGAAAATGGGACCCCATAATTCACCTTTGCCAATCTGGTATTATCTGCAATGGCGAGTAGATGGCACATATAGAAATTTAAAAAAAAAAAAAAACTTTGTCAAATGAAAAGAAGAATATATGCATAAATGGATAAATGGGAGTATAAATGAACTTACAGTTAAGGGATGATCATTTTTATTTTTATGTCCAATCCTTTGTTCTTCCACTTATGTTAGAATTTCACTCATAGTAAGATGGATTTGCTATTAAGATTCCAGAGAGGGCAAAAAATCAGAGTGGCTGAATTCAACCTGGCCGGTTTAACCTTAAATCCCAGATCTCCTATGGAAACTCAAGATGTATTTCCAAGTCTTCTGCTACTAGATGCTCACTTATGTAGAAGATTTAACACTTACTGTGACCAAAAAAGAATATATAATTCATTTTCTTTCCTCTTAATTTGAATTTTTTCATTCACCTTGCAGTGACACTGTGCCTGACTCTGTAAGCACAATCACGATATATAACCCTTATGAATGGGACACAAGGCAGGGGAAGGGCAGTAAGTGTTGACAAAGGAAGACACAACAAAGAGAGGATAAGATCCATGTGCTAGAGTGCTAGTCAATCAGCCACAACATACAGTTCAGAGGGCTTTTAAATACCCAGAAATGGAAAAATTGATCTTTTTCCATGTACGTTCTTATTCTGGGGGTCAAAGATATAAAGATGCTGCTCTTAGAATACTAATGGTTTTCAATACCCTGCTCTTTTGGTTGTGAATTTCCTTGTTTATTTACACTGATTTTAGCCCATTATCATGTATTAGTGCAATTATGGCTCATTACATAATTAGTGTAAATATTTGTAGGCATGTAATAACAACATGCAATTATGATATGGAATGATGTCATAAAAATTCTTATCGAAAAGTACGAGTGAAAAATAAAACAAGAAGTAGTATTTATAGGTGAACAACAGTAGTATATCTTCAGGTAGAGACAATCTATTGTACTTATTAACTTAAAAAAAATCTTCCATACATTCTCTGAACACGTGTAAACAGACTCTCATGCTATCAAACACCGAGGTTTTAAGTGCTGCCAGCAGCAATCCTCCAAACGAAGTAAGGATAAACCTCAAACAATGCTATGAGTGTCTGAGATTAGGAAACAGCAGAGACACCCCATTAGTAAACATATTCTATATTTGATTAGGCATTTGGAAGTTGGACAAATGTTTTGATTAAAACATGGGATTCATTAAAACATGTGTCAGTATGGCTGACACGCAATTCTTCAAAGGGGCCCCTGATCAGATAATTAGTTTTTTGAAGCCAGAGTCATATCTTTGTCCTTTAGCAAAGTGCTGAACACAAAGTAAACATTCATAAAGGTTTGTTGAATGAATGAGAGAATGAAGAAATCATAATTTTTCTAGCCTTACGGCTATGCCCAATGTAAAAAGTGACTTTTTTTCCAATTCATACTTTATTAACTACCATGTTAGGTTCTAATAAATCTTTGAATATCTTTGAAGAGTCATTCACATCGACTTCTCTGTACAAATTCAGTGCTATTACAGGCAGTAGAGGCTTTAAAAATCTTAATTAGAGAGCCTAGGTGGCATTTGATGGGATTAAATACCATAGTCAACAGATAAGGATCCACAGGACCTAACAAATATTGAGGAATGATTCGTAAGCACATTGGAAAACTAAGAAATCATATTAGTTTAAAATTCAAAATTAATTCTATCATACACATACCATTTTTCCCATGTAAAGAAATACATCTATTAATTTTGAAATATAAATAAGAAAACTTCTCAAGCTAAATCTCAGCTTCTCCCTCCTCAAACTCTGATGTTGCAGGGTGAGTTGCTCAGGGTGAGTTGCTTTATCAAATGCATTTCTCGGAATAAGTTTCTTTTCCTGTTTTAAAAAAACAAATCTAAACCATGTCCTGGTATTACATCTTAAATATATTTTGATAGTGATGATTTGAGAAATTTAATAAAACTAGTTTGCTTTATACCCATTCCATTTCCTCCATGCAATAATAGCTGTTGAAATATTTCTTCCAAGCCTTTCTGGGGAAATTCTGAAATTATTTTACTTTCTGCATGATTCCTGTAGGATATTTGGTACACTCTGAGGGAGCCTCAAAGGAATAATTAATATCTACAGAACCATTCATTCATGAACATGGAAGGAGGGAAAAATACTGAATTTCATCATGTAAAATATTTAATATCCTGTTTCTTGTGGCCAATGTCCAGGGGCTTTGGGCTTCCCATTAGAATATTTTCTAACCAGATGAATCAAAGTTTGAAGCCGTTTAGAAACTTTGAAAGGGCCAACTGCTCTATATAATCTTTTTTTCTTGGGATAATGTGTTTTTAAAAACCTCCTTAAAAGAAGTAATCTGGCAGTCACCCACTGGCCATTTTGCAGTCCCAGTATTGTTCCTGTACGGGGAATACTGGGAGCTCATGGTCCCCATGGATCCATGAACTCCACCGCTAATCCCATGGTAGTACACTTAACAGCAGGTTAAAGGATGATGAGTAGAGATGTGATTTTGCCGTTATCAAACAAGTATTTATCTAGTGGAGGTACTGATTTAACTTGCTAGCAGTTTATTCATTCCAAGTTAACCACTTCAAAGAGGCATATAAAACTAACCAAGCAAATTGTTTGCTTTTTGTGTAGATAAAGGCCTTAGGCAAACAATTTATACAACACACACCAATGAGGACAGTCTTTCACTTTGGGTTGTAATATGCCATCATTCTATAATAAAGCAATGCTTTCTTGGCAAGCAGGGGGTTGAGCACCATAGACAACCCTCCTCAGTGCTATGCAAAGGAAATGCATGGAAACAATGTCGTCTTGGTCTAGCAATTACAGAATTCCAAATTCTACCCTTTATACATATGTCATCTGTATCTAGGCTGTCCTAATTCGGAAATGCAAAATCTCATTTCTATATACTGGATAAAAGAAAGAGTTTTAGTTATTCCTGAGTAGGTCTTAAGAGGAGACAGAATTTATCCACTTGAATTTCAAACTTTTCTCTAATGTTAACCCACCAACTACTTCATGTTGACTTTTTTTGTTAGAAGAGGACACACACACACACACACACACACACACACACACACACACACATCTTAAGGGAACTTCTGGCACTATGTTTTACCAAAAGGGCATGCAAAAGTTTTAGAGTCATCCAAATCTGATCAACTTTTCACCCTGGGTTCTAGTTCTGTTTACAGACTCCTCAGCTCACATTGTTGGAATGAAACAAATATAGCCAGTTTTGCTTTGATCTGTGGTCAGTTTAGCTTTTCAATCCTGGCACAATGGTGACATTTAAGAGGCAAGAGGATAAAATTATTTTCATTCCAGCGTTTTAAACAGGATAAAGACTTATAAAACAGCTCTGGCCAAATATGAATTTGGACCTAAACAGGCGATCTCTTTTTTATAAGAAGTCCTTCTTACACTGCTGGATATAAATAGAAGTATAAATAGTTAGGCAGTTAAACACATCCATTCTGATTTATCAGTCCTTATCTTCAGAAGCAAAATTATTGGGGAAATTGGGGGAGGAAGAATTGCAACAAAGGAAAACCCAAAAACCCAAATCACGGTGAAATTGGTCCTGTAAACACATCTGCCACTTTCCAGAAAATATCATAATAACTTTGAAAACAATTAGGCTTACAGAAAACAAAACAAACCCTTGTTTATCTCTTTACTCATCACTCAACAGTAAGTTGTTCCAATCACTCAAATTCTTGCTGCCTCACCTGTAAGCTCAGCCTTCTAATTTGACAGCAGAGACCAGTTACAAGAGATATGGGAATTGAGGGCCAGCCTATTAATTCATCATTGAAGAACCTCATTCATTTCAGGACAAAAGGTCTCCTTCCTCCACCTCAGCCCCCTTTTCCATTTTTATCACTCTTAAAGGAAACTAAGGGGAAGAGAAGGAGAATGAAATAACTCGAAGGGATATTGAATGGCATATAAGCAAAGCCCCAGGTCCGTGAGATTGCCTAACAGACACATACCTATAGATACAAGCTTGTGCGGACTAATACCACAAGTTCGGATCTACGGGTTTGTGGCAACAGGCCTCAATATCTTCTCTCTTTTGGGGCTGTGACATGTCTGAAAATAAAATATTACAACCATTAATCCAATAAAAGAGTCTACCATTCAATTGTTTTATGCCATAAATGGAAAGGACTTCGTCCCACTCTCACAAAAGCAAAAGTTAAGCAATATCTTCTATGTTCTCCCCAACGTGCTTCCCTTGGTTTCCACTTTTTCCACAAATCCAGTGGACTTTAGGTAAACCTCATCATTTTACTGTTTATATATGGAAGACTCATTTATTCACTGCTGAACACATAATCTGGGCAAAGTGATACCAAAATGGCAAACCAGCAGAATAAAGAAAATTCTTTAAATTGTAGGCAGAGAGAAAGAACACATGAGAGCCCAAATGCAAGTCCATTCCTTTAAATACCTGTCATTACATTAAAAATGATGGTGAAATTTTCATTTTCCTATTTGCATTCTGGAAAACAACTAGAATAAACTTAGCAAGTACTACCAACGGATTTATAGGTATATTTTTTTTTTTTTTGAAAACCACTCTAGAGTAGATTTTCAGGTATATTAAGATCCATCTTCGGGAAAAGTTTGCATTTTTGTTCCCACCCCCATCCCATCCCCACACTTATTATTGATTCAAACACCAACAATGAGCAAGTTTGGGTGTACTCTGTAAAATTTGAACCATAGAAGAAATTACATAGTTGTTCCTCCTTCCCCCCGCACCCCCCGCCCCCCGCAATACTGTTTGAAAAAACAGGGATGAATCTGTTTCAGAGACCTTCTTATAAAATGATTGCATTTGTCAACATAACATTTTTTTTCTGCAAAGCCAATGTTCTACATATAAGAAGGGAACATCCAAGACAATGGACTTTCATTAACGACGCCTTTTGTGAATTGTATTGAAGACAGGCATAATCATAAGCACTTCAGGGACATATATTATACAGCTAAATAACTCCCTGTCCTAGATGCTGGGAAACACACATGACTCCATCCCTTTACAGGACCTAAAAAGAGACCTTTTTAACTTTTGTTAGCTATAATTATGGATCCTGGCTCTCAAAATAATTATCTCATTTGCCTCAAAAAATGGACATTCACTCCTTTCTCAAGAATCTGGGGCCAGGCACTGGTGGCTCATGTGTGTAATCCCAGCACTTTGGGAGCCCAAGGCTGGCAGATCACTTGAGGTCAGGAGTTCAAGACCAGCCTGGCCAACAGGGTGAAACCCTGTCTCTACTAAAAATACAAAAAAATTAGCTGGGCATGGTGGCGTGCGCCTGTAATCCCAGCTACTCTGGAGGCTGAGGCATGAGAGTTGCTTGAGCCTGGGAGGCAGAGGTTGCAATGAGCCGAGATTGTGCCACTGCACTCCAGCCTAGGCAACAGAGTGAGATTTTGTCTCAAAAAAAAAAAAAAAAAAAAAAAAAAAGAATCTGGGAGATGAACTGAAGCCCTACCAAGGGGAACAAAAAAAGACAGAGCTGAATTGAGGAATTATTCAGAGAAAAGAGCAGGCCCTCGTGTATGCAACCTAAAAAGTTAAATAAAGAGAACAGGAAACCAACAGTACGATGAACAGAAACTGAGACATAACCATTCATAGATACTTTGTTGTTTCCCCATCTCATCACAAGTGAGCTGTGGTACAATTGCTCAGAGCCTGCTGGTGCTGTGAAGGTTGGCAAAACTGAGAATCTAGTTGTAGCTCTGTGGCTTAATTTTCAGATCCAAAGAAATAACAATAGCAAGTGGAAGTAAGTAGTATCCAAATCAGTCACCCCCAGATGGTCTTTATTTATTTTATTTTAAAATGTTCATTTCCTTTCTAAAATAAAAGACTTTTAAATAAGCTCTGAGCTGCTTCTTTTCCTTCCGTCTCTCTGACAAAGGCATGGGGCTAGAGGTATTTGAGGATGGCCACTTTGAACCCTGTTAAATATTGCTGGAATGTGGGGGATGTAGGTGCTCCTATTATAATGGAGCAGAATAAGCCCAACGTCCCAGAGTAATGAGAATGAATTGTTATCATCACGCTTACTAGAACGATACAATATTTGTTAGCGATAGACTAAGATCTATCAAAGTGGTACACTGAGACATTCAAATAGCACCACTTTCATAAATTTGCATGGCGCTCTTGACCTCCACAGAAAGGAGCTCAATGCTGCGTTTCAGCTGGGGGCAGCTCTCCCTTTCCTTGGCAAATATAGAACAGAGAGAAGTTTTTCATTTCAAATGGTTTGTAGTGTTAACCTCCAAACAATCCAAAGTTTCCATTTTAGAAAATAAAAGAGCAACCAGAAGATACCCAGGCTGCAGGAAAAAAACGAGAAGAAAATCAAATACTGACCTAGTAAAGGGATGGTTTGTTTGGGAGTAGATATTTTTCTTAAAGTATTAATTGAATACGTCCTTTAAGAATCTTCTTTGTGTTGAGGAGGAAAATGAGGGGTTTTTTTCAGAAGAAATTTTGGCTTGCTTCATTAAGCAAGAATCCGTGGGCTCTCTTAGTAATATTAACAAGTTGGAAAATATGGGTTAATGCTGATAAGCAGTGACAAAGGCCGAGTAATGTAACTTATAAAGCAAATATATAATTTATGTTATTAAACATTTTTAGGTGGCATAAAGCCCTTCAATGACACTAAAAGGAAACTGCCTGTATCATGAAAGCTAAGATCAAATCCTACTCACTGAATATATGCATGGGAATAGTTTCATAAAGTGCCATATAGTATTGCCAATCTATGACTAAAGTAAAAAAAAAAATCAATATTGTTATTATGTAATTTATATAAGCTCTATCTTCCAGGAATTCAGAACACATGGTAGGCTTTTTAGAGCCAATCCTGTAATACTTATATTTTTTCATTCAAATGCCCAAGATAGCGACAGAGTTAAGGGGCAGTGCCTGCTAGTTTCAAATGCTTATGATTGCTCAGAGCCTGCTGGTGCTGTGAAGTTTGGCAAAACAGAATTTAGTTGTAGCTCTATGGCTTAATTTTCAAATCCAAAAAACCAAGTGCTGTTCAGTAATAAATTTCTAAAAATTTTCCAAACTCCATAGAGTTGAATGTCATGCCTGCTCTACTCCTTGGCTAGGAAAATTATAAAACTGGTTTCTTTTTTAAAAAATTAAGTTTAAAATGTAGTTATTCTTCATAATTAAATCATTCAAGCATGCCCTAAAAATTTGCAATACTTGAGGAAGCGAAAGGTTTGGGAAAATTACAGAAAAACACCATTACCTGAAAAAGGTAACTTCTTATGTAAAATTTTAAACCTGCTTCCATCTTGTTAGGCTAATATCTTCAAATCATCCACGCGCGTCTGGAAAATAAGACATTTACAATATTTTAAAATGGGTTAAGAATTTTTACTTGTTTTTCAGTTGTTTTTTTTTTTTTTTTTTTTTGCCACCCAACTCTTTTGTAAAGTTGAAAGTAACACTAGAACAAGAGTAAAAAGAAAAACAAAAACTGAAATAAAACTATTTCTAGAAAAACATCGGGAACCATTATGTTTACTTCATTTCCAGAACTACGCATAATAAATAGGTTCTGCAAATAAGTAATTTCACAAATCTTTCCTGGAATTCCCCTGGCTACGCTTGGACCTTGAGAACAATTTTACCAGAAAAATGATCAAATAGGAATGTGAAGTCTCGGAATACTCCCATACTTTTGTACAAATGTTTTATACCAAACCACTCACTTGCTAAGCATGATGAAGAGATAGGCTATCTATGGTTAAGAATAGTTTAAGGAATAATCAATGAATTGGGCAGTGATTACCTGGCATGATGCAGCGCCATTGAGACATCATTTTAACTTTTTTACTGTCAAATGATTCAGGAGTCATTATTTCTCTCGGCTGATAGGGCTGTTAAAAAGAAGCAAGTATCCGATTGTGGTGGACTCATGAGTCTATGCCTCTCCACCACAGCAGGATTCCTGGCTTCCATTCCAGTGTCCTTTCATTGGCCATGTTTTGGACGCGGGGTTCGCCTTCCCTTCATTGTCCCTTTACTAATGGAAGGCGAACTCACAGTGCAGCTGCTTGCAAAAAGGAAAATTTATTTGAGTTTTGCCTGGCTGTGGACTTGAACACTGAATCCATGGTGACATCAGCAGAACGACACCAACGGAAAGATTTCCTGCCCTCTACCCCCCTTCCTTTTTAAAAATGTACGTCTTGTACAAAATCTCAGTGGATCTCCTTTGTCCCAAACAGATGGGACAGTTTGACCAGATAATATTTTTTATCTGGGAAGGACAGGAGGAAGGAAGGAAGGAAGGAAGGATGGAAGGAAGGAGAAAAAAAGAGAAAAGAGAGCGGCACAGAGAGAGAAAAGAAAAAAGAGAGAAAAAGAAAAAGAGCCAGAGACAGAGAAAGGAAAGAAAGAGCAAGATAGAGAATAAAGAAAAAATAAAGAGAAGGAAAAAAAGGAAAGAATAAGGAAAGGAAGGAAGGAAGGAAAGAGAAAGAAAGAAGGAGAAAGAAAAAGTAGGAAGAAAGGAAAGAAAAGAAAGAGAAACAGAAAGAAAGAAAGAAAGAAAGAAAGAAAGAAAGAAAGAAAGAAAGAAAGAAAGAGAAAGAAAGAAAGAAAGCTTGTTCAAATCTAACCTTTGTCGTTCACTCTGACAGTGGGTGTCCCCTGAAGCAGGGGAGACACTAGTGTTTGGTCTCCTACAGCTTTTCAGTTTTTCTGATCGTTTCTCTCATCCTTTGCAGTCACTGGTTTTTGCCAAAAGATCCAATCACCTCAACAAAAGAGGCACATCCAGCAATTGCTACTCCAAGAGTAATTCATTGGTGCCAATTGTCGTGCCACGTTTTATCCACCTGGGACATTGCCACAAGGATATCAGACCACAGAGTGGGAGCAGCGCTCAAGGATATGACGCAGAGGCTTTTGGCATCAAAACCAGTTAGCTTAGGTAGAACTCATTCCTTTTTACAAGGAAAAACTGGCCAGAAGGCAGTAGGGAGCGAGGAGAATGGCAAAGCAATGCCATGGCTTTCATGTTTCTTTCGAGCAAATGGAACACTGAAGATTGATGGATATTTATAATCTTCATCTCACCACACCCTGCCCACACTAAACAATATTTTATGAAAATGATAAATGCAAGTGTGTGTAGATCAAGCAAAGAGAAAAGATGGAAAATGGTATAATAGAAGATAGATCGGATGAAAACAAAAGACACTCTTAGACTATTTGAATAGTGAGCTTACTTTTCTGTAATTAAAAAAATCTTAAACCCACTTAATATTCACTTAAAACAGGCATATAACAGAAATCAACTATTTGAGAGTGAGAAATTGATGGCAAATTCACTTTTGACACACTAGATGAAACAAAAGAGAGACTTTGCCAGTACCAAGTTGTATCGTGTGCGCTGGCTAAGGTATACTACTTTCACTTTTGAAAGGAATAAGTTTGCTCAGGATGACAATTTTTCTTCCTTTTTAAAATGCAAACAATGATGCCAGCCTACAACTTCCTTTCTAGCTATTTTGCTAATAAAGCAGGGGAGGAGAATTGAAATTTGAAAAAATAACAAGACCTTGATTCTGACATAGAAACATCAGACACGTACTTTTAAAAATCAGATGACTGTCATCTCTTTAATAGAAGTGAACTATATGCTATATAAATGCTTCCTAGACACCAGCCAACTTTAACACTTTCTGTTCAAAGCTATGTTTTGCTCTTGAGAAAGTATCTCACAATTAGATGAGAAAGTGGGTGGATAGGATGGCTTGGGAAGATTTGAAGATTGAATCCTGCAAGAAAAGAGATACATAATATGTAAAGAGTGAGTATTTCTTGAGGGTTTTGACCGCATGACAATGGAGTCTTGTTCTGGGAAAGTTATAGAGGAGCCTGGAACGTCCAAAATGATACTTATAAAAAAAAAAAAAGCAACCTTCAAACCCAAGAAAAGATGTTCAGCTGAAACAGAAAGACCTTTTTTCTTACTCCAGGGTGCAGATCCACTCAGAGGAAAAGTCACACACCCCTGTCTCTCTGCATTTCACCCAGCAGGTCAGCGTTTCTCCACCTAGGGCTCTCCATGTCTATTGATTTCCACATGTCTCTCTTTGTTTGGAACAACAACCAACCAACTAGAAGACGATTTTATATACTCTTCACCAAATTGAAGTTGGGAAAGAAAAAAAGTATTAGACTATTTTCCTTACTTCTCGCTCTCAACTTGTCCCAAATATTGATCTGGTTATTTTGCTTTCTAGCCCTCCATCAACCTCCTAACTCTTTCTCTCTCTCTCTCTGTCTCTCTCTCTCTCTCTCTCTCTCACACACACACACACACACACACACACACATACATACATACACACACACACACAACTGCTGCTTGATCCAATCTGGTGCCTGCTTAACAACAAGAGAATGACAAGCAACATCTGTTTGTAAAAGAGCCAAAGTCAAACCTTAACGTTTTTTTGGCTAGGTTTCTTTTTTCCTTTTTCCCCAGACTCTAAAATGGGAGGGGGCAGAAAGAGAAATATGAAGATTTATATTCAGCATCGGCTCCAATGAGGCAGCATCTATACTCCCCTAGAGCTATTTCAAGGTAAAAACAATTTTAGGTAAAACCACTGCAGAATTTATGGTCGTCTCCCCTGCAGCAAGCCCAGCCACATAAAATCCAACATATCAAATCCCTAAAAGTCAGGATTTTTTCCTAATAGCTTTATATTCATCTTCTAATTAGAATTACAGGGTCTTTGTGTTGGGGGAGGGGTGGTAGAGATAGAAAGGGAGGAGGGTAAGACAGAAAAAGAAAAATAGAGAGGAAAGGAGCGCCGTTGTTCCTCCCAGATTTTATAACCCAGGCGTGTAACAGGCATATTTACACTTGTGCCACGCACAGGATCGTGCACTTGAAGCAGCAAGGCTGTGGCAGAAATCTGCACAGCTGTAGCCATCAGAAACAGGCTCGCTCATTCCCCCACGGAGAGGTGGTTTTCTGGAAAGCTACCAACAGACCACAAAGTCACAATGCAAAGGATCAGAGCTCCCTCAATGGGAGGGGCCGGGGGTGGAAGGGAGGAGAAGGAGCTGGTAAAAAAGAGAAAGCCTCACTCACCAAATGAAACAATTTTGCCCCCAAAGAAGGGAAATAGGGGACTGTCAGAAACTCAACTCCCATTTCACTCAGGGTTTGGAATAAACCCACACACATTAAGGGAAAAATAAATGCAGACAAGTTGCTAAGGAGACTTGTGTAAACTCCAAGCGCAGACATATTTCTTGGCCTTTCCCCCTACGCTCCATCTTGTATTCTGATCACGCTGCTCTGCGGCAACGTTGCACCAACCTTCTGCATTAATCTTGGCCCTAACCGTGCATTCTGGCAAAGCACACGGGTTGTAGATATCATCATCTTTCAAACTTAACAAGTTAAAAGGGTGTGTGTGTTTGTGTGCATGTGTGTGTGTGTGTGTGTGTGATTAGTTGGGGGGAAAAGTAGAGAAATCTTAATTTGGATTTTAAAAACATAGGTGTTGAACAAAGAATATTTACAGTGCATATTTTGGGAGCAATGGGGAAAGGATAGGTAAAACATCTAGCACTGGAAATTTCCTTTAGTCTGTAGATTCCTTCATTTCTCCATACCCCTATACTTTTTCCCCCTCCCACATCTTTGGTTAAAATCCTGTGCCCCTGGCAGATGCAAGCAGAGCCTGCATCACTGCAGATGACAGTGTAGGGGCCTAGGCTTCTGCAGAAAACAGTGCATTCGACAAAGTTGAATCCTGCTCCCCTACTCAGGGTGTCCCAGAGAGACCAGCTTTTTGAAAACAAAGGGGGTCAATTCAAAAAAACACCTAAACCAAACCTGTTTAGGTTAGAAACCAGCTAGCATTTTGGAGGAGGGATTTCAGCCTGATGTCCACCCGCTGGAGCTGAGAGCTTGTCCCACAGTGATACATCTTCAGTAGCAGCTGATATATGTCAACATTTGATTTAGAAGAAAATTAACATTTTCTTTCAGGACAGGGATGTTTGTACTGTAGAAGCCAATATTTTCCTTTCTCAGCCTCTCGTATTAGAATTTCTAAAATCTTCCCCAGGACAGAGAGAGGGCAGACAACAAATGTTCTAAATAATTGCTCAGAGCACTGGAGCAAACTATATGCCCCCAAATCAAATCTGTGTGTAGGTTTACATGTGTGACTTTGCATGTTTGCATGTGTGTGTGTTTACATGTGTGCACATGTGTGTTAATGTGTTTGTTCCTTTGTGTCTCCTCTATGTACGTGCGTGCATATTTGAGGATGTATGTTTGTGTGTGTGCAAGTGTGTATGCTTATGTGTGTTTGTGTTTTTGCAGGTGTTTGTGTGTATGTGTGCATATGTGTGTTTGTGTGTGTGTGCTCGCATGTGTGTGTACTTGTGTGTGCGTGTGTGTGAGTGTGTGTGTATTTCCCTGCCTCGCTATGATAGTGGGATTAGTGAGATGCACACCAAGGCAGTTGGAAGGTGAGCCATCTGCTCAGTCCCTTCTCAAATTAGGGAAGTTCAAAACATTTGCCCACCAGCCACAACAGAAAAGCTCCAGTGACGAGCACCCAATCGAGCCTGCTGATTTAGTTGCAATCCTTGGACGGGTGGCCATGGGACAAGATCCTGGTGAAGGGATGGGAAAAGTCTTTGCATTCTGCAAAGGGCTGGGTGTGTCTCTTCATGCTCCAAGAAGGCTATGCATCTTCCATCTCTTCCCTCTGCCAACCTCTATTTGGTTTTCACACTTCAAGGCTAAAGCAAGCTGTGCTGCCTCAGTTGAAATAAGGCCGCCAAGCAACTCTTAAGCTAGCAAGATGGAGATTTGGCTCCCGCCATTTGCAGAGAAAGGCACTGTCCTGTAACTGGGCCTGCTTGCCTACCCTTTACACATAGGAGCCCTCGATTTTAGGGAAGGGGACATCATTGGAGTTTTTTATGACCTTTTCCCTACAAAGCATATCCTCAGATGTTTTATGGCACTAAGCCATCATGACTCAATCAAAATGAAAAATGAACCTGGAGGGAGAAGCTCAGGGTGGGCATATCTCAGCAGGCAACTGGGCAATTACCCTGTGACCTGGTTGGCCTGGGGGCAGGGCAGTGACACCTGCATTTTTTCATTTGTCCATGAAACTGCAGTAGCCTGAATCCCAGGATATCCTGCCTAGGCACCTGTTGGCCTATTTTTCCTGCCTGCTGGGATTGAGAGAATTGTCTCACCCTAATGTGAAGACATATTTGTTAGGATACTGCGTGATTCTATATGATCAAAGAGAGGAAGAACTAATTTACAGGATCAATGCAACAAATGATCCTAAAATAGAGGATTCTTTCCCATGTAGATTGCCAAAGAAAATGCTTTCTATTGTAAGTTGGCTCACTGCTTTCTCAAATTCTCTAAAGAACAGAAAACACATGAGACACCTTTCATTCTACCACCACCTCCCCTCCCTCCAACCTTACCAGTTCTTCGTGGAAAAATGAAAGCTATTAGGAAAGAAACAAGCAACATGGCTAGGCCAGCCTGGAAGGGAGACTGCACCAGACACATAAGTGCATTTGGATAACTTTCAGATAGAAAAAATATAGTTTTAAAAAACATACTGGAAAATCCTTAAGAAGCTTGTTTTTTTGTTGTTGTTGTTGTTGTTTTTTGAGATGCAGAAGGAAAAATAACCAAATTAACAGTGGCTGGAAAATTAAAATGCTACCCAGACACATCTCAAAGAATAAAGTAACACAACTTCTATTTCCAACAGGGGTATTGGGACATGTTTGCATATATGTGTAGATTTGTAAGCAGACTCAAGTACTTGTCATCCAAATCTCTCACTTCTAGCCTTGAAGTGAAAGAACACATCTTTTTCACATTGTGTAAAGTGACCTTCCTTTACTCCACCCTAAAATTCAGTTTTATACTCTACATACAGGTTAAGGAACAGAATGTTCTACCTCCATCGTTTATGAGCTAATGCTCCAGATTGTGAAATGCTTTACACATCATTCAGCAATTGTCTCCCAAGTCCAGTTGGTATTATCACTCCACATTGCATAGAGAGTTGACATAGAGGAAAAGTTAAGTGTCTTTCCCAAGCTCGTATATTATTGTAATGACAGCTTTAGAATTCAGATTTTTCTCCCCTTTTTAAACTGGTGAGAGGGTTCTAGGTCTGGCTGAAGGAATTTGGAGGTGTCCCTTCCCTCATTCTGCATTGTCAGTCAGCTGTTTTGTATAACATGTAATCCCAAGGTATAGAAAACCCCAGCCATGTGGCCTTCAGTGCTGCCATCTTGGGTGACCCCAAAGAATAAGCAACCAATGGCTCATCTTGGGGACTGGCATCAGAGATAAATTCAGGTTGAGAATGGTCTCCAGACATGTATTCTACTCATGCCAATCCATTGGCACGTTTCTGTCATTCTGATCATAAGCAACAGATGACAGGCCTCACTCACAATTCTGCAAAATGGTTTATACTATCTAGACTAAAACTAAAGCCCATCTTTCCATTACCTGAGTTAATTGTCAATGCTCTCCGAATTTGTATTGTTTTTATACATGGACAGGGTTGAGGAGAGGACAAATTCAAGATTTGAAGAGAGGGTATCAAGTACAAAGTATCCTATGTAAAATATTTATGTTTTCTATATATCCACAAGTCAAGTGGTTATTAATGTATACTTAAAAATTGCTAGTGTCTCTCGGGGGGCATTCAAATGGTTAAGATGCTATTCTTGGGTAAAATTAATCCATAATATAATTACATCTGTATTTTCATCTTACATAAATAATTTATTTCTGACATTTAATGCGAACCAGACATCACCTCATGGATGGCTCATAGAAGCAGGGTCATATTTCCCATTTCTTTTGGTGTGGTATTTTTGGGGTGGTAGGCAAGAATGGGTGGGGTAAGTGGAAAGTCAAATCTTGACTCGCATCTAAATGATTTGTAAACAGAAAAGGCTGGGAAAAATCACAGATGCAGTCCAAAACTCCTTCTGCAGACATTTTAATCGTACCATGAGAAGTTGAGATGCCACCATTTTTTACTTTTATTTTTAAAAATTAAACCACTTACTCCAACTCTAATGGACTGATTGGGGCTTTTTGGAAAGTGAGAAGTATTCTGAAATCATGTCTGATCTTGGTAGGAAAGAGTTTTATAAGCACTTAGTAAGTCATCACTGCCATGGGGGAAGAAGGTTGATGATAAAATGTAGACCAAATATTTGCCATTCCTGGCTGACCCCAAACTTTTTCTGTATTGGCAGGTCTTTATCTTTCCCATGACAATGGGAGAAAGCTATTCAGCAGCTTCTCTGTGATCAGTATTTGGATTCCTGAGAAGAATATTTTTATTATTATATCATTTCTGGACATTCTTGCTAATAAAGAAGGAGTTCAGGTTGATTTTTATCTTGCATTAACCAGGTCTGGCACATTTTATTCACATAATCTTTAGGGCACAATCTAAGTTACTAGAGCAAGGTAGAAAAAAAACACAAAATAATTCCCATCCCCTTTTACCCATCACTGGAAGATACAAACCTGCTGATAGCTAAGCCTCTGTTAAAAGCAAAAAATCAAGAAAAAGAGAAAGTCTGGTGCAGCCAGCACCCTCAAATCCATTAATCCTAAGTCTAATTCTCTTTAGAATCTAAGTAAGACAATATATTTTACAACAAAAACCTCTCTCGGGCCAATGCAACATGACAAGACTGGCATGACTATTTCTTCTGGGAAGACTGGGAAACAAACTCTTGGTGATGAGTGAGGGCAAGCAAGGGCGAGAAGAAGCCATTGTAATGAGCTGTGGATGCTTTCCATCTTACCTTATTGACTTTGCCAGGCTCCCTCTCGCTACAAGGTTAGACAGCTATGGCCGAATAGGACATAAAAGTAGCAGACTTGCCCTTTATTTAGGACACTCAGCCACAAACAGAGGCACCAGAAGACCTTAGGCCCTAAGGAAGCTTTATCACTGTGAACGAGGTCTCACTATAAATTCAAAGGATCACTAATGGACTGCTGTTCCTACATGGAGGTGAAGCCTCAGTCTAAGGTCCAAGTAATTCAAATAAAAGTCCCTTTTCAGATACAGATGCCTAAAGGCACCACATTACAGACTCTCTCACTCCTATTGATCTAGATTTCTCTGCTGAACTCATATGGTAGGCCATGAAATCCACCTTCCCCAGAGACAAGGCAGTTGGGTATTGATTCCAACCTGCAGGGAAACCCACTCTATTTCCACATTTCCAAGATGAGGCAGAGGACGCTTTCTTCCCCTTAGCCCTCAGGAGCTACCATAATGGCCCACAGAGATGGAGACTTTCCAGCCATTGAACAGAGGTCATCGGTCCTTTTTATGAGCAAAATAGATAGGGCTCACAGGTCCTCATGAAGTTGGACCATCAACTAGTTCATCCCTCTGTCACCAGCGAGGAAGAAAAATGTGTTCTCCAGTCCCTCCCCACTTTCAGTACATTTGGTAAATGAACAGGAAGGGTCAGGGCCACCAGATGTTTTTCAGTGACCTGTGTGCATGCAGCCAGGGATTAAGATCAAGTTGCTGATGAGTTTTCCTGGTGGACCTGGAGTCCCCAGCAAAAGCAATGACCACAGGAGACAGGAGCCCCTACCTCTGAGGTAGGAATTTTCAAGGAGACTTAGAGGCTTGACCTCCAAAGGGGAAGCCTGGTTGGAGATTACAAATAAAGTACAATAAAAACTCTGTCTGGAACAGGTTTACATAGAATCCCCTGGGTAACAAAAAATTATGAGAAATTCCATCCAGGAGTTGAGCTGAGCATCAGAACCTTCATGTCTGCACATCTGTAAGTCCTATTAGTGCTTATAAGATCGACTTGCCCCTGGATAGATTTGGGAAATGCAGTTACCCTGAAGGGGCCATGACAATATGAGAGCTAACACATGGCTGCCTCAAACCTCTCCTCAGAGCTTCCTTTCGGGGGATATGAGCAAGTAGATTGTGAGCTCCAGGGTACCCCCATCCTAAATTATCACCCCCCCCATCCATGTGCAGAAGCGTAACTGCGTGTCTCCCCAGCAACTGCTTAGTCGATGCCAGTTTGCAGGTAGAGATGCTGGCATTTTACTGCTGAAACCCAGAGCTAGATTTTCTTCTTAGCAGTTCACAGCCCCTCTAGACCCATGGCAGACAAAGGCATCACCAAATCCTCACTAAGCTAACATAAAAGCCCTGAAAACAGAAACCCCTCTCTCTCTAACTGCCTTTCTTATAACATATGGCCAACTGGCCTCACTAACGCTAATACGACGAAATTCCTATTTAAACATCCTAGCGGAGGGCTCTAATATGGCACTGTCTCTACTGTGCATTTTCTTTCTTTTTTTTTTTTTTCTGTTAGATCTCTGCCTTTACTAGATTCCCACTTCCCTGCACACACATACCTCACAAATGGGCTGCGCCAGATGGACTCTTAATCATAGTAATCAGCTGGGAAATTAAATGTTAGAAAATCCAGCTAGTCTCCTGAATTTTCCCACTTGAGATTAGGGCCTGAGCTGTCACCATGTCCTATATGAGACCCAAGCTGCCTTTTAAAGAAGGACCAATGTGACAGATCCAGTATGGGCTTCATGCTTTATGGGTGTTTGTGTTTCTTTCCCGGAAAATGACTGCAGCTCAATTCAGTTTTGTTTCAGTTCTGACGGCTGCTATTAATACCTCCTATTTACAGAACACACACCTCAGAGGAGCTCAAAACATTTACAGAAATTAACCAAGCCTTGCAACATCCTGTCAAGTATGCAGGGGCTAGATCTTACTTTCTTCATTTCAGAAGAAGAAACTGAATTAAGAGGGCAATTTTTTTTTTTTTTTTTTTTTTTTTTTTTTACCATGCCACAAAGACAGGACCTCATTACCCCCTCATTTCTGGTGCTCTGCCAAATGAAGTAGGTGTTGTTGTTTTTTTTCATAGTGTACTCACCAGCTTGTTATGCTAGTATTTTTCAGACACACACAGGCACACATCATGATGTAAAATCCTGATGTGCAAATACGTCTTCTTTCTATAAATCTCCCCACAAGTGTTATCACAGGTTTCCTCTAGTAGGTGATCAGTGAGTATGATTGATTGGTTTGCAATAAACCTAACGTCTTTAGTTTTCTCCATCTTTTCCCAGAAGGCTCCTAGATGCTGCTCAAATGTTGCTTCCTCAAGTGACTCTGAGGTCCCATCAACGGCCAGGTTTTTGATGATTCTGTTGTACCCACCTCATCCAGCTCTCACCTCACTGGAACTATTAAAAGGCATCATAGTAAAAAGAAAGGAACTTTGTAGTCTTTGAGATAGACAGGACTCCATTTGAATCCAAGGTCTGCCATTGGGGGACAAGGTAATGAACTTTTCTCTATTTCCTTATCTATAAAATGATATAATAATATCTACTTCGGAATCCATCAGGATGCTATTTGTAAAAGGTGAAAATGTAAACGATTTACTATTCATCAATATGGGAATCATCAGATACATCACCAGTATTGATGAATATCAATGCTGAGGGATACTCTGTAGCCCTTATAAAGAAATACTAGACATATATAAAGCAAGAACTGACAAAGAAATACTTTTAAGACATATTAAATGTAAAGAACAAGTTGAAGAGAATATATGTGATTATACATATATATATATATATATATATATATATATGAAATATTCCCAAACTATGCGGTTATAATAGTATACAGGCTTACTGAAAGGCAGGGAATGAGATAGGTGAATGAGATAAACTGTATGACGTATGTATAAATAAAGTGCTCAAGAAATGGTAGTTACTTCTGTTACTATTATATGAGTTCCTTGGAGGTGTGACTGTGTTTTAATCTTTTATTTGTAGCTCCTGGCAAACCACAGAGGCTGACTGAGTAAAAGAAAATTACTCAATGAATGACTCAATCAGGAATTAATTGTTGAGTCAGTAAATACGAGCACTAATGTGAATTACAAAGACTCTTATGTATTGTTTGGAATGTTTTCGAATGTAGGGAGGCAACATAGTCCTTTGGGAAGAAACAGGACTAAGAGTCATAAGGCCTTGATTCTTGATTAGTGTTTCTTAAAGTGTGGTCTCAGGACCACCTGCAGCCAAATCACCCAGGAGGCTTATTAATTATTAAAGATTCGTGGGACCCACCCCTGATCTGAATCAGATTCTTTGAAATTGAGATCCTGGGATCTGTGTTGTAAACAATTTTTCTTTTTTTTCAGCTTTTTTGAGGCAAAATTGACATATAGAAATTGTACATATTTAAGGTGTACAACTTAATGTTTTGATATATGTATACATTGTGAAATGTATATATTTTGATTTATGTGTACATTGTGAAATGATCACCACAATGAAGCTAATTAACACATCCATTACTTCACATACTTCTTTCTCTTTCTCTCTCTTTCTTCCTTTCTTTCTCTTTTTTGTGGTGAAAACACTTAAGATTTACCTGCTTAGCAAATGAAAGAAGACACAGAAAAATGGAGACATGAATAGTTTCTTCAATAAATGATATTAGAAAAACTGCATATCCATATGCAGAAGAATGAAATTAGACCCTTGTCTCATATCATATACAAAAATCAACTCAAAACAAGTTAGAGACTTAAAAGTAAGATCTGAACCTGTAAAACTACTCGAAAAAAAAATAGGAAAAACTATCCTGACATTGGTTCTTGGCAATACTACTTTGGATATGACTTCAAAGACACAAGCAATAAAAGCAGAAATAGACAAGTAGGATCATATCAAATAAAAAGCTTCTGCACAGCAAAGGAAACAATCAACAGAGTGAAAAGGTAACCTACTGAATGGGAGAAAATATTTGTCCGTCATATTTCTGATGAGGCGTTAATCTCAGTCTATTTACAGATAAAAGTTTGAGAATTGCCGGTTTAGATCATGTTCTGACTTCCTGTTTGACTTTGGGCAAATCACTAACCTTTCCAGAATATAGTTTCTTCTCTACAATGTAGTGGATGGATCTTAAATGCACCTTGAAGTTGTAAAATTCTACACCCATGACTAATCCAATTCCCTGACTTTAGGTAGGTCTGTATATAAGCCATATAAAATGAACTATTCAAACCTGGTTTGAGCTGTCTTTGGTCCTTGGGCTATCATTTGGACACCTTTCAAATTCAGAAGCTGCTTCCTATTCACCCATGCTCCTTATAGTCTTTAATTATTAAAACCAACTAGTAAGGACATTATCTGAGCATTGGTTCTAAATGATTAAAACATACCATTTTAATTTCTAATACATTTGTATCATAATTATAATAAATATATTAACATAATAACTATAACAAATAATATAACAAATATATTCTCTCTCACACACACACAACACAACACACACACATAAGAAAGGTAGAATAATATAAAGGCTTTGGAACAGATATGAAAAACAATGTTAGGGAAAGATTACTGAAAAATGCCAATAAAATATCTCTCTTTGGCCTTGGGTATTTATGAAATAAGAAGAATGTGTCCAGCCATTTTTATGAAAATTAAAAGCCAAGAACACAGATGGCTGAGTTGAAGGGAGCTGTATAGCATATTTTAAGTGTAGAGGACAAAAAATGGCAAGTGATAGTAACACCCAATAAACCCCAAAGGTTTTAGAAGGCAAAATCCAAAACCAAATTAACTTTTCCTTTTGTCTTCAGATACAGAAGCGTTTCTTAGAGTCACCAAGAAAAGGCTCTACGTCTTAATAAGAATGTTCTGAAAGAGATTTCTACCTAAGAAAGGACTTTGGAGTCAATAAATCTGGATTTCAGTCCTCTCTACCTTATTTATTAGGGGTATGGTGTTGGATGCCTTCCTTAGCCACTTAGAGCCCCAATTTTCTTATCTGTAAAATTGGAATAACGATGAGATATATTTCACAAGGCTATTGGAACAATGCAAAGAAATAGCATGTGACAGTGCCTAGCCTTGTGCCCAAGATGGATTGAGATTTCAGTCAATATTGAAAAGAAAACACACTTCATTTAGCCATGGCATAGAAGGTAATTGCCCCTTGAGCCCTGCCTTGCCTTTGCCGGTGAGCCTGACAAAATAAAGTGGTGATTTAGGACTATTTAAAGGGCCATGCCCTTGAAAATCTCAAATTGTTTTAATTCTAGAGTTTCTATGTTATTCAACTGTGCTCCATATTCTTTTAGAAATTAAAAGCAAATCACAAACCTTATTATAAGTCCTTTTATCAAAAGCTGGAGTCTAAAGACTCAGAGACACATTGAAATGTATCTTATAAGGGAAGGCCAAAATTATTGATGCTAACACAGGGTAGTGATTTTGGGCTAATGAATTACTAGGGTCTAGAACCCTGTCTAACACACAGCAAGTACCAAATATGCACTAAATGAACACAAGATTGGATGCTTCTAGCTATTTTAAAAGTGGGAACAGACTTTAAAAAAAAGGTTAATAGAGTATGGATAGTAGAGACGGTGGGGCTAAACTCTAAAATTCACTGGAAATCTTAGGTCACGGTTAAACAAGACATCTGGAAATAAGCTAGTCTACCAATAACCTAGATTGCTGATGCTATTTAAACATTTGTCATAATTCTAGTAAACTCACCGCTATGGTTTGAATGTGTCCTCTCCAAAATTCAGGTGTTGCCAATATGGTAGTATTAAGAGGTAGGGCCTTTAAGAGGTGGTTAGACCATGAAGGGTCCTCTCTCATGAATGGGGTTAAGGCCCTTATAAAAGAGACTTCACGCATCATTCTGCCATGTGGGGACACAGAGGAGGCTGTACCCCTCTGGAGGATGTAGCCTTCACCAGACAACAGAACCCACCAGCACCTTGATCTTGGACCTCCCAGCCTCCAGAAATAGGAAAAATAAATTTCAATTTTTTACAAACTACCCAGTCTGTGGTATTCTGTCATAGCAGCACAAAGAGGCTAAGACACTCAGGTTCTGTCACCTCAACAATACCAAGCTTTTCCTTGAAAAAGTTTCTAAGGGAGAGAGTTAAAATTCCTTAAGTGACAGCCACCATCTTCAGAATTCTTTGGGCCTAAAAAATAGAGTACTAAGAGCCTTTAGATGTGGTTTCCGACTTTCTTACTGTCCCTCTCCTTCCATATTACTCTCTCACTCTCATGTCTCCCACTCATACTCACTCTCATTTTCACCTCTGAGTTAGACATCTTGGCCTGCACCTTCCTTAGACGCAGTCTCACACATTTCTTGTTCACTGCCATGTGCCCATCCCTGGCATACTTTCGGGCATACAGAAGTACACAAAAAATAGTTGTTAAATAAATTACATATTAGCTGAACAAGTCAGGGAGATTTCACATCAGGTAGAAAATCTCATTGTTTTATCTCTAAAAGTATCCCAAGTCATTTGTACTATACTCCACTGTTTCTTTTTGCTAGGCATATATTATGCATTTCATGTACTTATTTGTTCACTAGCCTATGGACTGTGAGAGCCTCATGAATGAGGAAAATATCTTCCTCCTCTGCATCCTCCCACAAAGAGCCACTTCAAGGCTCCACCCACAGTGGTTTGTGATTCACCAAGCATGGCTGACTGACTCAGAACCAACATGATACTTGCAGCCCACTCTGGACCTTCCATGGGAGAAGGGACCACATCTCACTCATCCTGGCACTTAGTCCAGTGCCTGACACACTAAAGACACCCAGTAAATATTGACTGAGGAAGAGAGAGAAGCAGTATGAGTGAATAATACTAAAAAAATCCAAATGTTTCAGCAAAGCCAAACATGAAGCAAAATAAACTAGTGTGCTTCTTCCATTCATTGTATCCTGCATTCATTCAACAAGTATCTACTGAATGACTAGTTTGTGCCAACCATTGTGCTTGGCACCAGTGACTTGCAGATGAATTATATATGAGTGAGAAAACAGGTCTGCATGGAATTTCCACTCTAGCGAGGAAGGTGGATGATACACAAATAATTGCATGTGTGCTAGCATTGTCCATGGGCAATGAGAAAGTACATCTCAGCCAGGTGCGGTGCCTCAAGGCTGTAATCTCAGCCCTTTGGGAGGCTGAACAGGTGGATCATGAGGTCAGCAGATCGAGACCATCCTGGCCAACATGGTGAAACCCCATCTCTACTAAAATATAAAAAATTAGCTGTGCGTGGGGGCCTACGCCTGTAGTCCCAGCTACTTGGGAGGCTGAGGCAGGGGAATCGCTTGAACCAGAAAGGTAGAGGTTGCAGTGAGCTGAGATAGTGCCATTGCACTCCAGCCTGGCAAAGAACAAGATCCCGTCTCAAATAAAAAAAAAAGAAAAGAGAAAGTACTTCTCTTGTAGAAGTGTTGAGGAAGCACAAAGGAGGCAGGTGAGCAGGGAGAGATGAGGAAAGGAGGAAAGAGGAGACTAAAAATTCTTCAACAAAATTCATCTGCCTCTGCAACAAGGAACTTCTTTTTTTTATTTTATTATTATTATACTTTAAGTTTTAGGGTACATGTGCATAATGTGCAGGTTAGTTACATATGTATACATGTGCCATGCTGGTGTGCTGCACGCATTAACTCGTCATTTCGCATTAGGTATATCTCCCAATGCTATCCCTCCCCTCTCCCCCCACCCCACAACAGCCCCCAGAGTGTGATGTTCCCCTTCCTGTGTCCACGTGTTCTCATTCTTCAATTCCCACCTATGAGTGAGAACATGCAGTGTTTGGTTTTTTGTTCTTACGATAGTTTACTGAGAATGATGATTTCCAATTTCATCCATGTCCCTACAAAGGACATGAACTCATCATTTTTTATGGCTGCATAGTATTCTATGGTGTATATGTGCCATATTTTCTTAATCCAGTCTACCATTTTTGGACATTTGGGTTGGTTCCAAGTCTTTGCTATTGTGAATAGTGCCGCAATAAACATATGTGTGCATGTGTCTTTATAGCAGAACTTCTTATAAAGACAAATGTGCTCAGTACATCAGTCACTCCTTAAACTTATGGCTTAGTGTGACGGCAAATTGTGATATAGCAAACAGATATATTTTATGCATTAGCAATATTGACATGCATCAGCCAAAAAAACCCAACATTCCCATTTGATTGACTCATTTGACAGATTCAAATGCCTGTGCTCAAGTGTAGTCTGGGCTCCCTGACCTTGGTACTAACACACGAGATGTTTCAGTATGTTTCAGCAAGTTGTTAGAAGTGGTCAGATTTTGTTTAACTTAGTTTTCACAGAGATATCTGTTGCCTTGCACTTGGCAGTCAGTGTAGTATTTTTCACCAGGGATTCAATCTCAGTGGGAAAGAGTAGCAGGGATAGAGGATGAGGAGGAAAGGCATCTGGGAAATTTTCAAGGTAGAAGCACAGGAATTTAAACACTAAATAAACTACTTGAAAAAGGAACCCAGAAGTGAGTTACAACATTGTTTTAGAATAAACTCAAGCTCAAGTGCAACTACTTTAAACATCAAGATGAATAAAAGGAAAACCAAGGAGTTCCAGTATTTGGCCATACACAACCCTTTGATCTGGCTCTGACAAATCGTCTCTGTTCCAGATTTTTACCTCCCATAACCATACTGGCCTGCCCTATACCAGAAGTGAAGTCATGGACCCTGATCTCTAACATAGGACCTTTGTATTTGCATTAGCAGGAAAGATGGGGGAAGACTCAAGCTTACATATGTGGAGAAAAAATGAGTGTCCCCCTGTATTGGCCTGTATACAAAAGGAGTGCATGGAAGCAAGAAAATAAATCTTCAAACAGAATATTTCTTATCACCAAGCATGTCCTTTTATCCAGGTTCTCAGAATTTTCTTTTGGTCCTAAGGAGTTACCATGTAGAAATACAGAGGCAGACAGCCAAGGGCTGCAAACAGTCCTACCACCTAGGTGGAAGCTCTGGATAAGTTGCTTAACTTCCTCATAATCAGTTTTTTCCATCTAAGACATGTTGAGTTGGAGAGTACATAAAGTCACCTGGCACCTATAGATGTCTAATAAATATGGATTACTTTTTCTCATTCCCTAACAGAAATACCAGGTAAGAACCAAGGTTGCGTTTGCTTAAATGTTTTTGTAAAACAAGGAGGGTTAATGAGCAGTATAAGCAAGGATACGAGGAACACACCTGAAATACAGTATTGAGTAACCGAAGGTGAATACAGGACTCTTAGAGCAATACAGGAAAGAAAAACGGCACTGTTCCTTTGGGAGATAAATTCTTTGTTTCATTCTCTTTTGCTCTTGTGACCTTCCTGTTTCTATGGTCCTTGCACATGCCCACTTGCTTCTGAATGCCCCAATGCCCAAGGCTCAGTGACACCTCATGAAGAATTTGGCTGCTGTAGGGAGCTATATCCCAGCCACGCTGCTATCCTTCCACCCTAACTTCTCAGGCGAGTCCTCCCACTGGGACAACAGGCTCTTGAAACTTCTTGCAGCACATGCTGTTGCCCTTACTTGGTTGGACGCCCCTGAGTCAGGCAGGCCCATACCATTCTAATTTTGCTTGTTATTTCTTTTATGAAATCCAAGATTGAGATAAAGAGGGAAGGGTGCACATCCACAAGACTGCTGTGGCCTCCTAAAGAATTGTTCTATCTGAACGAATGTAATGAGAAAACTGCTAAGAAACTAAATGGCAATTCACACACTCACAAAGGTTCACTCAAAAGTCTTACATCCATAGTCTGTAAAATTTCTATTTGTCATAGAAAACAAACATAGAAGGCACTTTCTTTTAGTGGTTTTTCAGTTAACTGAGCTTCCAAAATATTATGTTCATCAACACGTTACACAGAGGACTATTGTATTTTCCTTATGGGCATAACATAAATAAAATATAAATAATAAGTTATTTACATTGTAATATAAATATCCATCTAACAAACATTTATTTTGTTTGTTTTTATTATTATTATTATAACCTTCTGTGGTTAAGCAATGAGCTAGATGAACAGAAATGCATACATGGAAGAAATTTTTATATTCTCTTGAATAGTATTTATTGATATAGTTTAGATACAGATTTCATGAATATACAGTGAAATATCCTGCCACATTTTTCAAGTGCATCACATTTAGCTTTCATAATATTTTTATAAACATAACATTTTCACCCTTAGTGCATTCTTTCTTCAAATTATTTTTGGCCAATCCCACCAAACTGCCATCTCTAGCTTTAAAAAAAAAAAGTGGGATTCCCCATTTAAGATGATGCTACACTTGCTATGGAAATATTGATTCTAAAAAGAAGGACTGAGATCAGGTAGTGTTGGACTCAAATGCCAAATAGAAGAGAAGCACATTAACGCCAGGATGATGAGTGTCCTCACATAAGGCCATCCTTTCTTATAGTTTCCAAGGTAAGTCATGTTTGCAGGGGTCTTTGGAGAGAAGAATGAGGAATAAGAATAAGAATGGAGAAGAGAAAGACAAGTAAGGTAGGAAAAATGTCTGTAGCTAAAATACACATTACATATCATTAATAAATTTTAAAAATTATTAAAACATGTTCATTTCAAAGAAAAGTAACACTTGTTAATAGGGTGCTGGGAGTCTAACACGAATTATTATTTGCCCATAGGAAGTAGGCTTAAAGATGAGAATATGGCATCTCAGAATATGAGATAACATATTCTCAAAGTGGTGATTAAATCATATATTACTGCTCAGTCTTAAAAAAAAAAATGAAATCATGTCTTTTGCAGCAACATGGATGGAACCGAATGCCATTGTCCTAAGGGAAATAACCTCGAACTAGAAAGTCAAATACCACATATTCTCATTTATAAGTGGGAGCTAAGCAATGGGCACACACAGACATACAGAGTGGAAAAATAGACATTGGAGACTCCAAAAGGTGGGAGAGTGGGAGAAGAGTGACGGTTGAAAAATTCCCTGTTAAGTACAATGTTCACTATTTGGGTGATGGGTTCACCAAAAGCCCAGACTTTACCACTGTGCAATAGATGCATGTAAGAAATTTGCACTTATACCCCCTAAATCTGTAAAAACACTTTAAAAGAGTTGTGGTTAAAATATGTTGATACTTATGAGGAATCTCATAATGACTCAGTGAATAGACAAAGGCAGGAAAAAGTTAAAAATGCAGAAGGGAAGAAGACACACGGCACTGGCCATCAGTCCACATGCTCTGGGGACATGAGTTCCATGGGGCTCCCACCACTATTAGCTACTGGTTTTTGAATACTTCTCAAATGCCCGGTGCATTGCACGATTTACATATATTCTCATTTAATTCTCAATGGCATAATGAGGTGGGTAATATTTTCCCCATTTTAATCAATTTTCTAAATAAGGATGTGAGACATAGAGAAGTGGCATGTCTAAGCTCACATACTCAGGAAAGGTAGAGGCAGGGTCTAAGCCAGGACCCAAGCTTGCCTTGTGTTGCTTACCTCTGATCAGTTTCAATCCAAAATTCAAAGTGGGAAATCTAGTTGTAAGGAAACAAGGGTTGCTTCAGAATATTTTCTCCATCTACAGTAGTGACTCTTATTATTCATTGGGTCTCAGACTCCTATAACAATTTTATAAAAGTGGTAGACCCTCTCCTTAGAGAGAGGCATATATGTTCATAATTGTGTGCATGTGTACTTTTCAGGGATTTCAAAACTCTTCAAAACCAAGGCTAAGAAACTGCGAACTAAAAGTTGCCACTAAAAAGGGACCTAGATCACAGATAGAACCTGACCGGGATGAGTGCACAGAAATGTCTCCTTGGCCAACCCAACCCAGTTGGTGCAAATCCTCTAGTGTAAGCAACTCTTTACAAGCATAGAATTGACCCTTAATAGGACTAGTCATGATGGACAGAGATCCCCAATGATAAAGGTATTCACAAAGAACACAGGTTACAACCCAATTCTTGAGGGACCCTTGAGTGAGCCAGATGCAGTGTGCAAGGGAGAAGGAAGAACGTTGCTAGAATGAATGTCAACTTTACAGTTGGGCTGTGCCTCTTGGTCATGACCTTGAGGCTCGGAGAATTGGCTCAGACAGTTCTGAACAGAGTAGCCATTTTACAGACAGCCCACAGCCCAGCAGGTCACCGCTCTCTAACTCTGCCATCATGACACCGCCATCTGCAGCCACTGAGCTGAGATTTCTCAAGACCAAATTTATCACGCCCGAGATTCCATTCTTACATAAGAATCACCTGTTGCTGATGCATAAATTTCGGCACCTAGCAGAGCCAAGGGTAATCAGGATTTAAAAGGAAGAGGCCTGAATAAATTCAAGCAGATTTCCTCTCTGTGGGACTGAGTCTTGAAAAACCTTTGTGCCCTCATCTGCCCCTCAACAGAGACTGTCATTTTTCTACTTTCTGTCTGCATCACTATTGTCGAGGGAATGATGCTCTCAGAGCCACAGGCAATCTGTCTTCTTGGAGGTTCTGTTCCAGCTCTGACCTCGGTTTGTTGCAGTTTATGTCTCTTCTCACAAGTTTCAGCTTGCTCTCATCACCAGCTAAATTAACCATAAAGCAAAACCTTGACTCACATTACTGAAGCCTCAGAGAAATTGGTAGAAGCCCGGAGTGATGCATCACTATATCAAATAAAGCACTTTGGATCAATGAGAAGATTCCCTTGTCTTGAAACCTTGGAATGAATGTACAGGTGTGCTAGATGACAGCAAAGAAAATGCCATTTGAAAGCATTGGAAGGAAGGAGAGTTGTCTAAGAAGTGGTGGGATAGGGACAACACTGGATGGTGGGAAGCATCTAGGAAGGAGGGTATTTCCGAAACTAAAAAAGGGCCAAGGCCAAGAAAATCACCTACAGTTCTATTCAGTGAAATGTGGGGAAATTAAATTAGGGTTAACAAATATCTGAGAAGGTCTGCATCTGTGACCTTGGGCAAATAGTTTCCTTCTCTGGGTTTCCATCTGTAAAATGCAGGAACAGAATGGAGGCTTCTTCCAGCACTAGCATGCCAGGATGGAAGGTAGAAGAAAAGGCCTTTGAAGCCAACATAATTACTCCTCTGTCCAGAGAAATATAAACAACAATAACTCCAACAGCCTTCAGCTCTGCTTTTGAATGAGTTCTTTGCTTCTGCCTGAGAGGTAAAGTAGTTCATTCCTTGGGGAAAAGTTGAATGTGGAATGCTAGGCCATGCCCTTCTCACTTTGGTTTCATTATGTTATTTCGAATTATTAATACAAAGAACATTCAATGTAAGTTAACAAGGCTTTACTGAGTACCATGTATCCAGGCCTGCAGTTGGTCCTCTAGGGTAGATGAAGAAAGAGTGTGGGACAAGTTCAGGGTCTTCAATTCCCTTAATCTCCCTTAACAGAGGTTTGCATGTCCCATTTCAAAAGCCAAGCACAAAATCAGCAAAAATGAGGCTAATTGTTTAAATACATCTTACTTCTCTGTATTTACATAAGCAATTGAATTGAATGAAATTTGCTAATTTTGATGCTCTTACTAATACATACTGCATATGTGTTTCGTATCTTTGTTGTGTATGTCTATGAGAAGCCTCACTTTGGCATTTATAGGGTGTGCATTGGCTTGATTCTAGTCAGATGCCTCTGGGTGAAACAGAAATAAAAGTCAATCAACAAACTTTTGACTTTTCAAGCAAACACATGCTTATACATTTTGAAGTTCCACTGAAGTGCAATCTCTGTATGACGTGAAAGCAAACTAAATGAATCATTTTGTGGAAACTACTCTAATTCCTGAGTATGCACATTGGTTAATATTTTTGCATATCTCTGGAACACCAATGCTGCTTCATATTAATTACTGGCAATGTACTATTATTCTTTAATGAGTACTTATTTTTTGATACCAAGTAGATGATCAATTATGACACCTTCCTCAGACTCTTGTCTTCCTTTGAGGTTTTCTAAAACCAATCAATCAATTTGTTGTAAATGGCAATCACATCCAAAATATGCCTTGGGTACAAAACAGAACTTTTCAAGAAGTTAAGATGATCCAAATGAGGTTTTTCCAATGCAAATTATCGTCATGACCACCTGAAAGTACTTTTCTTAAATGTTCTCTATAAATACTCCTGTGTACTTTCAATTACATGTATGTAAACACGTAAGGATGATATAAACCATGATTCCAGTTACATATTTCTAAGCACCAAGAATGAGGCACCAAGAATTAAGGTGCATTATTCTTACTTAAGAACTAATGTACTATAATATACCATATTGCTATGTTTTTCTTCCAATACCCCAAAGCACTATTTTTGGAACTTGGGTGTTCAGAATTGAGCTGATTATTATATTCTTCGGTTCATGAAATGTCAAAGCACTTTTATTCTGCTGCCCGTATGGTGAACACAGTAAGAAAAGAGAGGCAGGTATTTAGGGTGACCAACTATCCTAGTTTTCCCCAGGACTGAGAGGCTTTTGGGACATAGCACTTGCCATGGGAGTGGCCAAGGCAAATAAGGGACAAGTTGGCCATCCTGCAGGTATTATCATTCCCGTTTATAATTGGAGAAACAAACGTACAGAGAAGCAGAATGTGTTGCCCAGCTTACCCAGGAAGTGAGAAGCAGATGTGGGACTGAGTCCTATGTGTTCTAACGACAGCCAGTTCACAACTACACAGATCAGTACTACTTCTTCTGCACCTTACTTTCTCCTTGAACTTTAAGAAAACCCACGTTGTCTTTGCCTTTTTGTGTGCTACCCTTCCAAAAGTGCTAGGTTGAATACCATGGGCAGTACTGAATGGGGCCCTTTGTCTATGCTGCAAATTACTCAGGAGAAACAACATTGCCACTTTGTGTTTTAGAGAGAGGAATGAGACGTTATAATTATCACAGCGCTCTAAAGCAGAGGAAGCACTAGTACAAGTTCTGTCTACCCACCAATTATCTGTTAAGACCACTAAGATATCTGGTCTTGACTGGGCCAGATGTATAATTTCATGAAACAAATCAACCTAAATGAACCTCAGGAAAAATGGCCAGGTAACCACCTTTTGAACCACTATACGCTGACAGCTAACATTTACTGAAGGCTTACAGTGTGCTGGGCGCTGTGCTTAGAGCTTTATAGGGATTAATTCAATTAAGGCTCACAACAATAATTCCATGAATTTGCAATTATTGTTCCCATTTCACATGTAAGAAAAAGGAGGCTGAGAGAGGTTAAGTAATTCACCAAAGCCCACACAGCTGATACAGGTTGGAACTTGGATTTAACCCCAAGCAGTCTGACTCCAAAACAAGTGCTTTTAGCCACCCAGTACATCACTTTTAATAAAAACAACCAAACAATGTTTAATCTGTCCAAACAGTGTTCTGACTTCCAATCACTGAGGCAGTTTATTAGGGTAGATCCAAAACTAGCTAGACTGCAAATTACTGTGAAGCAAAGCAGGTATGTCTGTCTACCTGTTTAGGTCAAAAGGTATGAGGCTTTCTGGTCATAGGCATTAAAGGATCTGAAGGGAGAAATTTTAATCTGTTGATTAATTTAGGAGATTAACTGCCCTGCCAAGCTGCTGTCATGTCTTCAGTACCTCTATTTCCTTCTCTGAAAAATGTAAATAATACATCCTGAGCTTCTATAAGAAATGACGGTGTAAAACAACAGAAAGCACTAAGCAAACTGTAAAGTGCTTTAAAACAATTATTTCATATGTTAAGCAGCTTACAAAATAGCAATTTCTTCAAATGCCCTTGCAAAGCAAATGAGACACAGCTGCTAAAATGCTCTGCAAAGAGGCGGAAATCCAGCTCTTTAAAATGTCCAAGGGGAAAACGCACACTGTAAAATTACTCCAAAGATGAATTTTACAAGAAGGATGGAAGTGTCATCAAGTTTTTCCATGGTTAATTCTAAAAGAGTGCCAGCATCGAAAAGATAAAAAAAGGCAGTTCTTCAACAGAAACCTGGGAAAATATTCTTCAATGACGTTGCATAATAGAAATAGGAATTAAACTTACCTGAGGAGCAGAAGCGAGGAAGCCAAGTTTATGAGTTCTTCTCAATTTTGTCCAAAGACAAGTCTGTTGGGAATAAAAAATATTAAGAGAACTTAAAAAAGGAAAAAGGAAAAGGGAAAAAAAAAGGAAAGTCAAGAAGGATGAGCTGTCGTGGAATGCTGTGAAGTTTGAGAGTGACTCAGCACTAGCTAAGGGGCAGCAACAATTAAATGAGTTTGTTGAAAGAACCCTAATAAAACTCAGCATTCCCTGTAATCTCAGAACAAGGTTGCACCACTAAAGAAAATGTTAAACTGTGCATTAGGGGGGCTGTGGTTTCATGAAGTTGGTTGGGGGTGGGGGAACTCAGGGCTGAGTCACTGGCTCCTTGGAGGCAGCACCATTGGGTCTCTGCCCTCTTGCCTGTTTCTCTCCCTCTCTCCAGGGAGTTCAGTTCCTCTACAATTAGCCAAAAGAAGCAAGTGAGCTGGCCATTGAACGATGACAAATTGTGATTCACTTGTAGCATAAATTATAAAATACATACACTGTATAAATAAGTCCTGAGATGGAGAGGGGAAAAGAACTTCTGCCACATCTGGGCCCACGAGAATCATGAGTGCAGGTGCCTGTTTCTAGATGGAAGAGCAACTAGGTTATCCAAAATGGATGCTGAGCAGATTTTTAAAATTCTCTGGGAAAAAGAAGATCACAATTCCTCCTAGTAACTAATTTATATCTTTAGTTACTCTTTCTAGCCATTAAGCCCCATGCTAAAACTACCCTAAATCTCTCCTGTTCTAAACTGGCCTTGGTGGTTGCGGGTGGGCAAATTGTTTTTTCATTATTGAAAAATATAAATCCTTCATATATTTGCACAGAGTTATTCTTATACTAAGCTCAGAATGGAAACCAGGCAGTTCTCCTCTCCCTTCCAGAATGAGAATTCTCCACCTCTCCATCCAAGTTACAGAAAGAAAGAAACATTTTGAGGCTCTGGCATCATGTTTTCCTGTTTTCATGGGGTCAGCTATAGACTCAGTGAAGAGTTTACATGTTCACGTCTTTAAAAAAACACTCAAAGGGTTAAAAACTGGAGGTTTGACATTTCCATAATAAGTGTTCTAAATGCTTGTATTGATATATATTTTGTTCTAGAATAAACTCAGGTACAAAATATAATATTTGTAAGTTGTTCTGCCAGCCAAACTGTTCTCCTTCATTTATAAATGAAGTTGCTAAGTGTTCAACAACTGATTGCCATAAATGAATGGGGTATGACATCCTTCCAAGTCTCCAAAGAGTTGCTACAACTTGGTTTTCCCCTTGGGAGAAAAAAAAAGTTATTGTTCTAATTGATTTTTTCTGTTCTGAATAGAAAAAAATAAATTAGATCCTTCCTTCCTTCCTTCCTCCCTCCCTCCTTCTTTCCTTCTTTCTTTCTTTTCTTTCTTTCTTTCTCTTTCTTTTTTCTTTTCTTTTTTTTCTTTCTGTTTTCCTATTTCTGCATTCCTACAGGAAGAGAGAAGGAATATTGTGCTTTTCATCAACCACAGCAAGAGTCATTTGAGTTTGAAACACAGCTAGTTTTTAAGGAAACTATACCATGGTCTTCTGGAATGGGAAAAGCTTTTTCTTTCAAGGGACAAAAGGTGAGATTTTCTTTTTGTCTTCAGCCTTTACCAGTACAAAAGAGTGAACCATCTCTACATACATGTTCAGAGGCAAATCCGATGACTAATTGCAGAGTAAGCAAATTTCTTGATTCTGATCAAACCAGCAACATGCATTTGAATTTAGGTTGGATTTAGATGAGCAAGTCAATAACTTAGAATAGTGAAGACTGAGGACTTAGGAATCAAATCCCATGGTGACCTTGGTAAGGATTTTGCTCTTTTATGGACAGCTTAGTAGATAAGGTCAGTCTTTTAATTTACTTAACAAATTGCAGACAGCTCTCCCATTGTAGCATTTAATCATTTCCTCCCAACTCAATTTCCTCATTCATACAATTGGGTTAATACAACTTACTCTGCAGGGCTATCATAAGGACTAAATACAATGTGTATCTAACATGCTTACTACAGTACCTGGCACATAAAAGCTGGACGAATTGTTTCTTTCAATTCATTCTTTAAATTCATGCTTGATAAACTGATGCTGGCTATAGTAATCTTCTGTCACCCCCCACCCACAACACACACATACAAACCACACACACACACAGCAGCTAACTAAGAACAGCGCCCTAATTTTGTCAATTTTATGGAATTTTTCTTAAGGAATCCCATCACCATCTTATACCTACTACAGTAATGTATTAGTCACTTACCATGGGCCATGCATTGCCCTAAGTTACTTTACATGGACAATATCACTTCATTTCCCCTACAACCCTATGAGCTCAATACTATGGTTATTCCCCTTTTGCTTCAAATTCACTTGATCACTAATATGAAAGAATCTTAAAAAGTATTTTTAAAACATCTATCTTATACGTTTTATTATTACAATGGACTGAATATAAGTGCCCCTCCAATATTTATATCTTGAAATCCTAACCCCCAATGTGACGGTATTAGGAGGTGGGGCTTTTGGGGAAAAATTAGGTTATGAGGGTGGAGCCCTCATGAATGGCATTAGTGTCCTTATAAAAGGGACTGCAGAGAGTTCTCTTTCCACCATGTGAGGATACAACAAAAAGTTGGCAGTGTATAACTCAGGAGAGGAACCTGCACAACCAGGCGGGTACTCTGATATTGAACCTACAGACTCCAGAAATGTCAGAAATAAGTTCCTGTTGTTTATAAGCCACCCAGTTTATACTATTTTGTTATAGCAGCCCAAACTAAGA
Organism: Homo sapiens; assembly: GCF_000001405.40. Classification (NCBI taxonomy): domain Eukaryota; kingdom Metazoa; phylum Chordata; class Mammalia; order Primates; family Hominidae; genus Homo; species Homo sapiens. The sequence continues at coordinate 122,183,169 of NC_000011.10, forward strand.
TCATTACAATTGCAAAACATTTATGAAATAGCTTACTGAGTTGTGTTTTGTAAATTTTGTTCAAGCAAAGCACTAAAATATAGTTTTTAACCTCCAAAAAGTGACTTTTTTTTATACCAGAGAAGAAACAGAATTTAGATTAAAGGGTCCACTATGTCTTTTTAAAAAATCATATAGGTGCTTCCTATCTCTGATTTAAGTTTATGTACTTATTATAAATAAGAATAGTGGAAGCTCCTGTTTATATCTGTTTAAGATTTGCAGCCAATATCTACAAAGTACCAAATTGACAACACTGATAAGATGATGGGGGCCAATCATCTTGTTGAAATGAAGAGAAAGAGATGGCTAAAGATTTTTCATAGAAATTACTCCACCCACATACAACATCTAAAAAAGTTACATTTATGCACATTTAATTGGCAAATAGAAAAATTTATATATAAATATCCCTATTTTTGAATAAATCTGAAGGTTAATGAAGCAATGAAGAATGCCTGTGCTTAATACAGAGACATTCACCAGGAAAAGAAGTGTCCCTAGTTGAAAAGATATTAGATCCCTATTCTAAAATCTCAATTGCTTCATGCAGAAAAACTCCTAAAATAGAACATTTATGGCATACTTTTTGTATTATGTTTGGCTGTGTTTTATTTTTTGAATAAATACTTATAGAGGCATATACCTGGGCTTCATTTTCTTTTGAACAATTTTTGAGATTGTGTGAGATAATGTTTCCTACTTCATGGAGAAACTAGGTGATAAAAAGGAATTTTACAGAGGGCCTTACTGCTATATCTACTTCATCCCCAAGCAGCATTACTACCCTAAATATGCCTGTTACTATGGATGGAAATAATCTATATTCTCTTTGAAGCCAAATCTTCCACTTGGACATTAGATACTATCACTGTTTTCTGACTCAACAAAATTGCTTAAGGAATTCTTGCTATCTTTCCTAAAACATGAATCTCTCTCTCTCTACTGGACCATTTCCATCAGCACATAACCATATTGTAATTTCTCCTAATCAAAAACAGCAGCAATAACAAACCCCTTAGGTTGACCTCACTTTCCCCAGGTGTTTTCATCCAATTTCTTTACTTCCCTTTGCAGGAACCTCAAGAGTTGGATTTCCTCACTGTTTCAAGTTCCTCTCCTACCATTCCCCATTAAGCTACTTAAACCAGGCTTTAACTGTCACAACTCTACCAAATTATGTTCTTGTTCAGGTCACCAGTGTTGCTCAGTTGGAAAATTCAATGAGTGACTTTCAGTATTCATCATACTGGATCTATCAGCAATATTTGTCACTACTTTTGACTCCCCTCTACTTGATGCACTTCATTCTCTTGGTTTTTAGGACACCACAACCTCCTAGTTTTTCTTCTGCCTTGATAGTCACACCTCAGTCTCCACTTATAATTCTGAGGACCCCCAGAGCTGAGTCCCAGTCTTCTCTACTTTATTTATACACACTCACTTGATAATATCACTCAGCCTCACAGTTTGTAATCCCAACATGTTGGTGACTCCTAGGTCTCCATCTTTGGCTGGGGGAAGTTGACATTCTGGTTAGCTCCAAATATGCATGATCAACAACCAACTTGACATCTATAATTTGGTGTCTAATAGTCATTTCAATACCAGTATGTCCAAAACCTAAAACCCAATATTCCTCACAAACTGGCTCTTCCTATAGCCATCTCAGTCAATAGCATCTCAATCCATATCTCAACCCATAGCTATATTTCTAGTTGCTCAAGCCAAAACTTTGCTTTCTTTTCAACTCACACTCCATATCCAATCTATCTCAAAATCCTATTGAATTTTGATTTCAATATATATCCATATGCAGACTACTTCTCATAACCTCTACTGACCAACCTATGGCCTGAGCCACATCATCTTTTTCTTGGGTTACTGGCACGGCCCCCTAATTAGTCTGTTTGCTTCTATCCTTGCCCTGCTCATCTAGTCTCTACATAATATCCTGAAAGACCCTTGTTAAAAAGTCAACTCTTCCTCAGCACCTTGAAGTAACACCCATTTCACTCAGATTAATGCCAAAGTCTTCTATCAGTAACCTGCAAAGCCTCATGGGGCCTCACCCTTGCCTCTCTGTTATCTCTCTGACCTATAATGCATTCCCTTCCATCTCTTTGAATCAGCCATGCTGGCTTCTTTGCTGTTCATTAAATGCGCCAGGCAGTCTCCTGCCACTGGGCCTTTGCACAGGCTGTTCTCTCTGCCAGTGATACTCTTCCCTGGATATATACTTACAGTCTCACCTGCCTCAGATATTTGCTCAATTGACACTCCTATTTAAAATTGCAACTGTGCACATGGTCCTCCTCTGCCAGTGCCCCACCCCAGTCTTAAACCTAATCACTCTGCTTTATTTTCATCTTTTCCATAGCATTTACTATGAAGAATATAATATATTGGCTGATGTACTGTTTACTGTCTGTCTCCCTGTGCTAGAATGTAGATTCTGCAAGGGTAGGGATTGGTGTCTGTCTTGGTCATGTCTTTTTTTAAGTCCCTAGAATAGTGCTTAGCATAGGAAGTCACACAATGGGTGTTGAACTGAATTGAATAAAATGAGCTTCCAGGAAAAGAACCAGAATTGATAACATTGTACCTATATGAAATAAGAACTTGACTTAAAAGAACTTGATAGAGAATTACTGTCTACTGACTGATTAAATCACAAAGCAAGAGGGTAGAATACCTGAATACACGGCCTGTTTGTTGGAAAAGAGATGACAACCTGGAATGACCACCTGAAAGAAAATGAAAACATATCTCCTCTCCCTTTTTTTAAAAGATTCTGGCAATATATTTTCAGATGACTCCAGAAGGAGCTTGGAACAGACCACAATAATATGTCCTACAAAGTCATGAAGGAGCTGAGCTTAAAACTTAACCTAAAAAAAAAATCTGTTTCTCTATATCTAGGGTTCATTGTAGTTCTATACAGACACTCTGACCCATAGATGTCTGCCTGTGGCTTGTGCTATTGATGGCTTATCTACGTCCTATTTCATTAAATCAGTCTCAGAAAAGAGCAGCAGTCCCACGGAATGTTTATTTTCACCAGGCTTGGCAATCTTAAGGAAAATCAAGTAGCACAGTGTTCTCAAGGTATAGTCCCCGTCCTGTGGCATTAGCACCACCTAGAAACTTGTGATAATTGCAAGTTCTTGGGATCCACCCCACCCCCAAATTAGAATTTACAAAATCAGAAGAAATTTTAAGGGTAGTACCCAGCCATCTGTGATTTAACAAGTCCTCCAGATGACTCTGATGCCCATTCAGGTTTGAGAGCCATTGAGGAAGCAGAATTGTTCATTTACAAGTTTACAATGACTTTCTTAGCAAGGCAATCTTAGAATACAGACTTCCTCCACTGATTAATGCAATAAATTTGCTCTGTTATCCAACACCCAACAATGACTCAACAGACTTCTCTTTTGCACTAACCTTTGCGAAATACTCTTTCTGGGCATTCTGCCTCAGATTAATGAGAAAGTGGTAGACTGCTCACATATTCCAGAAGCCTGAATTAACTGATTTCATAATGCTCTGAGCTGCTTGGCTCCAGGTTCTTCCTGTTAAGATTTATGAACCCAGACTGTAACACCATTTCTCAACATATCTTCAAGTTGATGATTTCATTTCAATAGTAAAGTTGACCATAATGGAAAGTGAATTAAAGGAAATCAAACAAACAGATATCGAGGGTTGTGTGAATTTGTCAAAAATGACTTACTAATTAAAAATATTAATTCACAAGTAGGTCACCAAGAGCCCCTTTGCTTTGATTATTCATGTAAAGCCCGTTAGTCTGTAAATTATTCACTTAAAAACTAGAACTCCATCTAGTCTATGAAGTCTAAAACAAATATTCCTTAAGGTCAAATTTCCTAGGACTCTCACATTCCCATTAAAGGTAGACAGAGATCCCATTTAACCGATGACAAAACAGAAGCTCAGAGTCTTAGCTAAGGCCACATCATTATGGACAAAGTCACAAGGCTCAGATTTCTTGAATTTTCTTATAGATGTCAATTCAATTGTAATTAATAATGTATTAAGTACCTGCTCTGTGCCAGACCCTGGATTAGGGGATGGGGCTACATAAGTTTCTTTTCTTTTCTTTTTTCTTTTTTTTTTTTTTTGAGACAGAGTCTTGCTCTGTCACCCAGGCTGGAAGGCAGTGGTGCAATCTCAGCTCACTGCAACTCCGCCTCCCAGGTTCAAGCGATTCCCCCGCCTCAGCCTCCTAAGTAGCTGGGATTACAGGCATGCACCACCATGCTGGGCTTTTTTTTTTTTTTTTTAGTAGAAACAGGGTTTCACCATGTTGGTTGGGCTGGTCTTGAACTCCTGACCTCAAGCAATCCACCCACCTTGGCTTCTCAAAGTGCTGGGATTACAGGCGTGAGTCACGGCGCTCGGCATAAATTTCTGACATAGTCCCTGCCTTTAAGGAGTTCAATGCAAGAGACCCTGTCTCCCTGATTATTTAATATCTTTCTTTGGCTGACTTCGAACTCCAGTGAAGTAATGAAAGGAATAGTAATGATTGTTGATTTTTACATTGAAGAAATCTTGTGACAGAAAGAATTTCACCAGGAGGAGAATCAAGGTCCTCACACTGACCACGCACTATTTAATCAAGGCACCAAGATGTCCTATATCTTGGTGTTGAAGAGATTAAAAGTGCCCTATTGTGGGCTATTAATATTTCATACCATAACACAATGTAGAGATACCATGTGAAAAAATGATGAGCTTGTAGAAAAGGCAGTGAGAATTGGAGCTCAAGCTCAGAGAAGAATAAAAGCTAAGTATGAACAAGTCACATTTTACAATTTAAAAATAACATGATGTTCAGATATATTCCCAAAACAAAGACATAGTAGAACTGGTCTGCACTCTTGTTATTCTCTTCATTATATGAGTACAAGGTTGAGTTTGGGAGGTCTACATTTTTCAAAACACTAGCACCACCACTTTAGCAAATGTTCAGGTTAAGGCAATAAACTTGTGTGGCTGGGAACTGGAGACCAAGTTCTGGTCTCCACTGTAAAACTTACTGACTTTATAACCAAAGGTAAGGTTATTTTGGGTGGTGGAAAAGGTGAAAATAAGACAACTGCAGACAGGACTTTTTAAGGAAATTGAAGTTTTCCATAAAGCATTAAAAGCTATAGAAATATAAGGTCATATTTATTCAGTCACCATTTTAAGCACCTATAATATACTCTGAGTAGCACCAAGTCCTGGGGATACCCAAGTGCATATACTGTCATCACGTGGCATCCATGAAGAATTGGTTCCAGGATCCCCTGCCAATACCAAAATCTGCAGATGCTCAAGTCCTTTATATAAAATGTCTAGTATTTGCATGTAACCTATGCACATCCTCCTGTATACTTTAAATCATCTCTAGATTACATATGATATCTAATAAAATGTAAATACTATGTGAATAATTGTTATATTTTATTGTTTAGGGAATTACAAGAAAATAATCTGTAGGTGTGCAGTACAGACACAACAATCCTTTTTTTTTCCAAATGTTTTTGATCCAGAGTTAATTGAATCCCCAGATGTGAAATCCATGGATGTGAAGGACCAATGGTAACAAACCATTGGTGTTTTTTATTCATTACTAGAATAGCTGGGAAACATCCTTAGAACATCAGTCCAAAGTGACTTGAAGTGTAAAAAAATTGGATATAAGAGAGCTTTTAAAGAGAGTTAAGTTTCCTTCATTAGAAAAAAAAAAACTAGGGAAGGTAGGCCTAATAACTTTAAAAAATTCATGGCGTCATTTTAAGAAGAGCTTAGGTCAGCCAGTATGAAAACAAAGAAAAAGAAAAGTTAGCCTCAAGTCATAGAGGAAAAAAAAAAAAAAAGATTTGGAAAGAGATTAGGGAGACTGATTTTTCTGGAACACTAGAGCTAGTTATTGGGGGAAAAAAAACCCCGTGGAATTGCTCTGCTGGAAGCATTTGGAAAGTAATTAGCTAATTCTCTTTCTCAATGTGTTTAAAGATAAGACTAAAAGTGGGTGCTAGAATACTCCTTTTCTTGAAGCTCCGCTTCTAGAACTCTGAATGGCAATGAGGTGGATTAAAAGTCTATTCTCTTCTCCCTCCCTTATTTGGCTGGCATGTCTAATTCCAGAATTGGAAACTCATAGACATTGCTATGAAATGTATCATAGATCATGACTCACTATGAAAAGGACAAGTGTGCAAGTTGCCTTACCAGTGAAAAATCCTCTGCCTGCCCTCTTTCTTCCTGAGACAAGACTTCAGTTCTTTCTCTCTGATTCATATCCTGAGGAAATCAACATGATAAAAAATGGCTGCGTTCAATTAAAAAATGTCTCCAACCCACACTTTAAAAACATAAGCTCTTTTCAATCCAGATATGGATTATCTTCCTGAGAAAGTCTTTTCCTTCAGAAGAATTTTGTGCCATTTAAGATAGGCAAAACAGGCAGAATGCCATTCCTGCAATGAAAGTTACGCATTTAGCCAACAGATTTGCAAAGTGCATCTGCCATGGCAATGGATTTAAAGATGGGAATTAGTAGGAGAAAGAACTATGGTTTATTTGAGCCCACCAGCATCAGGTATTCTAGGTACTCTTCAACAGCAGCAGTTAACATTAATTGAATGCTTGCTAGGTATCAGGTACCATTCTAAGTTTTCCTTGCATTATTTCATTTAATCCAAACAAGTTCATGACATAAATCCTATTATGGATCCTAACTCACAGATGAGGAAAATGAGGCTCATCAGAGGTTAACCAATTTTTTCAATATGAGGTAGCAAGTAGCAGAGAGGGCTTTCAAATCAGAACTGTCTGACATCAGAACTTAAACTTCTAACTATTCCTCATACAGTCTTTTAGGAAAAGGTAGATACAAGATCTCCATTGTGGATATGAGAAAATGGAAACTCAGAGAAGAAGAGTAGCTTGATTAAGAGCACAAAGATTACTGATGTTTTTGGCCTAGGATTTGAGCTCAGGTCAGGAGGACTCCAATGTTCACGTTCCAGTCATATCGATAGAAAACCTAGGAGATGAGTAGATGTCCTGACATTCATTCCACGTAGATTATTTTTAATTCAAATAAGCAAATGCCCACTATGTATAAAACTCTGTACAAGTCTTACTGCATGTAAGACTTTGAAGATAGTATGAAAAAATTAAATATATTGTACCTGCCTCCAATGAACTTTAAATTCTAGTTGACAGAGAAAACACACAGATGAATAAACTAAGATCAGTTGCAAAGTATTGTGACACCATAGGTAAAATAATATCCTACGCATTAAATAGATTCAGAAGAAATGCTGGGAGAAGCAGTGATTAGAGAAGAAAATTGATCAAGAAAAGCTTCCTTGGAGAGGTATAAAATGATATGTATGATGAATAGAGTTGATCCCATTGCCTGACTCCCTGTCTATTTTTGTGGGTAGAAAAAAAAAGATACTTTGGAGAACCTATATGGAGAGAAAATATGATCTTAGCACCTATGGGAAACGTCCTATGAAAGATACGGCTCACAATTACAGAGCCATGGAAAGGTTGAAGGACAGGGAAGGATTTCTCTGTGATTACAGTTAAAACTACTAGTGATTACTCTTTCTCTTGGCTAGTAGTTTTCCATAGGGTCCCATCAAATATAAACTATAATAGTTACAGATCAAATCTACACTCATTCTTTATGAAAAAAAGGCAAACAGCCAGAAGAGAGGGAGAGGAAAAGTTCATTTCAGCATTTTCAAGGGATTTTCCATGAGATCTAGCCAGTAATAGAAGAGAAAAAAATTTTTTCTGAATAAGGAATGGGCTCGAATGCTGATTGCTTATTTCACCTCCCACCTCCCCGGCAAACCCCCAATTTAATAAATAATTGGCTATTAAAAAGAACCTTTGGATGGTAAGCATGTATTCCTCAGTTATAAGATTTATCCAAGCTACGTTCAACTTTTTTTCAGTCTAAAGCATGGACTTCAGCCTTCAAGAGGACTATTTACTGAGACTTCTGTAAGAACATTATCTTCTTATAAACTAGAAGCAAGAAGTATTCAAGGTGTTAATGAGTATTACTAAATAAAACAGTTCTAAAGTCAAATCACTGGGAAAGCAAATGTTTTACTTTATTGTATTATTTTTATTTTACAGCCTTAACTATGCTGATGTACATTTTGAATGTCCAGTGGGGACATATTCAGGATTTCTTAAACTTGTTTGACCTTAGAATACCTCCTTATTTTGTAGAATTTGTATTGATATCTCATAGACTTCATATTCCAAGAAAAGAGTCATGCTCTCTTTCCTTACATAAGTTTTAGAAAGGTAGCTCTTAGAACAGTTAGGTCCAGGTGGATGCAGTAATGGATGGAGAAAGAGGACTACCAACTGGCCATAACTTCAAGCCCATAGCTGGGAGTGATGGGCCTCCACTTTCAGCTTCCTTGAATTCATCATTAAGCAAGAGTGAGTGACAAATCTCTAATGTTTCTTTTGATGCTTTTCAGGGCCACGTTCACAGCCACATGGAAAAGCACTGGCGTCACTCTCCTCTATAATGATCAGCTCAGTGTTGGTATCAGTGGGAACGAGGGAGACAAAGCAGGGGTTTCTTCCCACAAGATGGCCAAGGGCTGTCTAGAACTGATGGAGCACGTGGAGTGAAGGATCATTTACACTGCATGCCTGAACACACTGTGTCAATTACATTTTAGTATTTCACCCATAGTCTTTGAAAAGCACTCAAAAGAGTTCAGATTCTTTTAGTGGGTCGTTCTGTATCTGTTAGATGTTCCTTGCCCTTGCCTACATCTGACCAGAGTATAAGACTAATGAAATCAAACTTCTCTAAAGGCCACTTGTATGAGTGTGACTTTAAAATGCTGCCATTGCTTATGGTCATTTAAAGAGGAGGAAATGGAGACAGTGAAGAGAAAGTTGCACCACTTAGAGTTCTATTTTGAGACAGAAATCCTCAAGTAAAACTTCTGTCTACAGGAATGCAGTTTTCTTAGGAGAGAGTTTACTTCTAAATTAGCACACCTGAACTACTTAATTCCTAACACATCACACGTACCGCTGAATCAGACGGCCTACCCTGAAGGGCTGTTTTTCTGCCCTATCCTAAGAGTCAGAAATGTGTAAAAAGACACAGTCAACTCATTAACACATTTGCATTTTTCAATAGCATTAACCAAGATTTTTATAAAAAGTATATGTATAAATATGTAAAATTAACATATTTTTAATGTAAATATTGTATCATTGCATGTAAGTATACTTATGCTTCTTTTTATATCATCCAAATATCTTTATCAATGAAGAATTCTCTATTTTACAGGTAAACAGTTTTAATGAACAAACTAATGTTTGTGTAGTGCTTTACAGTTTACAAGTCTTATTTTATCTTCAATACAACTCTGAGAGTTGAATCTTAGTGTCTTCATTTCATGATGTAGAAATTAAAGATTGAGAAAATATCACCAGGCTAGTAATTGGCAGAGTGAGACTGAAACCCAGACTTTTTTTTATCTCAGATTTAGCACTGTCATTTCTCAAGGAGTGAGTCAGAACCCACATTTTCTGAGAGATTTCCAGAATAAGTGCATGGTGATCCGTTCTATACTCGTAGTTCATTGTACTGCAAAATTAGTACTTGATTGGAAACTGTCTTATTGTCCAACTACTTCATGTGTCTCTGTCTTATCTATCACACCCAAACATAAGCCTTTTATTATGTTGCTCTTTGGGGCATCCCCTGACTTCCTCATGTGCTGTTCTTACTGCAGAGAATGCTCTCTCCTTTCAGACCCCACACAACAAGGCTCAATCATATTCAACAGGACTCAGGCTAGGGGTGGTGCCTTTCCCTTCTTGGAAACTCTTGCTGGCATTCTCAACCGTCATCCTTGCTCCAGGAAGGAGACTCTCCTATATGCTCCTATAGCATCCAGAGCTGACATCTGTAATGGATTCATCCCACTGTCTTGCACTGCCAGTGTCTATTTATCATGCATTTCCCACATGACCTTCACCACCTTGAGAACAGGAATCTTATGTTACTTCTCTTTGAATCCTCAGAACCTACCACATAGTAGGCTATTAATAACTGATAAATAAATAATTGAATAAATAAAGTAACATAAAACCAATTAAGGCAGTTAGTTAATGTCTTTGAGGAGTTCTCAGGCTCATGGGAAGAAGAATCTGTAAAGAGAACAGGACAAGCAACACAGCAAGGTGTACTTCCCCAGTACACAGATGGATTCAGGTGCCTTGGGGGCATACACAAGAAGGGACAGTGCTGCCCTGCCAGTCAGGCCTCAGAGAAAGCAAAGTTGAACAGAGTCTTGAAAGGAGAGTAGAAAGTCACCAGTGTTTGTGGAGCTGAGAGAAGTAGGGTCGGAGTAGGCAGCATGAAGAGAAGGCAGGCTTTAGCAAGGCTCTATTTTATCTTGGCTGTGTAACAACCCTTTCTCTGGGGGAGCTGACCTTCACTGCATCCAACCTTAGGGTTCTATAGCAGCTGCCAGTCATGTTTCTTGTTTCCCTGGCTCAGAGGACTTCCCAGAGGTTTTGCACATTTTTCCAGCCTCATGGAGGAAGGTCTAAGAGAATAAAGCTGACCCAGAGAGAGAAGCTTAGGGCAAAGTGGGAGGAAGTGCCTGGATCCCTGATTCTAGTAATTTCTGGAGCCTGGTGTACCCAGCCCTTTCCAGAGTTTGGTTTGTTACCTAACTAAATTAAGCTGGGTTTCTTTCACTTGCAAACACAAGAGTACTGACCAAAAGTAAAACCTTAAAAGTGGCCGGGCGCAGTGACTCACACCTGTAATCCCAGCACTTTGAGAGGCTGAGGCAGATGGATCACTTGAGGTCAGGAGTTCAAGACCAGCCTGGCCAACATGATGAAACCCTGTCTCTACTAAAACTACAAAAATTAGCTGGGTGTAGCAGCGTGTACCTGTAGCCCCAGCTACTCAGGAGCCTGAGGCACAAGAATCACTTAAACCCAGATGGCAGAGGTTGCAGTGAGCTGAGATCATGCCACTGTACTCCAGCCTCAGCAACAGAGCAAGACTCAGTCAAAAAAACAAAACAAACAAAAAAACCCCACCTTAATAATATCTCCTGTGGGCTGGGCATGGTGACACACGCCTGTAATCCCAGCACTTTGGAAGGCCGAAGCAGGAGGATCACTTGAGCCCAGGAGTTCAAGACCAGCCTAGGCAACATAGTGAGACCCTATCTCTACACAAAATAAAACAATTAGCTGTGTGTGATGGCATACACCTGTAGTCCCAGTTACTCAGGAGGCTGAGCTGGGAGGATCACTTGAGCCCAGGAGTTTGAGGCTGCAGTGAGCTATGATCGCACCACTGTACTCCAGCCTGGGTGACAGAGTGAGACCTTGTCTCTAAATAAGATTAACAACAACGAATCTCCCCTATAGCATGCACATAGAGATAGTCACAAAGTAGCTACTCAAGAGTTTGTTCCTCAAATGGATCTTTTCCCATATCTGTTCAATCCTTTCATTTAAAGATGGAGACACAGACTTAAGTACCTTTTCCAAAGCCACTCATTCTACTCATAACAGATTTTATCCTAGTGCCTGACTTTTCTTCCCAGAACAGAGCTCCATCCACCAAATACTGCTTCCTTTGCTTTTTGCTGGCTAATTAGCCTTAAGGTAAGAGGTGATCATGGGATTCATATTTGATGAAAAAAAATCAAAATGAACAAAGAATTCATGAAATGACTATAAAGTGATGAAATTATGGTTTTTTATTCATTTAACAAATAGCCCCCACATACATCTGTCTCTGTGGTAGGCGGGTATTCTGGGATAAACAAGACATGCTCCTTGACCTCAAGTAAGTTCACTAAGTGGAGGGAGGAACTGTACAACTTACCAGAGCTTCATATATCTTCAAATCAGCAATCTGGGAGAATATATACTTATTATTTTTTCATTTGCTGGTAAGTCCCTTTGAACCAGTTATGAGTCAAACAAAAATGTCAGCTTATGATTTTATAAGTGCATTTAAATTCTTTTTTAAAATTTTTTTTTAGATGGAGTCTTGCTCTGTTGCCCAGGCTGGAGTGCAGTGGCATGATCTCGACTCACTGCAACCTCTGCCTCCTGAGTTCAAGCAATCCTCCTGCCTCAGCTGCCCAAGTAGCTGGGACTACAGGCGTGTGCCACCATGCCCAGCTAATTTTTGTATCTTTAGTAGAGATGGGGTTTCACCATATTGGCCAGGCTGGTCTCGAACTCCTGATCTGCCTGCCTTGGCCTCCCAAAGTGCTGGGATTACAGGTGTGAGCCACCGCGCCCGGCCTTAAATTCATTTTTAATCAAAAATGGTATCATGCAGCTGGACCAATTGAATATGGCACTTGGGTTTTTTTGAAAACACAAAATAGCCTCAAAAGACAATGAATTTCTTCCACTAAGTATATTGAAAGAATATGCTGTAGATTCTTAGGTCTGCTATAAAACAGGAGGTTCAAAGATGTTTTGCCCGAGGCTAGGCAGCATCACTGCCCTGAAAGTAACTATACTATTCAAGATGAGTATGTTTGTATGCATTTGTTAAAATAATGAGTTCTAGAATTTATATTAAATTTCCAGACAGGCCTAGAGGCAGATGCCAGGATCGCCTTAAGTCACCTTGATGCCCTTCCAGCTCTGTGATTCTACGATTGCTTATACTGGATTTCTCCAACCCTGTGATGGGCTGAAGAGCTATTTCTGTCCTAGTTCTTTGCCTTATATAGGTCAAATCCCATTCCAATGAGTACCATAACAATAACCACCTCATGGCCTGGTTATTTTAGACAACCTGATAAAATAAGAATCAAGTATGACCTCCAAACCGAAGTTGGCTGTTACAGAATTTGACCTGAATATTACTTAAGCAAGGAGGTGGCCAGTGTCTTAGGTTTTCATCTTCATGGCACTGAACCATTGCAAAACAGTTAGATTGAAGGTACCAAGAATCTATTAGTGAAACCAAACAACTGTACCCAGAGTCCCTTAGTCAGTGACTCCATGTGCCTGATAGATACTACAAAATCAGAATGTCAGGGGACTGAATGCTATGAATTTCCATGTAAGAATGGTCTCCAACTTATGTGTATCCACTATAGCCAAAGAGTGTCAGGGCAATTGTCCATCTTAATTCAGGGCTATTAATAAGCCTTATTTTCATATTGGGCATCCCAAACCTAAGGTTTCTTCTCCAGTCTCTCCCAGGAAGCTAGATTCATGCTTCTTTTTGCATATATTGTTCCTGCTTGAAACAGGTGTTAGTTATTGCTCTCTGAAACGTACCTTTACAAGAGTGTAAAGACCCCGAGGGTACATATGTTTTTGGTTGATTCCCAGCTATGCTTAATATCTGGGTCCTCTCATTAGAATTTAAGTTCCACAAAAGCGTAAAATCTCATGCCTAGAACAGTGCCTAGCGCATAGTAAGTGCTTGATAATTATTTGTTGAAATAATGAATGAATAATGATGGATAGTTATTCTTTAAGACCCAATTCCAATGCCACCTGTCCCCTCCCAAAGCAGCTATGTGTCTCTCCTCTGATCCTTTAGTACTGTTTGCATTTCTCTATAATAATACTTACAGGATACTCTCTTAATTGTTTATATCTGTTTTCCCAATTAAGCTGGGGAATATTTTATGGCCGGAACTATGTTTTATAATGCCATATGCTTTGTGCCTAAAACAATAGAAGTTCAATAAATGCTTATTGCTTGAACGGCTGAAAGAATGAATAAAAATATTTCTCTTGTCATGATAAATGCTAAAGATTTGTGATCTAACCTTATACCTCAAATTTTGCCTGGACTCAAGAGCTTTCCATGGATCAAACTGATGAAGCCATGAGTCACTGGGCTTGGAGGGAGGGGTGTTTGTTTGTAGAGGATTTGCTTCCCGACCTCGATGAATCACATGTATAATCACCCAAACTGCATCCTGTCTGGGGAAGTAACCAAAACCCCTATTTCTGGCCCCAATGGCTTTTTGGTTTTATGAGTAAATGCCACTGGCATGTCATTAAATAAATGCCCTCAGAAAGTCCTCAGCCAGTGCTATAACCTACAATAGTCAGGGTTGTGACAGAGAAGCAGTCTTGAAATTAGAGCGCAAGGCGGAGGAGGTACCTTTTTCACCTGGCGTCTTTCTGGTGACCTGCCTCAAAGTTCTTTTCCAATATCGGTCACACTCTACTCCCAGTCACAGGTGTGATCATGTAATTCTCCTGCACACAAAGAATCAATGGCTCTCACTATCTACAGAATAAAGACCAAACTTCTTAACTTACAATCCAAGGCCCTCCAGAATCTGGTTCCATCCTGTTTTACCTCCCTCATCTTCTTCTATTCCCATATAACCATACGTTCCACAAACACCGAACAATTTTCGGAACACATCCAAATCCTGCTCTTTGCTCTTATGCTTTTGTTCCCTCCTAGAATGCCACCCCTCCCATTTTCAGATGCCCAACACTTGTGTATTCTTCAAGTCTCACAAAATGCCACTTCCTCCATAATGTCCTCCGTGATTGTCTAAGGAAGAATGACTTCTCCATTGAGCATACCTAAGATTTTATCTGTACTCCCATCCCATTGCTTATTTCTAATAACACATAGGCACATGTTTGTTTCTCTAATCAATTTTCTTAGTCAATGTGATACTCCAACTCTTACCAGTGCCTGCCGCAATGGACACTCAAAATAAAAGTTGGTTGAATAAAAAAATTGAATTAGTTCAATTGTTTAAATCCTTATCTTTGTCTTGGAATCTTCAGGAAAGGTTCGATGTAAAAATTTCTTATTCTTATTTATCTCATTTTATCCCTCACCCCTTTCCAAGAAAACATGAGATTAAGAAAAGCTTTGGTCCCAGCAAACAACTGTTGTTTTATATCTATGAATCTCAAAGGCAAGGTTTTCATTCCAGGCTTCCTTCCTCTTCATATCTAGCACTTTGGGGCCCACTTTGCTAATAGATGTCCTAAGCTCGAGGGGAAAATATAATTTTGATATTAACTTGAATAAAAAAGAAACATAACAAAGAGAGGATTTACTGTTTCAAAATGCAAACTTTTAAAAAGATAGTGTATTCCAAAAACAAAGACTTTTCTGTTATCTGCTGTTTTGGAATATTCATGCCACAGTGCCAATTTCAGCGTGGATGCATTCCTTTCAGTATGGATAAGTGAAAGTTCATGCAGTAAAGTTTAGCTTTGACTGCAAACCACTTTGCTTTCCTTTCTGTTTATTAGTATAACTCTGGTTATGAGAATAAGGACATAGAAGCAGACAAGGCTAAAATCACCCCAGCCAAGTTCAGATAATGAGAGAAAAGAATGTCAAGAGTTTTATTTTCTCTACTGTCTTTGGGCAATGGTCATATCTAGGTGGATAAAAGAGACAGACAGCCATTATTGCAGTTTGAGAGCCATCTCCTTTCCTGCTTCTTGAAAGCCGCCACTGGGGCAGCATTCTTCCTTCGTTAGAGGTCAAGTCCTCCCTATACCACTTTATGGCTGAGTGACTATAGAAAAGTCAGCAACTGGTCATCGGAGAAATGCAAATCAAAACCGCAATGAGATACCATCTCACACCAGTTAGAATGGCGATCATTAAAAAGTCAGGAAACAACAGGTGCTGGAGAGGATGTGGAGAAATAAGAACGCTTTTACACTGTTGGTGGGACTGTAAACTAGTTCAACCATTGTGGAAGACCATGTGGCGATTCCTCAAGGATCTAGAACTAGAAATACCATTTGACCCAGTGATCCCATTACTGGGTATATACCCAAAGGATTATAAATCATGCTACTATAAAGACACATGCACACGTATGTTTATTGTGGCACTATTCACAATAGCAAAGACTTGGAACCAACCCAATGTCCAACAATGATAGACTGGATTAAGAAAATGTGGCACATATACAACATGGACTACTATGCAGCCACAAAAAAGGATGAGTTCATGTCCTTTGTAGTGACATGGTTGAAGCTGGAAACCATCATTCTGAGCAAACTATCACAAGGATAGAAAACCAAACACCGCATGTTCTCACTCATAGGTGGGAATTGAACAATGAGAACACTTGGACACAGGGTGGGGAACATCACACACCGGGGCCTGTCATGGGGTGGGGGCAGTGGGGACAGATAGCATTAGGAGGAATACCTAATGTGAATGACGAGTTAATGGGTGCAGCACACCAACATGACACATGTATACATATGTAACAAACCTGCACGTTGTGCACTTGTACCCTAGAACTTAAAGTATAATTTAAAAGAAGAAGAAAAGTCGGCAATTTCTTCATCAGTTAAGTGAAGATAATAATACCTATTACAACATAACATGGTCAGACTTTGTAAACTCTAAAGTGCTGTTCAAAGATTAGCTACTGTTATAAATTCAAAGATGAATTGTTTTTTTTTTTTCATTACCTAACACAGGGGTTGGCAGACGCTTTTTGTAAGAGAATGATAATAACATTTTAAGATTCGTGGACCATGTGGTGTCTGTTGTAACAACTCCATTCTGCCTCTGTATTAGGAAAGCAGCCAAAGACAATATCTAAATGAATGGATGGGCTTTGTTCCAACAAAACTTTATTTATAACAGGTAGTGGACCAGATTTGGCCCATGGGACACATTTGCAAATCTCTGCCCTACTCCTTTGGTGAGAACGAAACACTAGAGGCAGAGGGGAATATCTAAACTCTGTTTGTGGCATGAAGAGTAATATAGTTGGGTTTTGTGAACAGTTGCCTTGAGGCTTTCAAATATCTTTTTAAGGTACTCTCTTTAACATTAGAGTTTTAATTTTGTACATTATCACCACCATCTTCATCATCATCAATATCATTCTGTACCTATCTGAGAAGTATTACCAAGAGAGGTATAAAAGAACCCTAGTTTTCTATACCTATCACTTGACCATACTCTGTTCTGGGAAAGACAGCTCTGATTATTGTTAAAGAAAATATCAATCATACTTGTGGTGAAAGGTCGCTACATTTTTTAACAAATTGGTCCTTTGAGCAAGATGAATTTTAATGGATTGGTTTATTAACCTAAAGGTTGAACCAGACTGAGAGTAACTGAATGATTTGCTCATAATTAGTATTATTTATAATTATTTTACTTGGGAAAAAATATCACCTTAAATGTCAGGATGTTTTTTAATTGCTTCAGATGAGATTCAAAATAATTGACTTCGCAAATTTATTTTTAAAAACTCATTTAAAAACATCTGAAGCTGTTGACAGTCTGTCTAGAAGAGGCAAGATATTGATATTCATTACTAGGAACAGGGCAGAAATTGATCCATCATTTTTTTAACCACATGAATTGTGCATTGTGGTCACTTCTGGACTCTGAAATAGCTGCAATGCTGATAGAGTGATGCGTTTGTTCCTCTCCCCCATTAAATCTGCTATCTAAGCGAAGATGCTGTGTGTGTGGATGTAGGTATTATGTTTCTTGCTCAAATACATATTTACATATATTTTTATTAAAAGGGGAATAGGCACATGGGCGAAAAAAGGATGTATATATGTATTTAGTATTTTTAGAAAAATACAAATAGTCTATGTACACATTGCGCATCCATTCATGTGACTTACATAGGATACTAACTTTTTGATGGTGAGTAGGTATATGACAAATTTAGCATCTTTATAAATATTTGATTTATCAGTTGATTGGTGGAAATGAAAAAAAGTAAGGGACTATATTAACAGCTGGGGAAAGACAGCTTTTCAAATAATTTTAATTGTGCAATACGGGTAAATCACTAGTAAGAAACATGCAGCAGAATAATGACTATAAAACCTTATAATTATACAGCACTTGGATAGTCAGGAACTGTTGGTGTGTGCAGTATAATCACATGTGCTCCTTACATCTATATTTGGATGCACGAAGGAAGGATGGTAACAGTTTCATTTGACAGATGAGCAAGAGAAGTCAAGTGATTTTCCCACCATCTACATTGCCTTCCCCATACACCACATGGCCTCTGGAACCCGAGCGAAGGGTGAGTGCATCTATAGGCATCAAAGCCAACTTCAGTCTTCGCAGGCAGAATCAACCAGCCAGATCCAGTGTGCAGAACCCAATTTTCATCCAAGACATTTCAAGGAACTAAGTAACAAATGACCCAGACCAAAAACAAACAAACAAACAAAAAAAAAAGCAAACACATTTCAGGCAGTGAATATAGTGATGGGATGATTAACTGATTAACAGAGTCTCTTATTTGCTTCTTCCAAGCATATTTAGTCTGATCATGTGCCTGAGACATGGTGTGACATTTGCTCTGGCAGCAGTGTCCAGGACACAGACAAATCACTCATCAGTCAGGTAGCCAGGCAGACACCATCAATCATTATCTGCATGTTTGAGAAATACAAAACTGTAGCTGAGGTCGGGGAAAAGAACATTTGATGGTGGCTAAAAGGTAAGTATACAAAGATTCCTATTTATCTCCCAAAGAGGTTACTCTAACATGTGCTGTGGAAATAGAGTCATAAATTCTAAATTTTCTCACAGATAGGAGGTTAAGGCTAATATATCTATATAACGTATATGTTATATATTATCTGATTCTTCATATATATATATATATATATATATATATATATATATATATATATCTCCACAGCTCAGTAGGCAAACCCGCTGTTGAGGATAGGAAGAATATATTAACTGATTAATTATTATTAATGCCATCTTTTATTTAACTAGCAATTGTAATCTATTAAGAGCATTCATTCACACTATCTGACTTATTCAACCCTCAGAAAAACCCTGTAGGGCTCATAAGTAATATATTATTATCTTCCTTTTATAGACAAAGGAAAAGGAAACTCAGATATTTCCTTTCTTAAGCTAATCTCACCAGCAAGTGGCAAAGCCTGGACTAGAACACGGAATTTCTGACTCCTATTCCATTACCTAGAGCGACTGTGGAAGAGCCGAAGGAAGAAAGGGAAAGTGTGAAACATGAGTTCCGAGCAGAGAGGACCTGAAAACACACTCAGACCAGAATTCCTTCTAGTTTGGGTTAAAGTCCGGAGTGGGTGTGGCTATACGACACACAACCAGAATGATTAGATTGACTTTCTGGCACACCTACTCACTTTGAATTTTCTTGTGCAACTGAGCCTTTTGTGTCAATCTCCCATCCTCTCCTGCCTTGTGAAGTTTCTGGGGTGGCCGAGTTGGAACCAACTTCAAACCCTCTTATGTCTCTGATTCACTTTCCAAACCCTCCCTCTCCCACTCCGTGGTCAGCCTTTTGTATCACACCCTGCAAACATTTTTTTCTTTTGCGCTCCTTTGGGACTCCTCCCTCTTCTCTCCCTCCATCTCCCAACTCCTCTGCACTGCCTTTCCCCTTTAATCTCTGCTGACCACCTTTTGTGAATGCTCCATCCGCTCCTCCCCCCGTCACGACTGTCCTCTTGCGGGTACCTACCTGTGTGCTCTGCAGCCACACGCACCTCCTGGTTGCCCCTCAGATGTCTTGGTTCTGTCTGTCTGATGTCGCCAGCCTCCACCCGGGGCCTGTGAGCTGTGCATGTCTTCAAGCTCTTTGTTACTATTCCTCCTTAATTTATAATGCTAGGCAAATAACAACACACAATAAAAGATGATATCAGCTGTGTTTCTCGCCTGCAGCCTCCAGAAGTGTTATCTTAGACCCCATCATTGCAACAAAGAAATCTCTCAGTTGAGTGAGTGAAAACCAGTTACAGGACAGGAGGAGAAAACTTCTGCGCTTCCAAAATTCCGCAGCCCCAGCTGCCCTCCGGCGGCTCCCCCTTGTGGGAGATGTGGGGCATAGCAAGGCAGTGCCCAGTTGGGACGGTGCCTGGGTGGGAGGAGGGCGAGAGAAGAGTGCTCGCACTCAGGGATGTGCCCCAGAGGGCGTGGGGTCCGGTTCCGGCCACGAAGAACAGCCTCTGTGTGAGTTGCAGGACTGAGGTCCTCTGCAATTTCTCAGGGAAATACTTCCGGGAGACGCAGTCCTCAGTGCCTGGAGGTCTCTGGGTCCAGGTGAGTGTGGTGTGAGTAATAAGCCTGCATGGCTTACGCGCTGCATGGGAAGTCCTGTATCACAATCACAACGTATCATAAAGTCGGAGGTTCACACAGGGCTGTTCCGAGAGGTAAGGCGTGGTCTCCAGTCTCTGAGTAAAAGACTTGATGGTCCAGTCTCCTGGATTCTCTTGCCACCGTGGACACTTGGCCTTTCGGTCCCTCTAGAGCTCTGGACACATACTGCTCCCCACCTTAGTGAAAACAGACTGTATGTCCAAATAGTATCTTTCTCCAGAGGAACACGGTCTCATTTATACTAACCCACCCTGGCAGATATCACTGTCATCCTCCTCCTCCTCCTCCTCATTTGAGTGTCATACAGCTTCTTTTGCTTACGGTTATTATTGTTTTGTTTTTTAATCTTTATTACTGTAGTGTCTATGTTGCTTATGGAGAAACAGCTCATGAAGTAGCTGTGGTTTTTAACAAATGGAGCTTTATTATTTTATTCCAAGTTCAATCTTCACGTATGGTTCAGTATAGAGCTGCCACCAACATCAGAAAGGTAGTGGAGTTTAATAGAGTCCAGTGGAAATTGGTCTGAGATTTGTTTTGCTGAAATTAAGGACTCCCTTGCCAGGACTGCTGGAAGAGTCAATGAGACAATATGACGTGGCAAAACAAGCTCTAGGCTTCAACAGATCTAGACTCGATACCTATCTCTGCTACTTATTTTATGCTCAATTAACTACTCTCACCTCAGTTTCTTTGTCCATAAAATGGAGTTAACTTAGTTTCACAAGCAAGATCTCACAACTGGTATGATGGCAGAATGAAATAATACGTCACAAACCACATGCTCACCTACAGTTCAGTGGCAGAGCACGGTTGTCATTCTGGAAAGTTTCTTTGTTTGGATTCCAGTAACTGTGCTGATAAATAGAGAGCATCCCACTAGGCCTATTGGTTGTTTCCTCCACGTTTGACATCATGACCAGTTTTCTCCTGCAGACTCGGTCTGGGTCTCTCTGTCTGTGTCACACCCAGCATACTGTTCTCACAGAGGGGGAGCCAATCAATACTCCTTAATGGTGTGGCTCAATGCCCTGTACTGAGGATGATCAGTGAGTGTCACTCCCACTTTTCTCCAGAGACAGGACATAGTCTAGACATACGGTGCAGGAGGAGGTCAGGAACCCTGGGTTCTGATCTTAGCTCCACTTACTAGTGCATTGGAAATGATACTTGAAGTTGCACGAGTCTCTGATTCTGCTGCAGCTACTTTATGAGCTCTTTCTCCATAACTAACATTGGTATTACAGGAATAAAGACAAAAGACAGCAATAACTTTAAGCAAAAGAAGTTGTGTGCCACTTAAATGATGACGATGATGATGAGGAGGAGGATGACAAAGCAGAAGAAAGTATGTCAATGATGATATTGCTATGAACCATAAACTCACTAAATATTTCTCAGACCTATGTTGGGCCTAGGGCTGAATATGAAAGGGTTAAACTGCCCTGAAGATAATTAAGCCCTGTTACAAACTCAAGTTAAAAAAAAACAAACAAAAACAAAAAACAAAACAAAACAAAAAAACAGCCATAAGGATTTAGAGAAATCAAGAAAAGCAGCAAAAACATTCCCTTTCACGCAAACAGATCTAAAACTGAGAACCTTTAGTGACAAGCCCGCTGTGAAAGATGGGATCAAAATCCAGAATTACTTCTACAGGAGTAAGTATCAGAGGGTCTGGAGCATACGTGTCCCCATCAGGGACACGGGGTCATGAGTGGAGAAACAGGAAAATGAGTGGTGAGGGAAGGAGAGTCTTGTTCCCCTTTGGATTGGCAGAGCATTCCATTCTGCTCTGCACCCGACACCAGGAAAAATGCAGGACCCAGACAATAGGACAACAAAGATGAAGCAACCGTGTCATGAGGAACTTGAAGAACTGGAAATATTTAGGCAGATAAAGATGCAACTCTGTAATTGCTGTCTTTGAATATTTAAAGGACTCTTAATTAGAAAAGGGTGGGATTTGCTCCACCCAGCTTCAGGAAATAGAATGAAACTAATGGAGAGACACGTCAAAGAGAAATATTTCCGATCCACTATAAGAAAAATATTCTGGTAGTTTAGTCCAGATTTGGAAAGGTCACTTTGTGTCTGGAGAAGGCTGTGAGGGCTCTGTCATTGGACATTCTTTGGCCAAATGCAGGGCCAGCCATGGAGGCTGCCTGCACTGAGACAACCTTTGGGGATCCTTCTAGCTCTTGGACTATTTGAGTCTATGAACGATCTGGGATCCAAAAGGAGAAACTAGACAAAAGAAGCATGTGACATCCTCACACAGAGCATTTTAACTCCTGCTGAGGGATCTCCTGGTCTAACACATTAGATGATCAGATAAATCCAAAGTGTGCTTGCAACCTTTTCCTCTCTTTCCCTTGAACAGCACTATTTCTTTAACTATCACAGGTAAGTCCAAGAGTTAGGTATCTCCCAGGTGGGGCAAATGGCCTTTAGTATAGTGGAAAACACACAAGAAAAGGCAAAACTCTTACACTGAATGATCAGTTTAAGGAGAATCGCAGGTTTTAAAAGAGATGATGTTTAGAAGCCATCTTATCAAATATCTCCCCCAATGTCTGAATTCCACCCATATCTTCCCTGATCGAGTGGTTGTCTGATCTCTGTTTGAACTCAGCCTCTGAAGTCAATTTGATTGGAGGCCATTCTGATTGGGCTCAAGAATAAGCAAAACACACACATAGAAAATGCAATCAGCAAGACATGGATGCAAGGGAAAAGGCACCTTTGGTATAGTACCAGAATACAAGGCAGAACCTAAAGCTAATTAGAATTTCTTGAAGTCAGAATTACAGTAAATTTTAAAAGCCCTACCTACAGTTTGAGGAGACATACTTGGGACACACAGTACCAGTAAAAATTGTAGGTGACGTTGTTGCCTTTTCTGCAATCTTTTGCGTCTATGTGTGAGCCTTACATGGCAGGCTGGGAAGGCATAAGAATAGGGGTAGGGGCGGTTGAAAGGGTGCAGGTTGCTAAAAAGGAAGGAACTACGGGGCTTTGGGCGGGGCTGGTATGTGGTATGCGTTTGGAGTTGCTTTCATGATATTATCCTGGACAGAGTTGCAAAAAAGGGTGCAAAGCCGATGAGGGTGTCAGATAAGAGAAATGGAGCATTCGAGAATTGACTTCTGATTGAGCAGAGGGAACACTGAGCTCAGACAAAGGAGACAAAAAGAGTTTAGGGATGAAGGAAAAGGGAGAAACATTTAGAGGTAGGAAGATGTGAAGGGAGAAACTGCATAGGAGGTCTAAGATATCTGGGACATTTCCAAGACCATCACGGGGTCTCAAGGGGCGATGAGAGGCAGGAAAAAGGGTAAATGCTGAGGAGGAAGAAGGAGGCCGGGCACTGAAAGATCTTCTGAGTAGAAAGAAACAGGAAGAAAGCTAGACCCATCATAAGACTTGGTGTCTCCATTTCCCGACTAGGTCACTTCTCAGGAGAGAGAATCAAAGGGCACCTTCCTGGCTGCAAAAGATGGTTAATTCACGAGAAAAATCTGAATCCATCAAGTGTTGACTAGACACCTCCTATATGCTCAAGATACAGGATAGAAGTAGAAATCAAGTTCCACAGTAACCTGAGTTACTACTAGTCAGTTAACAATCATTTGCTCAGTAACTACTCTTGGCCAAAGACCATGGTAAGCATGAGGAACCCGACTAGGATGACTAGGCCAACCCTCCCAGGGGTCACAGAGTAACAGGTGAAAGGGAGAAGCACAGCCCAGTGTAAAACTCCTGCAAAGGATTATAGGGTGCTGTGAAGGAAAATAACAGAATATCCAAATAATCATTTCTAGGTTTTATGTTTTTAACAGAAAAGACATGTCAGACGCCACAAAGAATCAGGAGCAGTCAGTCTGTAGGAATCGTCCTGGCCTGGGAATGTCAGAAAGAACATTCCTAGTCCCCAGTGCCCAGATAAGGGCAGTGGAGGCTGAACTCAGAAGAGGACCACTGAGCAACTGGCCACACTGGGGGCTGTACTCCTCAGGGCAATGAGGAGGATGAGAATGGAAGGAGGAGGCCTCCCATTCTACATCCTTCTCCGGCAGACCCCACTCACCCTGCCAGGTGACAGTTCAGTGGATGTGACTTCCACCCGTGGCTAAGCAAGGAAACAGCCTCTTTGGAACTTCTCCAATGTCGCAGCTCTCCTGTCCCCACTGCTGTTCCACTCAAGCTCGCAGATGAGCCCAGCTCCTCTCCTCCATTCTAAACGCCTCTGTTTCAGGGAAGCGTTTGCATTTTCCTTGGCACAGGTACAGCTTGCTGAATTCTTTTAGGCCAGGCCAATTACAACAAGCCCTAAAATTGCTGAGCCAAGTGGTTTCTTCAGAGATCTGCTTACATTCCCTCCCTGAAAAGAGCAGGGGGCCCACTTCGTGCTGTCTCTGCACACAAAAAGTGCACGTTTCGCTTTTAAGGTGGAGTAGGCATAGGACAGTTTTCCCAGAGAGAGGGTGAGATGCAACCTATTTTCACTCTGTTTTTACTTCGCCTAATTGGGCTTCATCCCATTTCAGAGGACGGACAAGATGGCTCAGGGCCGGCTCCCTTGAAGACCGTCTTGAGAAAGGGCTAGAGAGGCTTTTAGTGCAAGCCCCACGGGATCACAAGTTGAAAGAAGTATTTACATGTGTCAGTACCCTCTCATTCCTGAACTTCAACTAGGTTCAGGGTTCAGTATTGCAATCACATTCTCGTAAGTTCTGGCTTTGGGAGGAAGATGGAGTCAGTAATGCATAACTTTGATTTTTTTAAGTAATCATGATATTTGGGTAGAAATAACTCAATTCCAAAGAATTATTTAGATTAGTCTAAAGTTGTTTTTTTTTCCTGATTTTGAAATTGTTACACCATGACTTTTCAACAAACTCACCTCTTTGTTTATTTTCTATTATGCTTACATCAGAATACATAACATTCCCTAGCTATTTCTAGCTTAGAGGAAGACATTGAGAGATTATCTTAATGAGAACAGGTCAAGCGGTGGCATAGCCAGTTTGGAATTTAAAATTATCCATGAATAATAAAGCACCTAATCTGGTGCAGATCATTGAGAACTGACCAATTCTGAGAGGTACTTGCCAGAAAACCAAATAGTGTCCTTCCCACAATAAAAATGTATCACAGAAAGAAGTGTGTCCTTGATTCTTGGCATTAACTCATGGCTAGTAAGGCCACGGCATTGCAGATCTGTGCTCTGAGTCTGAAGGCATTCTTCAGATGGGGAAACAGGATCTCTTGAAAAGGGAAATTTGAACTCATTCTCACAGATGAGATGACCTACATGTGTCCAGAGATATGAGAGCACTCATTTAGAGCAGAACTTTCTTACTCAGACAGAAACTAAAGGGTCACAAGGTAAAAAACTGCCATTTTTAACTTAAAAGGCAAAAAATCAGGGCAAATCTCATTTGCAGATGGATAAATAAATTCTAGGAACGTAATCTGGTTCTAACATCCTTATCAAAAAGCCTGGCATGATGGACAAGAGGGTCTCTGGTGGTCAATCTCCTGGGAGGGGGCTCTACCAAGAGCCCCCAGTGCCACTCAACCCAGAGACTTTCAGCCCCCACTGGGTACTTGGCAATCAGAAGTAACCACATGTCTATGCTTTTGAGGAAATTTTACAAACTGAAATTTGCCTGGCTTAATTACAAGGATGCTTGGTTTTTCTATATCAGCTAATGAATAGTAGAGGTTCACATTTCCATACCAAGAAGGGAAAGAACATCCTAAACTCAGAGCAGTCTTCAATGTGGGAAACCAAATGGGATGGTGAGAGGGTCAAGTTTCTTGTCTTTCATTTAGAATATAGCAGGACTCAAGAGCTGCTCATCTTCAGGGAATTTCATAGGTTTTTGGCTAGGGACCAATCTGGGTCATAAAAAGAGGAAACCCCCCTGGGCCCAGGTAGATCTCTAAAGAAAAAGCTTTGGTTGCCTGGGCTTTGTTTAGCAAAAGAATATTTTTTTCTTGTCCTAGAGTCAGCAAACATACTGCCAGGTAATCTGAGAGGCCCACAGGGAGACTCCAAGAAGACAAGCCCAATAGTCCCATACCAAAATCTTTCATCTTGAAGGCCATTAATGTGCCACATCTTCACTACATTTCCAAATGCCTACTGCCTTTGGGTGGCATCACAGCAATAAACACAGGACTTAATTAAAAGTCATTTCCATTTCATTGCTAAAGCCAAGGAAATCTGGTACCACAGCCTTGAATTTATAAGTAGGAAAATGGTACAAAAAAAGTGAGGGTGGGAACTAATTTAAAACACTAAAAGTCACTCAACACTGCCAGTGGGTGGTGCAGGATATTGCCATGGCACTTTCTGTTAAATTTCTTTCTCCCAATTCTTTGCAGAATTCTCCTCACTTTTGTGTGCAGAGAGCCCCACTAACTAAAAGCAACCTGAGTATTAGATATTATCACCATGAAGGGTTGGGGCAATGGGACGCATCAAATGGCATCACCCGTCAGGGAAGTACAAACCTGCATCCACTGCCCTATTTCTAATCTTGACTCACCCTATGACAGGGTCATACTCCCCTCATCATGAGAGGTTATGGGGGAGTTTGCACAGCTAACAGGCCACTGTTACTCCCTGCTTGTTTGTCGGCAAGAAAAGTGCAGAAAGTTCAGTTGCTCCCATTGGCCATTGGACAAATGCCCAGTTGCTCTCTGGGGAAATCTGATTGTGTCATAGTTAATTCCTCCCTCACGCATGCCCCTCCTTTATAGCTGCTTAGTTGCCAAGCTCTGTCCATTCTTTCTCCATTGTATTTCTTGAATTAGTCCCTTTCTTTTATTCCTACTGCAATTATCCTCAGTGAAGTTTTCATTTTTTCTTGATTGGACTATTGCTATATCTTCTTACTTGGTTTCTTACTGCTAGGATCTATCCACTGTAATCCATTTTACATGTGACTTGTAGTTTAGTCTCCCTAATACATGTCTCTGATTATGTCACTCTTATGTTCCAAAACTCATGGTGATTCTTTGTTGCCTGCACTGGTCACAAGTGATTCTGCATTGCCTACTGACCAAAGTCCAACAAATAAATTGACAGCTTTCTTCACAAAGAAGAAATTGTCCTATGACTCACATGTTACCCCATAATTAAAGGACTGAGACCTAGAAAGTTACTCAAACTTCAAGTAGCCCATGCCCCAGAGGTAAATTTCACTTGCCCTATTTAAACAAGGTTTTCTTCGATATATTCTCCTTGTCACAATCAAAAAGTTCTTTCCAGTGTCTGCCTTGAATTATCCCCTAAGCTCTTGAACTCTACTATCTTTAACTATTATTTGTTTTAATAGCAAGTTCCACTCTCAGAAATGAGACTAGCAAATAAAAAAGAAACAAGTGACTCCCAAGAAAAACACCAGAGCATGACATCATAGTGAGTTGAAAGGGGCTGAAGTTGGAAGTGGGCTAATGGCTGTTTATGATTTTTGTTTGTTCAACACCATACGTCTTAGGACCTTAACCCTCTACAGACTATTATCTTGATGGTGATGGGTATTTCTCTGCTGCACTTATACTTCCCTTCCTCAAATCATAAAACATTTATTATATATCACCACAATCAAGTTGTAATAATAATCCACGATGATAGCAATAGTCTAATGAAGAAATATGCTCTGGTAAAGATCCTTGGATATCAGAGAGCAGTGTAAAGATTGTAGAGGACAGGTGCAGTGGCTCACGCCTGTAATCCCAGCACTTTGGGAGGCCGAGGTGGGCGGATCACCTGAGGTCAAGAGTTCGAGACCAGCCTAGCCAACATGGTGAAACCCCATCTCTACTAAAAATACAAAAAATTAGCCAGGCATGGTGGTGTGTGCCTGTAATCCCAGCTACTCGAGAGGCTGAGGCAGGAGAATCACTTGAACTCGGGAGGTGGAAGTTGCAGTGAACCAAGACTGCACCACTCCAGCCTGGGCAACAGAGAGAGATTCCATCTCAAAAAAAAAAAAAAAAAAAAAAAGACTGTAGAAAGCAACTTGGAGAATAATTAATAGAAAAAACAACTCAGACAGTTTACCCATCATTAGAGCATTGATATTTCTGGGGTTGAATGCAGTAGTGGCTAGGAATGGACATTAACTTTTCACACTGAGGGGAATAACACACTATACCACACACAATGTTGAGGATTCAAATTCTAGAGAGTGTCTTTGTCATGTGTTAATGATGGATATAAAGGTTCTCTATATGAGGCCTATGATAGTCAATGGTCATTCCTCTAACTTGGGAATGGTATGGGCTATACAGATAACAGCCTAGAGAGTTAGAAGCTAACTTTCTTTCAAAAAAAGATGAGGAGAAGAAGGGAAGGGAAGGGAAGGGAAGGGAAGGGAAGGGAAGGGAAGGGAAGGGGAGGGAAGGGGAGGGAAGGGGAGGGAAGGGGAGGGAAGGGGAGGAGAGGGGACAGGAGGGGAGGGGAGGGGAGGGGAGCTCAGCAAATTCTGGGGCACAACTTACAATTTTGCCTGATGTCTTACCACACTGCACAGCTAGGAAGTTCTTCTGAAGATCTAACCTGTGTTTCTTCTGGTGTTTTTGTTTATTTGTTTACCATAGATTATTTATAGCCTTTTTCCAAACAGAGAGATACTCACAGCCCTTCCCAGTTGGCTGTTTGGCTCAGCTAACAGAGCTGCTCTAAAAGTCATGGTTAAAACTTCATTCCCCTAAAAGGGTCATCGAGTTTGCTCCATAAGAGAGCTATATCAATCACCCTTCCTAAATGACACTCTTGTCATACATAGAAGAGAAGCCAGGCAGGTGAGTAGATGCCATTATCACCACTGCTTCTGTCTATTAAAAAAATAAAAACAAGATTTCTGCCTACTCTCCAACCCAGCCAAAGAGAGCCTCAGAGTCAGACACCTGGAATTAACCCTCATCCCTGCATCTACAGAGGACGCCTGGCCAGAGCAGTGCCGGCGGTGACAGAGCTGGGACCACTGACATCTGAAATGCATCCTGCACTCCAGCCCTTATGTGGTACTTGCTTGTCTCATAAAACCATTTTGTTTTTTGAGGATGGAGATAAGGTCCTTTAACACAATTTTCAATCTATAGTTGTACTCCAACGTGTTCCTTATACATCTACAATTTCTTCTATCTTATAAAATAAAATACACCCCTGATTTCAGAAAAAAAAAAAAAAAGCACAGCATTAAAAAAAGGAATCTGAGAGGCCACGAGGCTTTTCACATTTTGCCAGAACCAGGCTTTTGTCTGTGCTGGCGCCCTGGAGCTCAGGGATTTCTTAGGAATGAGAGTACAAGTGGCCTTAGGACCTCAATGATTGGAAAGAGACACCTTGAAGGCTGGAAGGAGGAGGTAAGGGCAGAGTTGCATCCAATCTGTGCTCATCTTCCTGTTCAGAATTACCTGGGCAGGTAGCTTAACATCTCCTAACCTTGGTTTCTTCACCTGTAAAATGAGAATAATAAGACAACACATCCCACAGGATCTTTGAGAACACGTATTCAATGGAATGAAACCCTCAGCACAATGCCTGGCACCTCGGGAGTGACCATTAACGATGCCTCTTGTTATTAATATTATCACAATCATCTCAGGGGGGCAAAGTAGCAAAGACTGACCGTGGGAAAGAGAGCTGTGGGAAAGTGACAGAGGTGCTGCCATCCCCTCGGCCCTACCCATGACCCCACTGTCAGGGGTGCAGAATATTTCTCCCATTCACCAGGTCCCAACCCACTCCCAGATAGAGCAACGTGGTGAAACAATAAAAGCCTGACTCCCGCAAGATGGCACCATGACGGGCTGTGCCTGGATCCAGAGGAGATGTCTCTGTCCAGCATTTCCATCAGGCTCTTCCGAGCCAGCTCCTGGGGTGCGCACAAAGACCCATTCAGGATGGCTGGAGTTCTGAAAGCCAGCAGATGAGCCGAGGGGCCGGGAAGGGGGTGGAGAATCAGCACAGCCCCTGGCACTAACCCCACTGGGACCTGCCCTGGGCAAGCAGGCGTGGAGGGCTCAGGTCTGCCGCCACGGCTGCACTCTTTGTTTTCCCGCAGATTCCGTTCTCTGATGGTGGTCCAGGGCACCAAGGACACCAGCTGCCATGGCTGGGATTGAATGACCTCCCTGGGGTGGCTGGGAACCCCCACTCCCATAGTGCCAGCCCAATGGGCAGGATACCCAGTGGAAACAGGCCATTACTAACAGGCCTGCCATTTCGAAAGTGCCTCTTTCTGGGAAAATTGACTCTCAGAGGTTCCCACCCTGGGAAGGTACAGTGAGAAATAAGAAGCTAAATTACTATGCAGTAGCCAATAGTTATTCCCCAGGGCCTAGAAAGTGACTCTGTGCCCCTCAGCCTCAGTTTCCCCACCTGTACAATGGGGCTAGGTACAACAACCTGTTGGAACTCAAAAAGTAGCTGCTGTGAGAGAACTTATCAGTAGTAGTTGGTTTGTTCCCTTTGAACACAAATATATCAGATCTGATGCATCAAGGATATGCCAGTCCTGCAGCTCCCTGAATGTTAGAGCACAGAGGCTGCTTAATGGATCATGATCCTTGGATGCAAATGAAAATAAGATTCCCTCTTTTACTCTTTCCCTCCTAAGTCTATAAGAGGCTGTCCTAACAAGGTGACAAGCTGAACATGCAATAGAAAACTGAGCCCCTTTAGGCTGCCAGAATTGTAAGACATTTCTTGTGGGACAACAGCATTTCCCAGATGACTCAATTCAGAAGGACTAAAAGGAGTTTCTGTGACCTGAAGATGTTTGTACATCAGCTAATCTAGCTTTCCACCTTTGCTGGAATATGCTGACTGCATTTATTTCTCTAGATATCTCTCACCCAATAGTAAGACTCAGTAGAAGCACTACCTCCTCCAGGAAGCCTTCCCTGACTACACAGCTTGAATTAGTGCACTTTCATATTCTCCCACAACACCCTGGGCACATATACTTCTCTCTTAGCAATCAGGAAATTATATTGAAATTGTCTGCTTGTTAGTCTCTGTCTTCTTGGTGACCAGGTACTATACTTTACAATCTTTTTTACTCCAGTATCTAATACAGTGCTGGCATAATGCAGGAATTTAATAAGTGTTTATTGAACTACATGGATGTGTATCTCTCTCTAGAGTATTTGCTAGCATAAACCCCCATTTGTATTTTATAAGGGTATCCCATAACCTCTGCTCTTAGGAAGTTCTATCTCATATCTAACTCAGTTCTCTCCTGCATGCATATATTTCTCTTTTTTCAAACCTTGGGAGACCACAGCCGGTCACGATCCTCATTCTTATCAGAGTGATCATAGAAATCACAACTTGCACTCATCATTGTTTTTCTCTCAGGTTCAGCTTTATTTTTTTTGGTCTGAAATCAGGAATGAACTTTCACAGTCTCAACTCTGGCCATTTTTCCTTTTAACAAACAAATAGAAAAGAACTTCCAAGAATGATTTTGACCAGATAGAGTCTGCTCCTTTTAACAAGATTGTGTGAAGCACCTACTGTGTGCCAGGCTGTGTGTGATGGAGAGGGAGCAAATGCATAAGTCCCTGACATCAAGAGATCTTCAACCTAAAACAGAGAATAATGGGGGTACTGAATTTAATTCATAAAAAGTAGCACCCCACTTTCTTGTGATCCCTTGGTTAGAATCACCAACTTTTATGAGTTTGTAGAAAAGCCCAGAGTGCTAAAAAGTAAAAAGCAAACATTCCATTTCTGAGCAATTTGGGAGAAACTAAATTTGGCCCAGTCAGGAGACACGTTGGGGAGTACCTTAAAGGATAAGTGTCAAGTGTCTGTTGACATTTCTAAAGAAATCCATTTGCATTTTCACTGCTAAGGAGAGGCCGGCCTCCACTGGCCACACATTCAGAAAGCTGGCAGGAGCCACTGGTCAGCAACCCCCAATCAAACAGGCTTCCTCTTTCTGGCCAAAGAGCTCAGGGTCTGCGTGACTTGAGGCAAGTCATCCAGGGACATTTGGGATTCTGATCTAGTGAGCCAGTGAAGACGGTACAGATAAGGCCCAGACAGAAATCTGGCAGCCTAAGTAACATCTGGTTGGTCTGAGGTTTGGACTCTGGCTGGGGCCGGGAGCCCAGGGCTGGCGACTGGGGAGCCTGCACTTGGAGCTGGTGACAGCAGGTGGCGCAGGAGCGCAGAAACCAACCTTCAGTGGGCCCTGAAAGAAATCATGGTGTTAATGCCACCCCAAACCACAGCCAAGCAAGGCAAAGGCGACCATGTTGTCCTCAAGTCCTGAAAAGGGCAAATTGCACAGATGGAGCAAAGAACCATAGATGGGCAATTCTCCGGTAAAGAAAAGCCAAGGTAGGTCGTCAGAGATCTAGGTAAAATCCTTCGATGGTCAAGGACTTCAGAACTTTAGGAAATGTGCAAAGAAAATGAAAGAGAAAGACAACACATAACATTAAGTTCAGGAGCAATATAAGAGCTCCTGGAGAGGAAAGGCTCAAGTCACTTTGAACCCTTAGGGCAGCTGATGAGCCAGGTATCATTCTCCAAATAGCCTCTCCTTCCCTCCAGCAACAAAACGCAAACAGAATATTCACAACAAAAACCTCACCTATTACAGTTAGTAAAGCCTCGAAAATCAACATTTTTAAACAAAAAATGGAAATGTTATCTCCTTCTTAAAGCTAGTAGAAGGCACCTTCTTGTTGCCCCAATCTCTGCATAAGTTCTCCTCCAAAGCATATCACTGGGGGAAGAAGGGAGAAAGTTCCCCTCCAGTAAGTATCCAAGGTTCTTCTGTTTGTGTGCCCAAAATGGGACAAAAAAGCATAGTCCTACTTATCTATTTACCTAACACCATAAGTCGAGGAATTTTAAGCAGCTGATTCTAAAAGCTAGAATAAAAGCGTTACACACAAGATACGAGACAACCTCCCTCCAAAAGATAACGGGCACAAGCAGTAGACTGCTGAGATATGCAATGGAGAATCTTCCCTCATCCACTTAAGCAGTAAGGGTTGGCTTTGGGATAAATCTCAGGGAATGCAAAGAATATTACTTATTTTTCCATTTGGTTTACTTTCATGTTGTTACTTCTCTCGTGGGAAGTAGATGCCTAAGCTCTGATGTATATAAATCCATTTTCAGTGTTTACTTAAGTACATATACATACACTATAGCAAAATGTTGCTTTGCTTGAAAAATCATTGAAACATTTGATGTGTTTGCTCTCAATCAATATTCTGCAAAAAGCATCTGGGTTCGCTGCTCAACTAGGACAGTAGACAAGTCTGGAGTCTTTTCCATGAGCCACCTGCCACTTGCCAGCTCTATGGGGTCCCACATCACAGTTGTCCCAGTAGCAGACAGTATAAGGGCTATGTGATTTAGGCTGCAACAAAGGGTGATGACAGAACAGAGAAAGGCAAGGTGAATTCCCTCTGAATGTGACCAGAAAGGCTTCATGGAGAAGGACACTCCAGTTGTTTGACTACTCCATGCCTTTGGACATGTTTTTTTTTTTTTTTTTTTTTTTTTTTTTTTTGCCTGAAATGCCATTCCTCAACTCCCACCATCATCCTTTTGGGGGAATTTCCAGTTTCCTTCAAAACTAAGTTCTGATGTTATCTAGAGCCCTCCCTGACCATCACTTTGCCCCTTAGAAGTCCTATACAAATCTCATTCCAAATACATGGCACAGGAATGATGCTTGTGTCTTTGTTGTTGTCTTTATTATAATATTCACTCACCAGCTGGGAGACTCCTTTTTTTCTAATTTTTTTTTTTTTTGAGGTGGAATCTCGCTGTGTCACCCAGTCTGGAGTGCAATGGTGTGATCCTGGCTCACTGCAACCTCTGCCTCCTGGGTTCAAGTGATTCTCCTGCCTCAGCCTCCTGAGTAGTTGGGATTACAGGTGTATGCCACCACACCCAGCTAATTTTTTGTAATTTTAGTACAGACAGGGTTTCACCATGTTGGTCAGGCTGGTCTCGAACTCCTCACCTTGTGATCCACCTGCCTCTGCCTCCCAAAGTACTGGGACTACAGGCGTGAGCCACTGCATCCGGCCTTTTTCTACTTCTTAATGGTTTCCCAGATACCTCTCCCTACAGCTCCTCCCAACTAAGTAGGGTTGCCAAATAAAAACAGAACTGCCCAGTTCCATTTGAATTTTGAACAAACAACAAATAGTTTTTTAGTGTAGTATGTCTCAGATACTTCATATATCATATTCTCATTTGTTAACTATGGCAGTCTTATTCCTGAGATCACTGAGTTCGTGCCTTGTGCCCCCTCCCCGCCCTAGGGCAACCATTCAAAGCTTCAGGTGCACTTTCTCAGCATTAGCCTCTCTCCCCAGCCCTCCAGAAGAAAGGTGACACTCCTTGCACACACTGTTAGCAGCCTGGAAGAGTCATCTAAGGTCAGTTTCAGATCCATTTTGAGATTTTTTCTTTTTCTGTCCTGTATTGGCTGTATTTATTCAATAGAAGTCAAGTTTAAGTGTTTCAATTCAATATAATACCACTTGTTCAATTAATTGTTAAATAGGAGAATATCACTTACTTTTCATTTAAATGTGGTTTAACGAATTGCATGAATTACATGACTAAGACACTTTGCAATCTGTTAAATCCATGTTGAATTTCAAAGTATGGCAGGCTGGGTGTTGTGACATTTACCTTTTCAGCTCCTACTGTCTCTTTCTACCATTTCTCTCCTGCAGAAAACAAGGGAGATCCAGCTGGGAAGGCAGAAATCTGCAGAAACACATCCAATCCTATCAGAGTGCCCATCACCGAGAAACACCTTTAAGTTAAAGTTGCCCACTTTATTTCACTATCTTGTCAAATGGAGCTTTAAACATGAAAATAGAAACATCTTGGATTCTTTTAACAAGTCCCTTCTACCAAGACTAACATTGTTTTCCATTTACATCCACTTCCCAGGGCGAAAAATGGCAAAAAGGATAATTTGTAACAACGCTGCCCTACCTTTTTTCACTTCATGACAGGCACAGAAAATTATAATAGCTGAATGACAGGGATCAATTGGAAAGAATTTGGGAGATTCAGTATGAGGCTTAGTAATAAAATTAATTAATATGATTTAAAATTAATAAAAATTATTTTGTTCATTATTTTAAAATATAAAATGTTATATAAATATATTAAATGTGAAATTTGCATAACGTCTCCCAGTTAATGGTATTCTATTTAGAAATGCCTAACATCTGATTGTAAAA
Organism: Homo sapiens; assembly: GCF_000001405.40. Classification (NCBI taxonomy): domain Eukaryota; kingdom Metazoa; phylum Chordata; class Mammalia; order Primates; family Hominidae; genus Homo; species Homo sapiens. The sequence continues at coordinate 122,218,672 of NC_000011.10, forward strand.
GGTAAAGATAAAAGTCACGTATGCCTTCTACCTTATTAGAACAATACAAAATATAAGAGCAAATTAAATCAGAAAATAATCTAATATTTTTATACTGCAGGCAAAGCGAAGAACTTCCCTGAGAATAAATAAATCATGACTAAGAAAAAATTGAACTCATACTAGGACATTTTAACAGGAAGCTCCAGGGAGTGAAATGTACTTCAGCTGTCGCACAACACGCTCTGGTGGCAGTGTCCGTTCAGAGAGTCGCATACACCTAAACAGTCATCACAGAAGCTAGCGAGTTTATAGACAAAGCGATGTATGTTCAAATACACTTGAAAATTTCTAAATGGTTGTCCAAATGATTTTCATACTCTACCACTACAAAAAGCATGCAATCATGAAGAACTCAGGGCACCCCTGTAGGCCGTTCCAGGTGCCCCCAAGACCACACAGCACCTCTAGGAAGCTCCGCCTTATAGGAAGAGGTCACAGTGTGCTTACGTCCTGGCACATTTTAAATGAATGAATACCAAAGAAGAGAATTTAACTAAATGAAAATCTTCCCCTAACTATTAAAGATTGTAGTGGGAAAATGCAGGGATAGCCTCCCTTCCCTAGCCAGCCCTGGTGTATGGAAAGGGCAGGTGAAACCATTCTGTTCAATCCCACGTGCGAGTAGCTGTGAGATGCCAGGCACGGGGATAGGCACTGGAGAGAGAAAATATGCAAACACCTTGGTCCTATTTAGGATCAGCTCACAATGTGGGGAGTGAGACTAATAGATATAAACAGAGATCCAAGAGAATCTATGGTTTATCATCATCACGCCTGTGATAAGAGTCAATGATTCTCAGAATTCAAGGATTCTTCTCTGCTCACCCTCAATGTATGCTCTAACCAGACACACATGATTTTAGCATCGTGCTGTCTTTCTCCTGAATAATTCTCTTTCCCCCCAATAGCTTGCTTTAAGCTTGCTTCTTAAGAATGTTTTTCTCCTACTGAAGAGTCTGCCACTGTTCTCCCTCTCAATCTCAGCTAGCGCAGATGGTTTCAGAGCTTGGGAAGAAGAGCACAGTACCACCGGTTACCATTTTGTGGCTGTATTCCTACATGCCTCGAATGTTAAACTCAGATGGCTGGAGAGCTGGGTTGACAATGAACCCAACAGTGTTTAAGGAAAAAGAGTTTTCTCTACGCATCCCATTTTCTAGGCCTCAGCAGGGTTTCCTTGAGCAGATGACTTTGAAATTGTCAGCCAAACCTGTGCCTCTCAAGAGCCTGTCTCCTTTAGTTCCAGCCCTAGAAGGATCACAGTATTGAGCCATGTGGTTTTGTTGACTCTGTCATGGATGGCACATCCATCAGGGAGTCCCATCTGAGCCCCCAGCAAAACAAAATTAACTAATGTGCATAAATTAGCACCAAATGTCTCCTCTGTGGAGAAATGCCAAAGCCATTCTTTCCTACAACAGATAACTGACCGTCCCCCAGTTCCCATCAGACTCTCTTCAACAACGACCTGCACCTCACTGCACCTTGTGTTTGCTTTTATACCTTACCAAATGATTTCAAATGTATTTCCTCACTTGATCTTTGGCATTTGGGAGGGAGACAATGTAGATGTTTCATTTCCATTATACACATGACTAAAATAAAGCTCTGAGGAGTTAAATGACGAGCCCACGTCACACCACTGAATCTTGAAGGGGTGGCTGTTGGACCAAGATCTTCTGACTCTGAATCCAGTATTCTTTCCACTACCCCATATCCAGCCAGAAGCAATAAGAAAAATATTTGGGAAAACTAACACTGAAGGAGCCAGCATGTCTCTTTCTTGTTCTCTCAACCTCCAAAACAATTCACCAGAAATCTCTGGCAAGTTTCATAAATGTCTGAGTCACCTTTGGTGCACAGTTGATTCTGAAAAAAACTACACACACATATGCACACACACACACACACATTGATATATGCATAAAATGTATTATCATCCCAGTATTGAAAAATCTTTATCATGTTCCATGTTCTTCTCAATGCAGTATGTGCCTATAACCTAGTTCGGTAACTATTTGCTGAATGAATACATTAATGTTTATCTCCCTTATGGCTACATCTTCTTTTACATCTCAGAATCATTCTTCTATTTCAGTCTGCCCCATACCCTAGCTGCCCCTACCAACCTTGCTGCAGTTTTGGAGCAGGCTCAGCCTAAGAGGAAGACACACACAGATAAATGAATCACAGCCAGACAGAAATAAAACAACAGTCCCTATTCGTTGAAACACAACCTATAAATTCTAGCTTCAGAGATGAGTGGGGTAAATAAATGCTTTACTCCTTTGAGACAGATAACCCCTTGAAATAGATATGCAAATCTCATTTTATAAGTGAAGGGCTATATGCTCAGAGGAGTTAAATAACCAGTCAAAGTTCACACAACAGGCAAGTGACAGAGGCCGAATTTGAACTAGGTTCTGAAAGTTCAGTTTACTGCTGAGTATCTAGTGTCTGGCATGGTAACCGGCCTCTCTGATGCTTCTTGAAGAGGTGCTGTATGATACACTTGAAGGCTTTTGTACTGGACGTGTACTTGGCCTTCAAGGCTCTTCCTTAGCTATTTGCTAGATGGTGGTTAACTCTCTCACCTCCTCTGAGGGTTTGCATTTTACTCAATAAGCCCTCCGCTCACCACCCTAAATTGCAACCCATCATTTCCCCTGCCTCCCTCACTCTAGAGCCCTCTTGCTCTACCTTGTTGTTTTTCCATAAAACTTATTACTATATCTCACATATAAAATTTAGTCATTTATTATGTTTATGGTTATTTGCTAAGTGGGCTTTGCTATAGCATGAATTTTTGTCTTTTTTTTTTTTTTTTTGAGATGCAGTCTTGCTCTGTTGCCAGGCTGGAGTGCGGTGGCACGATCTCAGCCCACTGCAACCTCTGCCTCCCAGGTTCAAGTGATTCTCCTGCCTCAGCCTCCCCAGTAGCTGGGACTACAGGCAAGCCCCATCATGCCCAGCTAATTTTTGTATTTTTAGTAGAGACGGGGTTTCACCATGTTGGCCAGGATGGTCTCGATATCTTGAACTCGTGATCTGCCCGCCTTGGCCTCCCAAAGTGCTGGTATCAGAGGCGTGAGCCACCGCGCCCAGCCGGATTTTTATCTTTTTAAATGTACTGATGCATCCTGAACACTAAGAATTTTACCAGAAAAAGAGCGCGTGTTCACAAAATATTTGCTGAATTGAAGGAATACATGAATGGGAGATACTTATTAATGGTAGTTAATATTTGGTGAATGAATGAAGAGTCAAGACTCCTTGCCTTATCTAAGCCATCCTGTGAATAGATTCCATTTGTTACGCATCTCCTGCCTGCTAGGCCCAGTGATGCATAAGTGATCTCACTTAATCAGCCCCCAAATCCTTTGAGATGGAGAATAGTACCTCATATTCTAGATGAAGATATGTAAGTTCAGGGAAATTAAATTAAATTAGCCAAAGATCATACAACTGGTAAGTAAGAAAGGCAGAATTTGAACTCAGTTCTGTCTAACTTCAAAGTTCAGGGGTCATTCTGCCCTGTCACGGCGCTTCTCAATGCACTCACAACTAGAAAGGTGCTCCTCTGTAAATGAAATGCTGCCCCATATGAATAGGTAAGTTTTAGCCATTCATAGTTAATATTATTTTCTCATTAGACTCATGTTCAACTGGAGACGCTTCCATTAACTGAGATGAGGCTGTTTATTTCCTCCACTATCCTGGAGCTGGGCAGCAATGCTCCATGCTAAACCAAGCCTGGTAATTTACATTTCTAATCACTCCACAATTTAATTAATATCATGGCCTTTATCAGGTGCACTGCAAATACAGCTGATGTCATCAGTGCTTACTTAATTAGTTTGAAGGAGAAAAAAGTTTTTTTACAGTCTGAATATGTCTCCACTGGTATGGCCTCAGGGTTTTGTGGAGGAAAAAAGAAACTAACTTAAAATCTGGATTCTGTGATTAAAGACTTTTTTGCTATATAACCTGGGAAAGGTTTATGAAATTGTAATATCACTGGAAATAAAAATATGAAGGTAAACAAGTGGTAATTTCAACCATTTTTTCCAACCTTATTGAAGTATAATTTACATACCTTAGCATTCACCCATGGTTAAGTATACAATTCAATGATGATTTGTAAATTTATAGAGCTTAGCAGTTATCACCACAATCCAGTTTTAGAACATTCCTATCACCCCTCAAAATTTCCTCAAGCCTGTTTGTCACCAATTCCTGCTCCTGCCCTACCCCTCCCCATCTTCTGACAATCCCAGGCAACCAATGATCTGCTTTGTCTAAAGTTTGTCTTTTCTGGACATTTTATATAAGTGGAATCATACAATATGTATTCCCTTTTCTCCCTTCCTTCCTTCTTTCCTTCCTTCCTTCCTTTCTTTTTTTCTTTCTTTCCTTTTTTTTCGAAGTCTTGCTCTGTTGCCCAGGCTGGAGGACAGTAGCGCCATCTCGGCACACTGCAACCTCTGCCTCCCAGGTTCAAGCAATTTTCCTGCCTCAGCTTCCGGAGTAGCTGGGATTACAAGTGCATGCCACCATGCCTGGCTAAGTTTTGTAATTTTTGTGGAGATGCAGTTTCACCATGTTGGCCATGCTGGTCTCGAACTTCTGACCTCAAGTGAACTGCCCACCTAGGCCTCCCAAAATGCTGGGATTACAGATGTGAACCATCGCACCCAGCCATGCTTGGGTTCTTTCCCTTAGTATGTTTCTAGGTTCATCTATGTTACACCATGTGTCAGTATTCTATATCTTTTTTCTCATTGAATAGCATAAATGCACTCCATTTTGTTTCATCACTCGTCAGTTGATGGACGTTTGGGTTGATTTCATTTTTTGGCTATTGTGAACAATGCTGCTATGAACATTCATGTACAAGTGTTTATGTAGATGTGTACTTTCATTTCAAAAAATTGGGTAGATTCCTGAGAGGGGAATTGATAAGTCTTATGCTAAGTTTCCATTTAATTTTTTAAGACACTGCCAAACTGTTTTCCAAAGTGGCTGTTTCATTTTACATTCCCACCAGCAACAGATGAAGGCAAGCATTGATTTCTGAAATTGCTTTAGATAGTGGAATTGAAAGTCTTCAGCTTTGGTTACATTTGGTCTTTGAACTGCAACCTTGAAAGAAAACTGTGAAATACCTAAATCATACTATATACTCTTAAAGACAAAGAATGATGGGAAATTAATTGAAATAAATGAGGTTTAGATAACAGAAGGGATTTGTAACAAGTAAGTGTTCTCAGGGATAGTATTTTCAGCTTTCGTTTGCTAGGAAATTAAATCAACCAATTAAATAAAATAACTCTCCATAAAGATCAGTTAGATTTGCCATATAGATTGTTCATTTACGAAAATGCACTTTGAGAGTTATGTAACAAAGACACTGGTTTCATTTATTTCATTCTCCCTTCCTTTAGCTCCACATCTTGGAAAGAAGAAATATCTTATGAGCTTCATCCAGTTTTAGTATTTACTAGTAAAGCTGAATTGAGCCCACTTCCACATGGAAGCTATAAATTGTTTTATCTTGTTTGAGATCTTCAGACAAAACTCCTGCATCACCAAGATGATGCAGCCAAATCCTAAGATGCAAATTTAGTTGGGAAAAAAATTCAGGCTCTCTATTTCACAGTTCATTAGTTCATTCGTTTACTGTGGAAAACATTAATATGTTTCTTGAGATACCAAGACTCCTAAGGCATGGGTTGTGGCTTCAAGAGAGAAACAAGCATGTCAACGAATACTGCAGTAAAATATTGTAAGTTCTATCATGAAAATAAATACAAATTGGGGAACAAAACCAGACACACAAAAAGGAATAGATTAGGAAATATATAATATAATATAATATATATAAAAATATAATTTTGACTTAAGATCATGCAAGAGGTAATTATTGAATTGCTACATTAAAGACAAGTAGATGTTTGCCAGAGAGTCAGCCATGGGGTGAGGGGTGGTCATTCTAGTTAGATGCTCTAGCAAGAGCAGAGGCCTGGAGCTGTGAAACAGCAGAGAGTGTCTAGAGAAGTGCAAAATCCTGCAGCATGTCTGGAGTGCCCAAGGGACAAACCGAGTGGATGAGGCAGAAGAGAAAGGCTGGTGAGGGCCTTATTTGTCTTAGCAAAGAGAATAAGCTATTTTATAGAAAATAGGGAGCTATTTTATGCTAGATCTGACATAAGATTGGAATTTTGCTCAGTTTATTTTGAATGCAGTAAAGAGGACAACTCAGAGACCAATTAGGAGACTGTTACAGCAGCCAGGCTCAAGTCTGAACTAAGGCAGCAGCAGTAGAAGTAACAAGGAGGCGTAGGATATGAGTGATGTTAAGGCGTAGGATCTAGAGAAGTTATCTGGGGTGGATTACCATGATCTCAGGCTCATCATGAGATGCAAACTTTCAGGTCCTATAGGCATGATTCACAGGTCTGGACTTTGGCCTAGGAATCTTCATTTTCATAAGCATTCCAGGTGATTCTAATGCATCTTGACTGAGGATGCTGACCTGAAGTTTGTAAGCTCACAATACAGAACCACTGAATCTCCAGCTACCACTGGAACCAGGGGAATCAGGAGACTTCTAGGAGTAAATAGACTGCCAAATGTTAGGTGAACTTTGCTGCTGGTCTTTGCTAAGTTAGCTCCTCATTCTGGTTCAGATAACTTTGAAAAAGAAAATTGTAATTCAAAGGAAAACAAATTGAAATTAGTCAACAAATGCAACCAAATTTAATAGAAATCTCTTGCCCATGTATAAGGTTCCAAATAGGGTATCTCATACTCATCTAAAATGAATTTCTATGTCACCACATAGATCAATAACATTTCTATGAACTAATTCAGTACAAAAATATTATTCTGCCTTAAGAGTATCTGCTCTCTCTCTCTTGTTCCCTCTCCCTCTCTTTCATTTCTCTGTCTGTCTGTCTACCTATGAGACAGAGCTCAGTATTGTCTCTTTTATACCACAAACTCCAAAAGGGTAGAAACTCTACGCATCAAAAATCATGTTATTCTGGCGTGCATATGGAAAATAAGTGCAAAATAAATGCTTTGTGATGATGAATCTGCAAATATGTTGATGCTTTATTTGCATATTGCCATAGATGCTGAATGTATAATTTGTGCATTATGCCAATTTAAGGGAGTGGGGGCTGCGCTGTGTTGTGTTTTGCACATTTTTTAAATGCAAAAACACCAGAGCAATAAATTAAACATTTTAATTAAGTGTTGTAGCATACTGCTAGTAGAATTCACTGTTACATGGCTCCGATAACTGTGTGTCAAATAATGTCCTTATTACACATCTGCATTTACTACAAGCATGACAGAACATGGTTAGCCTATATCTGGTCAACTTTCATTGTGTCCCTCAACCAGAATGATAAATATTGTCAAATACAATCACCTACATTTAGTGCCTAGTTATTTCGTGCCAGGTACTAAGTGCTTTACATGGAAGATTTCATTGAATGTTCACACAGACCTTAAATAGTTGATGTTATTATTAGCTCCATTTTACAGATGAGAAAACTGAGGCTTCAGTTAAGTAAACATGGTCAAGACCATGTGATAAGTAATTAGGGAGTAAGAATTTAACTTAGGTCGAGCAGAGTGAGCTCTTAAAATGAGCCCATTATTTCTTAAGTTTCCTTTCAATGTGAGCAATGAAATAAGTGAATGTCATGTGATAGAAAACGAAGAACGAAAGAACAAAATCTAGAGTATGGAAGATCCTACCCCACAATGGTTATCTGTAGGAATCACCAACTGGAAATTCACCCTACCTCTCTTTCAGTGGTGTGATGGTCAACGTTCACCATGCCGCTCTCCAGGGAAGAAAAAGTCCTGATTTGTAGCATTTGCAGATTTCCGTGTTGCAAACACTCTCACCAACCTTCCATTACTAAAGGTGGAGTTAGGAAGAGATCACACACACAACTGGTTTGCATGAGCTGCTGAGAGCCAGCTCCAGGATACCACAGTGCCTGTTCCCTTCTGAAGATGAAATTTCTCATCGTCTCTGGACATACCCCAGAGACCTTGGACCATGGAGAAGATACTTACCTTTTTCTGTGGGAGGAGCCAGTGCATGGAGGAAGCGTGGTGCTCAACTGTCTACATCAGAGTGCTGGAATGTACATGTCACCAGGCTATTTTTCATTAAAAAGTGATGACAGCTAAATATATTCCCTGACTCTGCGGCTAATAACTTCCTGACTTAGACCTCACTTGCTAGACCCATTCCTGAAACCAGACCGCACTAGTCCCTGTGGGGCTTCTATTATTGGTGAGCCATCTCAACAGATGCAGGTCTAACCAAATCCATGTCTAATATAAGCATGCAAATTGGGAGATGAAAGGGAAAATTTTATGTGCTGAATCACAATCCACAGAGAGAGAAGTAGGGGCATAAGCAGCTGCCTGGAAGACAGGACACCAAAAGTCATTGTCATAGAGGTCCTAAGCAGCACAGGGTTCATTCCGTCCAGCCATCATTCATAGCTATGCCCTTTGAATATTCATCTCTCACATTAAAAATATTTGCCTGGCTACCCTGTTATGAAGGCAGTATGTGTATATCAAAGCATGGTTTTTGCAGTGAGACACACATGAAGCATTTTATCTGCATTTTAATACCATTTAATCCTCACTATTATTATGCCCATTTTACAGCTAGGAGAACTGAGTCACAAGGACACAAGTGGAAGTTCTTGAATTAAAACCAAAATAAGCCTAATTCTAACAGCTGAGCTCTTTGCCAATTTATTTTAAGTCTCATTTCCCTGCTGACCAACTCTCCCTTCGTCTTGCTTCAAAAACCACACTAATTTCTTCTTCTCCTATTTTCTTTTTTTTTTTCTGAGACAGGGTCTCACTCCCATCACCCAGGCTGGAGTGCAGTGGCATGATCATGGCTCACTGCAGCCTCGACTTCCTGGGCTCAGGTGATTGTCCCACCTCAGCCTCCCGAGTAGCTGGAACTACAGGTGCATGCCACCACACCCGGCTTTTTTTCTTTTTTTTCTTTTTAGTAGAGACTGGGATCTTGACATATTGCCCAGGCTGGTCTCAAACTCCTGGGCTCAAGCGATCCACCTCTCTCAGCCTCCCACAGTGCTATGATTACAGGCAAGAGCCACAGCACCAGGCCTATTTCTTCTTTTAAGAGCTTGCCAAATGCTACTATCTTAACTTGGAACTTCTCCCCACCTCCATCCCTTAAACCTATCCAAGTTCTAGCCACGCTTTAAGGCTCTAGTAGGAAAGTCTCAACTTTCCTGTAATGTTTTCTCAGATGATTCTAACCCAGGTAGACATCCCACTCATATTACATGTACTGCCTCTGTTGGCATTAATTTGGCGTTGCCTCAGTTGTACCATTTCATAACTTGTTTGGCTTATTTTCTGACCTAATGCGCAAATTGTCAAGGGCAGAAACCATGTGTAGACCTCATAATGCTAAGTTCTAAGTAGATACTAAAAATTTTTTTAATGAATGAATAATACTGATACCATAGGTCTATTGATGGACTGAAGCTCTGAATATTCTAGAACTGGGAGGAAGATTCAACATTTTTGAAGGCTTACTACGTGCTAAGCCCTAAGTTAGGCATTTTATACAATGATTTTATTTAAACCTATATGGCTGATATTGTGACTTCCATTTTACAGATTTTTTAAAAGGTCCAGAGAGGTTAAGAAATTTGCTAACACAGGGCTGGGTGTGGTGGCTCATGCCTGTAATCCCAGCACTTTGGGAGGCCGAGGCGGGCAAATCACGAGGTCAGGAGTTCGAGACCAGCATGGCCAACATGGTAAAACCCCGTCCCTACTAAAAATACAAAAAATTAGCTGGGTGTGGTGGTGGGCGCCTGTAATCCCAGCTACTTGGGAGGCTGAGGCAGGAAAATCACTTAAATCTGGGAGGCGGAGGTTGCAGTGAGCCAAGATCATGCCACTGCACTCCAGCCCAGGAGATAGTGTGAGGCTCTGTCTCAAAGAAAAGGAAATTTGCTAACACGTTATTAGATTGTGGCAGAGCTACGACTTAAATGTAGACTAGTCTGACTCCAAAGCCCGCACCACACAGCCACATGGGTCATCACTGCATCTGTGAACGAGTTAACCTACACAAACCCCAGGGGACGGGGATCGTAGCTAGCCCAGAAAGAAATGACAAATGGTCACTTGGTAATACATTCTAGGTTCTGTTAACTCTAATATTCAGAAAGTTGTTCTTCATGTCTGACTTAATTCTCTCCTGCTTCCATTTCATGCCATTTCCCCTTGTTTTGTAGTCAAGCATATGGAAAACATCTGGCTACCATTTCCTAGACACCACTCCTTCTTGGTCTAAAAAATTCCTGTGGTAGCAGCTCAACTTTATTTTGTGTCATCTAAAATATAGCCACACACCTTTTAGAGTGTAGGTTGTCCTAACTGATAGGCTTTCCTACCCAGGCAGAATTATAGCTGTCAGCAGGGAAAATGAGTGAGAGCTACTGGCAGGATGAGCTAATCCGTGGTCAGATGCTCTTGGATCAAAGATTCATGCTGAAACCAGCCGTCAGAGCAAAGAAGCCAAGTTCATGGATGAAAAAAAAATGAGGCTGGGAAGCACAATGCACCCCAGTGACCTACCATTACCACTGGCCTCAAAATAGCCTTGGAGCCAGGATAGGGGGTGGGAGAATATAGAAACCAGGCAAGTAGGCCATGGCAGAGATTAATTTGGGGAAACCAAGGATGGGCAGACAGCCCCCATCCCCTGGCATCTGGGGAACAAGGGCAGCTGTACAGGAAACATAAAAACACAGTGGAGACCAGAGGAGGGGAGTCAAATGAGAATGCTAAATGTTTGGAACCCAGTGGCTAAGAAAGACGTTGCCAAGTGTCACACTGAAAACAGGAAAGCTTTCCTGGGCCCTGGGTGTGGAGGCCACCGAACAATGAAAGGGGAAGCCTGTAAGAAGAATAACAATGACACGGAAGCCTGCTCCAGCCTGGTGAAATCCCTTCTGCAGTTTTTACAAGAAGCAAAACAAACAACAGTCTGACCCCTCGGCTCGCCCCCGACGCCACACCCCCTCCTCAGTCCGCATGTTGGGTCAGGAAGGGCAGTGGTGTGGCCAGATCCATGAAAGGGATTCTAAGAACAAAGCCTGTGCCGTTTACCTGCAGATCAAAGTTTGCCGTTAATAACATGTGTGTTGGAGAGGGCAGAGAGAGGACCGTTGCCCCTGCATTCCATTAAAAAGGGATTATGGGCTGTCTGACCAGGTAAGCAGTGTGATCTGTGAACAGAAACTTGTCCTTTGGAAGTGGGGCTGTGGCAAAACAAAAGCCTTAGGAGACGTAATCAGCAACCGTTCACTGCAGCAGGGCGGGTGGCGCGGTGTCTGTGTTTGTGCCTGTGTGCAAGGGCATGTGCGATATTTTCTGCTGTTGCTAAGATGGGTTCCCCCTTCACTGGCCTCTCGCCCAATCGAAAGGTAGCTGCTCCTCATTGGCTGCCTGGCTTTATCGAATGACCATGACGAGCTGGAGCGAAGCCCACCTCATTGGCTTATTCCTATGGCCATTGTCAGGGGAGAGCAAATCAGACACCTAATCAATATTTTGTGAAGTGGCACTAGACTCTTGGCTAAATTTGCATTAAATTTCTCCCTGTCTGTGCCTTTGCACTCAGATAAGCATCATATTAACTTCGGGGATAGAGAGAGAGACGAGCAATCAAACACTGTCATCCTTCAGCCATTTTGGATGAATCTCTGAGTCTTGGCAAAAATCTTGGAGTGCCGAGCGTGCAACAGAGAAATTAGTCATAAACAGATGCAAACCTCCCGAGCAGAGACATATTTAACTAGGCTAGATTAGTGGTGGCCCTTCTAGACAAAAACTGATTTACTTCCTTCCTTCTTCTTTCCTTCCTTCCTTCCTTCCTATATTCATTCAACAATTATTTATTGCACACCTATTCTGAGTCAGGTTCTTCGATGGCCCCGGATATATCACTGTGCCAGGCAAGAAATATTTCCCTGCTAGGTCTTTCAGGGTGCTAAAGGGCCGGGGTTCATCACATGGTAAATTACCTGGCTCTTGAAGAAAAGAGAGGGGGCTCTGATCATCATCCATGGAACGAGATGGAACCGAAGTCCCACAGATGAAAGTCTCCTGAGTAGGCACAGATTCTGAATGAAAAACTGGCCTAGTAACTGGAGTTCCCCAGAATTCAACATGAATGTCAGTTAAAATGTGGATAGGTAGTGGTCCTGAGGAAGAGAAAAAAATGGATGTGAATACATTTCCTGTCTTTCAGAGAAAACCAGGAAAGAAATTCCACATGCCCTCTACCTCCCATCACTAAGCAGCTAAGCTATACCTGCACCCCTGCCCTCTGCGCTCCTTCCTGTTGGAACAAACAACGAGGCGTGTTTCTATCAAAATCAACGCTTTGGCTTGTGTACAAGTCCCAGCGCCATTCGCCCACTCAAGCATCTCCTGTCATTCTCACCTTGTTCTCTTACATCATCAAATTTTCAATCTTCCCCTCTCATCATCATTAAAAAATGCTGCAATATCCCTCATCTTTAAAAATAAAGATAATTAAAAAAAACACACACACAACTCTTTATAGATCCAAGGCTGATGTTCAGCCAGCGCCCATGAGCACTATTATGGTGATTGCTAAAATACTGAAAGAATTCTGGATGGGTTGGTGAGCACTGCTACCCTGAGCCTCCCGAGTATCTGCCTCTGACCTTTTCCAACCTAGCCTCTTCCCTGGGACCTCCTGGACAGCCTATAATCCAGAAACCAAAAGGTTAATGCCAGGACCAGCAAAGTCCTCCAAGACCCTGCTCCAGACCTATAGGCAGCATCCCTTCTGACTGCTCAGTGCCCATGCCATAGTTATTCTAATAGCATCCCTGCTTAGACACGGCATTTTCTTCGAGTCATTCCCTCTTCCCCTCGCCACTACTTTCCTCTCCTTTAGAGTAAAACCCCTGGAAGAGTTGTCTATCCTGTCTCCATTTATCTTTTTTTCTTTTTTGAACCCATTTCAACCAGATTATGTTTCCAATCTCTCCAGCATCACTTTTCTCAAGGTTATCAAGGAAACCTCCACTTTGCCAAATCCAAAGATCAGGCCTCAGTCCTCATCTTATTTGGCTTACTAGTGTCATTTGACACAGCTGACCAATTCCTTTTCCTTAAAACATCTTTTTTTGTTACTTTCTTTCCTTGTCTCTGAGACGCCACTTTCTCCTGGCTCTCCTTCTTTCCGTCGGTCTGCCTTTTGCTCTCCTTTTCTGGTTCCGTCTCACCATCCTGGTCCCTAAGGCTGAAGCTCTCTAGGGCCCAGTCTCTGGAATCTCATCTATTTTCCTCTCTGCATTCACTCTTTGGGTGATCTCTTCTAGTCCCTTGACACTGAATACCATCTATATGCCAATGATTGTCAAATTTCTATTTCCTGCACCAACATTTCTACACTCATAATCCAATTGTCACTCTGCGCCTTCACTTGAATATATAATATACATCTCAAATTTAAGTTGTGTAGAACTGCGCCCTTGCTATTCCCATCAAAACTTCTTTTTCTTGCCCCTGGTCTTCATCTTAGAAAGTGACAACATCATTTTTCCTATTGCTGAGGCCAAAATCCTTGGAGTCAGCCTTGACTCCTCTCTTTTCTCTCACACCAAACTATAATCTACCAGTAAATTCTGAAGCCCTACCCTCAAATCAGACCCAGAATCTAACGATTTATCACCACCTCCCACCACAGCCATTTAAGTCCAAACCACTATCATGTGTCTCCTTTATTAATGCCATGATGATGCAAAGGTTTCCCTGCTGTCAGCCCGGCCCCTTTTACAATCTCTTCTTTGCACATTGGCTGAATAAGTCTCTTCAAGTAAATTTAGTTCATTATACTCCTTTGCTCAGAGTTTCCAAATGGGTTTCATCTCGCCTAGAATAAAATTCAAAGTCTATACACTACAGTTAGACACTAAATGGAGCCCACACATTATTAGCTGGGTTCCGGCTTTGCTCCACAGTGTGGCCATCTTCCAAATATGTTATTCATCACAAGGAAGACTGGGTAAGAATATGAATGTTTTATTATGCAAATCTAAAAATAAAACAAACAAAAACAAAATATTTGTTACAAAGTTAAATCTTAATGATGGTCCCTTATGAACTTCAACTTTTTATTTAAGGGCACTATATTGCCTTAATGTGCATTAAAATGATTTCATTTTGTCTCCATTCATACCATGAGCTGAAATTAAATTATGTCTAATTGTCAGTGTACATAGTGGGCAGTATTGAATCAACAAATGCTTAGAAAATGACCTTTTTTTTTTTGAGACTGGTTCTCACTCTATCATCAAGGCCAGAGTGCAGTGGAGCGGAGCAATCATGACTCACTGCAGCCTTGACTTCCTAGGCTCAAGCGATCCTCCCACATCAGCCTCCAGAGTAGCTGGGACTACAGGCATGAACCATCACATCTGGTTAATTTTTGTATTTTTGTAGAGATGGGGTTTTGCCATGTTGCCCAGGTTGGTCTTGAATTCCTGGGCTCGAGCAATCTGCCCATCTCAGCCTCCCAAAGTGCTGGGATCGCAGGTGTGAGCCACTGGACTTCTTATTAATTACCTGTGAGGATGATAATGATAATCATAAATTGAATATTCCTGGGTAAGTTATGGCATTTTATGTATTTAAATTACATATATTTCCAACAACTTTATCTCCATTCTAAAGGTGCAGCCACAGTTTTGTGGCTCAGAAAATTTGATGCCTTAATCAAGGTATAGTACTTGCTATGGTAAGTAACACAGTTTGAGAGCAATGGTCTGTGTGGCTTCAATGTTTGTGCTTTTGCAATAGCCATATCATGGTGAACCATTTACAGATGTAATACTTTTGTCTTTATCATGCTATCATCATTATTATCTCAACAAACTCTAAGGATCACTGACAAGTGAGAAGCTGATACTGCTGTCCTTGGTCTATGAATGAGTATGCTGAGCTCCAAAGAGCCTCAAGCTCAAGTAAGAAGAAAACCCCAGTCCTCTGTTCCCCTCTCCCAGTATGTTTCCCCTAGTGTCTCATGCTACTTTACCCATATTTTTCTTAGCTAAGTGAGTGAATTGGACCTATTTACCCTTAGAGTTCCAGAACAGATTTCCTAGAATCTATCAGTTTGCAGGTCACCTTTTTCATATACCATGCTTTACAATGCCAATTCCCCATCTGCCAGAACATAAGCCTTCTTTCTGAAGATGCTCTCAAGCCCATGGGGAGCTGAGCTCAAATGTACTAATTTTCTGATGTCAAATTCCAATCAGGTGTTTGTTTTTAATATGAAAAAGAAACTAGACAAATTCAAAACTGTGCACATGCACTTGTATATTCTGACATAATCCAATAAAGAACAACTTCCTATGTGGTGGAGAATCTCCTAGATTTCATATTATTTTTTGAGAATTTAGTTTTTATGAACTAATCATGACTTACCCCTGTTTGCACCAAATATGCCCCTTTTGTCAATAGCCTCTGTGTTGAATGATTCTTCTGTCCTTGGTCCAGGGAAGAACCAAGGAGGGAGAATCCTATTGAGGAATCAGAACAATGGAGTGACATTGTGTAGCCTCTGCCACAAGAAGGCTGATCTTCTAGGTCACATAAATATGAAGCCCCAGCTGGCCAAGTGAATCAGGATACAAGTATAGCTATTAGGAGATGCATGTCTTAGTTTCACTTCTCTAAAGAAAACAGAAATTCATACAAAGCTCTGCCATAGGGTCAACTTCATGGGTTGAATAAATGAATGAATGGTCATTCAGTCATTCAACAAGTACACCTGCTGTTTTCAAGTCACTGCTGTCAGTGTTACGAAGAGAAATCCTTTTTAAAGTTCTTCATTGTATGTACAAGTTATATATAAAGAGTCACTTTGACTGAATGTTGCTGCTAGATACTTCAGCACTTGGATACCTGCACATTCTGCTGAAGGAAACTCACCCTGGGACAATCAGGGTTAGAGAAGCAATGGTATAGTAACACATCCATTTAGTACAGTCCGCAGAAATAATTTTAACACATATGAAACACAACCATGTCTAATGAAGAAAGTAAACCTCTTTTAAATGAATTGCTAATATTATAGTCTACTTAGAATAAATATTTTCAGACAAAGACAAGCCCAGTGGTTGCACAAGCTAAGCAAGCCCAGCTTATTGTCCAGGAATTTAAATAAGTGCATTTTTTAAAGGTATGCTAATTCTGAGTTGGTTTATTAAAATTAATCTTGGAGATGATTTTTCAGCAATCAATGAATTTCTTTAAGACGAGTTATACCGTTGAGATATAATAGTCAGATGCTGTCACATTCATAGTTAACAAGCTTTCTTCTAAGTATTTTTCATGTGTGTGATCTGTGATCATAAGATTCCTGAGGGCAGAATTACAGTTACTCTTTCAAAGAGGAGTAGCTTCTTATCCTCCAATGTTTTATCAGTGCTGAGTACAGAAAGGACTCTTGTACAAAGTTCAAAACAGAAATAGACGGTCTCACTAACAGGAATACTTATATGGACTAGAAAAAGGTAACCATGACACCAGAGACCAAGGGCATCTATAATACAATGGGGACCTACCAATTCACATGATTCAGAGGGAAAAGAAACTGGGCAGGTCTGGCTTGCTTCTCTTGGTACCTCCATGAAATCTGCAGGGCTCTGCAAAGAACAGTTTGAAGACCACGGATATAGCCTACCTTCTAATTTCTCAAAAAGAGAAACTGAGACCAAGAAAGGCAAAATGGCTTCTCCAAAATTATATAACCAACTGTTACTGAGCTGAAATTAGTTTCCTGTTTCCCAAGACAGTACTTTTCCTCATCCCAGACTCATCTCAATTTCAGAGTTTACTGCAGCCTCCCTCCAGCAACCTTTCCTCTCTATTTCAGGCAACCAGAGCAAGCCAGGTTGGGACTGAGCCACCCAAAGCCATTTGTCAGTGCCAGTCTCCCACTGGGCAATGCTAACCCCAGCATCTGGTCCTGGTTTCTAGCACTTACGCTGTCGTGATTAAAGAGTTGACATATGTAAACAAACCATAACTTAAGCACAACATGGTCAGTGAGTAGAGCCCAAACGTGGATGAGTGCTGACTCATAAGTTAAGAAGGAGCCAGTTTAGAAATTTCTAGTCTTGTTTTTCTCTTGTGACAGGTATATAAATATTGCAATTGCTACAGACAGCTTTTTTTTGTGCTTTACATTGATTTTTATTTTATTATTATTTTTTTCTTTCCAATGTTTAGGTTCAGGGGTACATGTGCAGGTTTGTTACATGGGTTTATTGTGTGTTGTGGGGGTTTAGTGTACAGGTTGTTTCATCATACATATATATATGTGTGTGTGTGTATATATATATATCCTATAGATATATATATCCTATTTTATACATATATATCCTGTAAGTCTGTACCTCTAGAGAACCCTAATACAATGTGATATACCACATAAACAGAATTAAAAACAAAAATCACATGATCATCTCAATAGATGCAGAAACAGCATTTGATAAAATGCAGCATCCCTTTATGATTAAAACTCTCACCAAACTCTCTGGTACCAAGCCTAGTACCCAATAGATAGTTTTTTGATCTTCACCATCCTTCCACCCTCCACACTCAAGTAGGCCCCATGTCTATTGTTCCCTTTTGTGTGTCCATGTGTATTTAATGTTTAGCTCTCACTTATAAGTGAGAATATGTGGTATTAGGTTTTCTGTTCTAGCGTGAGTTTGCTTAGGATAACGGCCTCCAGCTCCTTCCATGTTGCTGCAAAGGACATGATTTCATTCTTTTTTTATGGCTGCATACTATTTAATAGTACATATGTATCACATTTTCTTTATCCAGTCCACTGTTGCTGGACATCTAGGTTCATTCTATTTAACCTTTGCTATTGTGAATAGTGCTACAATGAGCACACATGTGCATGTGGCCTTATGGTAGAACAATTTATATTCCTGTGAGAATATATATAATAATGGGATTGTTGGGTTGAATAAAGTTCTATTTTAAGTTCTTTGAGAAACCCACAAATTGCTTTCCACAGACAGCTTCTTGTAATTCTTACGCTCAAATATTTCTTAACCCCATAGCAAGTTTAACAAAATGTATTCTACCCCATTTTGACTAAGTAGGACTTTTTGAGGGCCAGTAGGCTGGAGTTACTTTCAGATTTGAATCAGGTCTTGATTACTCAGTGGGACATGCCAGGGCCAGCATGGTGAGAAAACTCTTTGGGACTCTTTTCAGGTCACCAAAATAATCTTATTTGCTGAGAGTGTACATAATTTTACTGGCTCTCTTCTTGGGACAGACACCATTTTGTGTGGCCACACTCAGACAATATGTGACACAAGATTGAAAGATCCACAGCAACATCAGCAGCATAATCTGAGAGATGTGCTGTTTTCCTCTGTTGCTGAAATCTGGTTGCGTTATTTTGTTTGACTAACAAGTTGTATTTCCCACTTTGTGAAACAAGCTAGAGCCTCGCCATTCAAATTGTGGTCAAGTGCATTAGCAGAACCTGGGAATTGGTTAGATAGGTAGACTCCCAAGCTTCATAGAATCAGACTCACTCAATCAGAATCTGCATTTTAACAAGATGCCCAGTTGATCTGTAAGCACATTAAATTTGAGAAGCACTGATCTAGAGATAAAGACCATGATCCTCTGGCTTCACCATGAGCTCCATCTATAAAATTTCAGTTAGTGGACCACGTTGGTTTTGGACAGTTAAATAGAGAAGAAAAACAAATCCAAAGCTTCCTTAAAGTGAATTCTCTTTTTGCCCCAGCAGGTTTATCACTTTCATCTTTTCCTTTAAGAGCTGTTGGAGAATGATAATGTTTGATGTTGTACCACCATTCAAATCTCATCTTGAATTGTAATCCCATAATCCCCATGTGACATGGGAGGGACCCAGTGGGAGGTAATTGAATCGTGGAGGTCTTTTCCACCCATGCTGTTCTCATGATAGTGAGTGAGTTCTCATGAGATCTGATGGTTTTATAAGGGGCCTCCCCCTTCACCCAGCACTCATTCTCTCTCCTGCTGCCCTGTGAAGAAGTGCCTGGTGCCATGATTGTAAGTTTCCCGAGGCCTCCCCAGCCATGTGGAACTGTGAATCAATTAAACCTCTTTTCCTTATAAATTACTTAGTCACAGGCAGTTCTTTATAGCAGCATGAAAATGAACTAATATAGAGAATAATTTTTTTGAATCACCAATGAGGACTTGAAGGAGGTTATACATCGTGGATTGTTATAGCTGCTAGTATATATGTTGGCTTTAAATTAAGAGTCATTTTGGCTAGGCACAGTGACTCATGCCTGGAATCCCAGCACTTTGGAAGGCTGAGGCAGATGTATCATATGAGGTCAAGAGTTCTAGACCAGTCTGGCCAACATCTACTAAAAATACAAAAATTGGCCAGGTGTAGTGGTGCATGCCTGTAGTCCCAGATACTTGGGAGGCTTGAGGCACAAGAATCACTTGAACCCAGGAGGTGGAGGTTGTAGTAAGCTGAGATGGCACCACTGCACTCCAGCCTGGGTGACAGAGTGAGACTCTGTTTCGGAAAAAAAAAAAAAAAAAAAAAAGGAGTCTCTCCTTCATTTCTAGACATTCAGTTGGCCACCAAGGCCTTTTGATTTTACCTCCTAAATTGTTTTCTAAACTGAGTACTCCCTTTTGTTCCCACTGCTGTACTTTAGAGCTCATCCTTTCACCTATAAAGTGGATATTAAAACAGTCTTTCAACTGCATGACAGGCCTCCCTATGTCATGTTCTCCTCTCATCTAGTGTGTCTTCCAATCTGTTGTCAGAATATTCTCAAAGGCAGCTCTGATCATATTGAAGTCCACCAATGGTATCTGATAAAGTCAACACCTACAAGTATGTTATGCAAGGTCTTTGGTCATGTTGGTTTTTTCTACCTGCCCAATCCCATTTCTTCTACTTTCCTACTTTTATTCCAACCTCCCAACATACACTCCATGCCTTCCCCTTTGCCCAGGCAGCCTCTCTGCTGGGATTTCTCCTTTTTCTCTCTCTTCCAGATAAACCTCTTCTTCTAAGATCATGTCATGCTTTTTATGTGACGCTCTTCTTGACCATGACTCTCTACCACTAAGGTAGAGTTGACCATCCTCAGAGCCTGATAGCACTTCATACTTGCTCTATAAGCAGTGCTTTCACTGAACTGAAGTGTTGGTAAATGTGTCTATTGTTGTACTAGTCTAGAAGAACTTAGGGCCGGGAACCATGTCATATCTTTCTTTTTTTTTTTTTTTTGTATCTTGAGTATCAAGTACCATTGCTAACATATAGTATATTAACTCTCAATAAATATTGATGAATTAAATAACTAAATGAATATAGTCATTGTGCAAAATAGCTATCCCATTGTCCCTGGGAACTGTGAAAACTATGCAGCCTCCACAGGTCTAGGAACTATTTTCAAAGGATGAATCTTTCAATTTCTCCAATAATGGATATTAAGGAATTGGACTGACGTTAACAGTAAAAATTACCTACATGAGCTCTGCCACTACCATAAAGGAAAACAATCCTATCTCAAATCCTGTATCAAACACCAGATCACCTGTGACATCTAGTGAAGAGCAGAATTATAGCCTAAGGCACAACCATGTTGTGCCCTACCTTCCAGTGACTTGGACTGTTAAAGTGAACACCAGCCACTCTGCCAGATGGTCCTAGAACTCTTTCTCTTGGAGCCTGATGTTGTTGTCAAGAGGGGAAAAAGACAAGGGGCCAGATTAGGTGGAGAGAACAGATCTAAAAATTGGTCTTGGCCTCTGCTCCTCCATATCCCCACAGTGGCGTTCACTGAATCCTCTGATTCAAGCTTAGTTCAGAGGGTCTCCACAAATGATTGGGGCCTTGATCAGGAAAGAATTCAAGAGCCCCAGCCCAACATTCTTTCTCAGAGGTCAAGCTACACTTGCACCCTACCTCCTACCTCATATTCCCCTTCCCTGTTCTTGAGGCCCAGAACCTACCTTATACTCCAGTTTCTGTTGATGAAAGCAGTAATAATAATAATGTGATTTCACATTAATGCAACCTTACTATTTGCCAGGTACCATTCTGGGTGCTGTACACGTATTTACAAGTTTAATCACCACAACATATTGCCTTACTAGGCACTGAATTATACACATTTTACAGATGAGGAAGACAAAGGCACACAAAAGCTTTGTAAGTTGTCTACTTTTTGGTTTCTCCTCATTACGTTGTGCCTAATTACTGCATACTCCATGATGCTGACTGCTGTGGACTGTCTTACCCTTTCGATATTATGCCTTGAACACTTGCGGTTAGACCTGCACACCCATGTCCGCTTCCCCCTTTCCCCTGCCACCTCCTGTCCCCTGCCACCAACTATTACAGATCTACCTGCTTATCCCAGCCCTGTCCTGAATAGGAAAGGAAAAGATAGACTAAAGCTCATTTATTCTCTACTCTATTAATATGGGTGCTTAATTAATGCTGATAGAAGAATTAAACTCAGTAATATGAGTAAAAGGCCTAGTGGTGACAGGCATCCATGGTCTATAATATCTGAATTAAGGCTGAGGAAAGACAAGGCACTATTTGAAAGAATGTGTCATTTTGTAGTATTCTCTTAGACATGCAGATTCCATAAACTCTCCTTATAATAAAACACAGGGCGTCCATTAACAAACTGAAGTATCTACATAGAACAAGAAACAAACCGTCACTGCTCCATTACCTGGGAGAGAGAATCCATGGAAACACCAGACTCAGGATTTTATTTGTCCCTAACGAGCCTTTTCGATGAACTTCACACTCACTTACTCTCACATTTGCATAGTTCAGATAATAACAGCTCTCTATTTCATTCTCAGTGTTGAGGTCAATGTCAGAAAAAGCTGTTTTAGCAACGATTCCCCTTTGCAGTGAGTTCTGGGATCAGGTAGAACAGACAACTTGAAGTGGGAACTGAAACCATCTATTGTGCTGTGCTTGGAGTTCTAAAGCAGATTGCACTTCCAGACACACATATGGTAATTTTAGAGTCCTCTGGAGAACTTTGAGAAACATAGATTAGATTTCATTATCCTACTCCATCCCTTTAAATCAGAATTTCCCAAGTGTGACCTGGGTATCTATCTATATATATATTTATGTATGGATATATAGACAGCTATATATAGAGAGAGCTATATATATATATATATATAGCTAGAATACGTATACTGCACATTGTTGTTAATGTAAATAAATTCTTCCAGAATGATAATATAAGGTTGAGTATGAAAGAATTACCATCTTGGAAGAGCAAGAACATTAATAGCATATATATTCTACTCCAATAATATCAGGAAATGTAAATGAGATACTAATAAACTAAACCAAAAGAATTAGGAACAAGGGAGTGTCCTTAAATACCAAAGAATTCTGATCATGTTGAAATGGGTTCTTCAAAACCTCATAAATGATGACTGCCCCTCAGAGATACTTAATTTGAAAACAGAGGGGAGAAGTGAATGTTTAGCTGACCCCTACCTTAGAGAAACATGTATTAAAAATTCCTAGCTAATAAGAGATTAGGTAGAAATTAGGAGAATGAAGATGGGTTTGAGAGAAGATTCCTGGCAGGATTTTTTATTGTAGTTCATTGACTATCTGGTACATTGAAATAGTAATATATAATTTGCAAATACTTGATAAACATAATTTGCAGAAGAACAAGTTCTACTATCTACTCTATAAAAATAAGCTGATCTCTGGACTAGAAGTTTCCAAGCCCACGAAGGTGAATTTTCAGAAGTCACAACATTGGTCAGATTTTCCTCCCATTTCCTGTCAACTTCTGCCCCAATGTTGGTGACAGCGGTTGCCTGAATCGAAGACATCATCCAAGACAAAGCTTTTATGTGATGCAATGTGCAGGTCTTACACAAGCAGGACCCACAAGGAACTGCAGGAGCTTTGGGTCCTTTTTAACCAAGACAGGTCATTAAAAGAAATGAAAAGATGTCTTCTGGAGGCTTAATTAAGAAAGTTAATTCTAGGCCCCATCATAGCCCCATTAACCTTTCTCTGTTCCTAAAATATCTTATGTAATGTCAAAAAGAAGCAAGGATGGGAAAAGGAGCAGTGTAATTAAACCTACTTAACCTTAAAATGGAAATGTGTCAAGGGATAGAAGCAATTGGTATGAAGCTCCTAACCTGTATTTATGACCCCAAAACCCAGAACCCATAAGCCTCATTTTGCTATGCTCTTCTCACATTTTCTTTGCTATGGTGTTGGACAATTTAGCCTGCTAATTTACTTAGCATGTCTGACCTGAACCATGAGAAGTCAGTTCTGAAAAATGCTGGAAGGGCAGCACTGTCCTGGTACAGGGAACAAATAAATTGCTGGTTTCTATAAAGATTTCTTGTCGCATGGAATATTTCTCAAGATTTTCAAAGTGATGGTTTTCCCTGACCCAGAAACACCTGAGCACCGACTTCCCTCTCCTCGGTCCTGTGAGAATGTGGCCTGGCTGGGGTTGAGTTTGGTTAAGATCCAGGAGAACCTGATGGATGTATTTTCTTCAATAAAAGCACATTGTTGGCCAGGTGCGGTGGCTCACGCCTGTAATCCCAGCATTTTGGGAGGCCGAGGCGGGTGGATCACGAGGTCAGGAGATCGAGACCATCCTGGCTCACACAGTGAAACACCATCTGTACTAAAAATACAAAAAACATTAGCCGGGCATGGTGGCACACACCTGTCATCCCAGCTACCCGGGAGGCTGAGGCAGGAGAATCACTTGAACCCAGGAGGCAGAGGTTGCAGTGAGCCGAGATGGTTCCATTGCACTCCAGCCTGGGTGACAGAGCGAGACTCCATCTCAAAAATAAACGAACAAAAGCACATTGTTGTTAATGTAGATAAATTCTTCCAGAATGATAACATAAGGTTGAGTATGAAAGGGAGGGGCATAGCAAAAATTTAGCTGCCTTGTCAACTCCAGCAGAACCTTGTGAAGGGAGTGTGACCAGCAGGTTCCTTCCCTAGTAGGGAACCATCGCAGGGCCAGGGAACCATCTGGTTGCAGTTGTTTCCGTTCTGCTTAGTCACCTCATTTCCTCCAAGTTCTGTGTCCCAGGCTATATCAGTTAGAAAGAGAGCATTTTCCACCAATCTAAAACTGATCAGAAATGCTGCAAGTTCCCAAAATTAACATAAGCAATCAAGTCTCTATTAAATATAAGTAAATTATGCACACTTCAGATAATTCATGATGACTCTATGTCCCCCAGGAGCCTCTCAGTGCAACTTCTTATATTGGGGTTGACATAAAATACAGGATATCTTTATTTTTATTTGAAAAATCTGGCAACCCTATTTGATATCCAATGGGCAATCATCACCCATCACCATAAGACAGAGAGAACTTGGAGCCAGCCCTGGTATCTCATTTTACATATGAGGAAATAGAGACCTGGAGCTTTCTTTTTGATGGGGGTGGAAAGGCTGCTTGTACTTAAGTCTCACAGCTAGTGAGGGGCAGCATATGGACCAGAAGCCAGCTCGATTTCTACGCATTTTGTTTCCACTGCTTATGCTGCTTCTCTAATAAATGCACATTTTTTCAAATTGTTGTCATATTAACTAGGCTTTCCAAAATCTTTCGAAAAACCTGACATTTGTTGAGCATAACCCTGTTCAGGCCTCTATGCTAAATGTTGTGCACAAACCAAAAGAAGTAACATGATCTCCCTGACCTTTAGCGCTTTTATAGTTTTATTCAGTTTAAATGCTAAAGAAAATAAAAATTAAGAAAAGTTTTAATACTGGAAAATGGCCAAAGAATACTTTTTTCAAGCCCAAATATAAAGATATTCTTTTTAATGAACTATTTAAAATTAATTAAGCCATTGTCTTCTTCCATCAATGTTAATAATCCATGCTGGCATTCCAGGCAAAGGGTAAAAAATACAGTGAGGCTTTAGCCAATTGTTAGATCACTCAGCTCTACAGAATCTGTTGTGGAAGTTTATTCCACTTTCCATTTAACTCCAGCTGGAACATCCCTCATACCTTCAGTCACTATCCATCCAGAACCTTCTTTGTACACTTTTTCCAGTAGAAGACATGATATGAAAATTTGACATGTACATAAGTCTTTCACTCACTCATGAAGAGCTGAACAGTAAAACAGCATTGGCAATATTCAAGGTATACGCAATGGAGGGGGAGCTTCATCTTTTCATTCATTTTTGGGCTGGGCCTGGTGGCTCAGCTTGTAATCCCAGCACTTTGAGAGGCCAAAGCGAGAGGATTGCTTGAGGCCAGGAGTTCCAAAGATTAGGAACTCTTGGTTGACCACTAGGTTAGATACCAACCTAGTCAACATAGCGAGACTCTGTCTCTACAAAATTTGGAAACAAAAAAATTTAGGCCATGGTGGTGCATACCTGTAGTTTCAACTACTTGAGAGGCTAAAGTGGGAAGATCACCTGAGCCCAGGAGTTCAAGGCTACAGTGAGCTATGACCACACCAGGGCACTCTAGCCTTGGCAACGGAGAGATCTTGTTTCAAAAAAGAAAGATAAACTTGTTCCTCTCTAGCCATCTCATGCTACGTGAACTCTATATGTGCTTGTGCCTTTCTTATTTAAAACAATATTTTTTCAGGTCTTTCTCAGGAATAATTGATTTTGCACCTGTTTATAAAATATGGTCTTGGACTTTGTAATAATAGGCATCACATACTAATATAAATGAATCCAGTCTAGCTAGGACTTTTACAATGATAATATTAATCCACTTGGAAATTCAACTGTTTTTTATGCCTTTAAATAAAAGATTTATATTTTCAGATGATCAGACTGAATGGTGTCCCCCCAACTCCAGCAATTCATATGTTGAAGTCCTACCCCCAATGTGATTATCTTTGGAGACAGGGCCTTTTAAAAAGGCAATGAAGCTTAAATGAAGTCATAATGGTATGGTCCTAATCTGATAAAACTGTGTCCTTATAAGAAGGGAAATGACAACAAGGATGTGTGTGGATAGAAGGACAAGCATGTGAGGACACACTAAGATAATGGTTGCCTGAAAGCCAAGGAGAGAGGTTGCATAGGAATCCAACCCTGCCAGCACCTTGATCATGGACTTGAGCCCCCAGAACTGTGAAAAACTTAATTTCTGTTATTTATACCATTCATCTGTGGTACTCTGTTATGGCAACTCTAGCAGGCTAATATAATCAGAGTAACTTTTATAAGCATTAGCCAAATAATTATTAGAGTACCACATGAATGTAAGCAAGAATTCTATCTTGTTCACTGCAATATTCACAACATGTAAGACAGTGCCTAGTACATAGTTGGTACTGAGTAAATAGCTAGCAAAAGATTAATGAATGAATTATCCCCCATAAGCTGTATTATCCATACAATGTAACCACAGTGTGAGATTGGGAAAACTGAGCCTTTGGGGTCTGACACACTGGTTTTATCCTCAGTCCCTTTAGTCCCTGGACCTTGGGGAAGTTTCCTTATCTTTCTGGGCCTTGGTTTCTCATCTATAAATTGGCAATGGTAATGTTTTCATCATTAGTTATTGCAACGATTAATTGGGGTAATGTGCCTGCACATATAAAGTGATAGCTGCTATGGTGTTGATGCAAATGGTGGGGAGCTTCATTTTTTCATTCATTTATTCACTCACCAACTATCTATTGAACCCCTTCTATGCACCTAGCATTGTTCCTGACATTGAGGATAAAAAATAGGTAAGAAGACAGTCTGTTAGCTCATGTGCACTTTACATTCAAGAAGATGGAGTCAAAAATAACAAGAAACAATAAAATAATTTCAGAAGATGGTAATTGTCACAAAGAAAATAAAGCAGAGTAATGTGATGATGACTGTGGGTGACAGTGTCTGTGTAAGGGAGCAGAGGCAAGAAGTCTCTTTGAGAAGATGACAGGTGAGGCTGAGTCTCAAATGAGAAGTCAGTCGGCCTAGAAGGTGTCTGGGGAAGAGCACTCTAGAGAGTATAGCTGGTACACAAGTCCTAAGGGGGGAATGACTTTAGCACATTCAGGGGGCAGAACGAAGGCCGGTGTGGCTGTAGTGTTGTGAGCAAAGAGGAGAGAGGTACAAGATGAGGTCCAAAATATTAGTTGGAGCCAAATCATGTGAAGACTTACAGGCTAGGGCAATGGGTTTGGACTTTTTATAAATGCAATGGGAATAATTGTAGGGTTGAAGGAGGGGAGTGCCATGATGAGATTTATATTAAAAACAATGTTCTGCTGCTATGAAGATGGATGGCAGAAAGGCATGAGTGGAAGCAGAAAGCTGGTCAGGAGTCCTGCCTAGTAGCCCAGGAGAGAGAGCATCGGCTTGGACCAAGGTGGTGTAGAGATGGACAGTGGATGAATTCAGTTGCTATGGCAGCAAGTGGACAGTCCCTTGATCGATTGGATGTGAGGAAAAAAAGAATGAGAGGGTCTGGGATGACTTTTGGGGTCTCAGCTTAAGGAACTGGGTGGGATGGTGCCCTCTGTTGTGATCCTTTGTGGGTTGGGGGAGGTAGAGAGAATCAACAGAGATGACATTAACCCTAACTTTGTGTCTACCATTGAGTTGATGCAGCAACCTTCTTGGCATAGCCAGCAGAAGCCTGTCCCCTGAGAAAAATCACTGGTGATTGATCATCAACATTTCAGATTAGTTATTGACTCATTAATCATTGCTGAGAATCACACTTTAAACGGTTGTGTGAAAAATGATCTGGGTGAATCTTAAGTTTTTCACTGGACTCCTATTCTAGGCTTTGGTTTTCTTTGCTACGGAATGAGGTTTTCTTGAGTGTTTATTTTTTAAGACACTTCCCAACTGAGCCACATCATGTACCCTCACTATAAAAAAGCAAAACCAGAGCAGAAGCATCTCCTAAGAGCTACAAGGATGGGAAAATAGACCCTGGCCAAAACGTGGACATTCTGTACCTTGTGCAGAGTTTAGATTTCTTGCTCTCCCTTATTCTGCTCTTGCCACTCTTCCTTTCTCTCTCAGGTATCGTCTTCTTCACTTAGGGCTCATATGGCTGCCATTGGCTGGCTTTAATTAGTCTGGGGTACTGAGCATCATTACCATGTTGGTGGTGTTAAATTTCAATATACTCAAATACCATGAGCTGAAGTCACAGCTCATGACAACTACAGGAAGCTAGCCTTGAACTAAGCTGGGAGATAATTAAAACAGGCAGGAGCAGAGATTGTTCATACAGACCTCTCCTGCACTCCGACCCAACCAGCCTCTTTTGGTGTCTTATCTTTCTTCCTTTGTCTTATTCACTTTCTCTCCAGTAAAGGTTATTCTAAAGTGGGCATCTAACAATGATGACAATGTTGTGAGCAAGAAAAGAGAGCAAGTAGAAATACGAAATGTTTGTCCTGAGAAGCTGCCTCTGATGGGTTTAAAATCACTGTGGAATAAAACCAGAATGAATTGTTCCGAGCAGTACCAAGTGTGCCTTTTAGGCCCAAATACTTCTGTAGTCCTTCTATTGTGTCTACATGAGGGTGAGCAGTTTCTTTTTCCATTGTACTAAAAAGAAAGAAGACAGACACAAATAGTAGCTAACCCAAAATCAGATAGATAGCTTTGGAATTTACTTAGGCAAAAAGCATTCATCATAGGCAGTCAGCAGATATGCTATTTGTCACTTAACCCGAAACCCACCCACCCCTAACCCTCACTGTCACTGGGCCCAAAGTAAAGTGTAAAGATTTTTTTTTCTTTTTTTAGATAGAGTCTCGCTCTGTCACCCAGGCTGGAGTGCAGTGATGTGATCTTGGTTCATTGCAGCCTCCGTCTCCTGGGTTCAAGCAACTCTCCTGCCTCAGCTTCCCAGCTAGCTGGGATTACAGGTGCGCACCACCACGCCCGGCTGATTTTTGTATTTTTAGTAGAAATGGGCTTTCACTATGTTGGCCAGGCTGACCTCGAACTCCTGACCTCAGGTGGCCTCCCAAAGTGGTGGCATTACAGGCGTGAGCTACCACGTCCAGCCAGGTGCAAAGAATTTTGATTGGTTAACAGAAAGCTTGCCTCTATGCGGTTTGGATACATAATTAGCCTTGTTACAAATTGAGGTAAGACTGGATTCTAGGAGATGCTATCATGGGAGCTATAGATACAAACAAGCAAGTAAATGGCTTAGTATCTAACCCCAGAGAAGAGATATTTGGGAAACAAGCCTGAACTACATGGACTACCCCCACTTCCAGGTTTAAGTCATTTTAGGCAAAAATAAGCTCTAAGAAGAAAATCAAGCAGATGTGGTGATAGAGAAGAAATAAGAGGCAGGAGTGGCCTCTCTGAGAAGGTTAAATTTAAACTGAAGCATGAAAAATGAGGAGCAGCCAGGCTCAGAGCCAGACAGGGAAAGAAAACAACAGGTGCAAAGCTCCCGGGGTGGGAAAGAGCGTGGAGTGTCGTAGAAACTGTCACAGAGCCAGGGAGGGCTGGGTAATAGTGACAAGGGGCACAGGAACGGGGAATGAGGTTGGAGAGCTAAACAGGTGGGCAGAAGCCAGATTCCATGTGGTGTTTAAGGCAGAGTAAGGAGTTTAAATATTTTCTATGTAGAATTGGAAGTCATTAAAAGGTTTAAGCAGGGAAAAGACATGAACTGGTTTTGTTTTGTGTTTTAAAGATCACTCTAGCTACTCTCTGATGAATGGATTGTTGGGATGGGGTTGCAGCAGAGAGATCAGCGAGGCAGCCACTGCAATAAGATGGGCAGTAGATAAGATGACTTGGGTTGGGATGGTAGCAAGAGGAGACCAGGAGAATAAAACAGCTTAAGGTGCATTTTAGATGTAGAATCAACAGGACTTGCTCATAGACTGAATAACAGGAATGAAGGAAGGGCAGAAATTAAGGGCAACTCCCAAGTTTCTGGCCTGAGCCCACAGGTGGGTGAAGAGGCCCCTTTTCTTTGGGGGTAATGCCAGGAAGGATGAAGGTTGGGTGCAATGAGAAAGAGTTTAGGAGCAGGAGAAAATCAAGAGTTCTATGTTGGACATCTCAATACTGGGATTCTTATGCGGCATCTAATTAAAGGCCTCATCTATCATTACTTACACAGTTAAGTACATGAATCCGGAGCTCAGACGAGAGGGCAGGGGTGAAGATATGAATGTTGGGGCATCGTCATAGTGATGGCATGTACGTCACTGCGTTAGGTGAGCTCACCCAGGGAGAGAGTGGAGACAGAGCCAAGAGGATAACCCCGAGGTGATACAGGAGGAGACTCGCCTTCATGACAGGAAGAAAGGGTGATTCAAGGCAAAGGGTGATTCACCCAACCCAAGGTGAATGGACCCAAAAAGAGAGAAACAGCCAAAGAGAATGTGGTCCCACCCCAGAGCCTAGTGCCTACCAAGGAAACCACAGTGGGGCCCTGTGAAGATTAAATAAATAATGCATAGGAAAGCGTCTAGTGAACTACAACTTATTATACAATAGGTGGTAAAAGGATTACTATCTCATCTTTGATTTTTGTATGTGTTTACTGCTCTTCCCCTTACTAAGGGGCAAACACATAAAGGCAAAGATGCCACTTCATTCACTCCTTTTGTTCTCTAGCACCTAGAACAAGTAAATGTTTATTGGCTGATGGGTCAATTGTTGTTTTGACCATGCCTAGGAGAATTACTCTCCAATGCCTGCTTCAGGTTGGCTTCTGATAGACCATTCTTGCTGCTTCCTGCAACTTCGTACTTGCAAGACACACATTAGAACTCTTTAATCCTGAGGAAAGCATGCAGCAGAATCTCCTTCTTTCCAATCGATAGGAACAGAATAGATGCTCATCTGTTCAGGATGGATTTTTTTCCCCCTTTAGCTTTGCCAAGAAAATTCAAAATCACACACAAGAGTGGGAGAACTCATTTGAACTAAAAGGAAACAAGGGTTTAACTGAAACTCTTGTAAGAGATCTGGACTTCAGCATATTTCTCGGCAGGGAACATCAATAAGGTAGGCCATCAATCAGAGCAGAGCAAATGCTACTGGAGAACTTTGCGAGAGGAAAAAAAATAAATTTTCTTACTTTTTCCTCCATCAAGTTGTTCTTGTCTATTTTTCAAAGAAGCTTTCCTTTTCTCCTGCTAAAGCCAAATACAGCCTCAAGAAAAAAAAAAAAATTACAGATCTTCTCGCTTATGTTAGAAATCCCCCCTTCCTTCTCGCAGGACTTCTAAACTTTCTTCTTCACCTAACTGCCTTTCAGGAAATCTGAGGCAAAAAAGAGATTAATCTGTATTGTAAAAGGTGAGAAGGTTTAGAGGTTAAGCCGTCTCAGCAGACAATAGTAGAATGCACTTTCAAAACACATTCTGAGACGATGCATACCACCCTCCTTACATCAAAAATAAAACTCCATGAGAATAGCCAACATCTAAAAGGCCTAGAAGTGGAACTACAAATGATATTAACATGGCATATATGGAAGCCGTCCAGACTTCACAATCAAAAGGAATTGGCTTCTAATCCTGATTTGCTGGCTGTGAAACCTTGGACAAATTATTTCTCTGTATCCTTTTCTTCATTTTACAAATGGATTGATATCGCTTACCTTGTATAGTTTTTGTGAGGTTTAGATACAAAGCACAAAGAGTTGGTACTCCACATGGCAGAATATACGGGTTGGGAGACAGACGCAAATGTCTACTTGCTACTCTGCTGTGGCTGTAAGGACACATGGGAAACTGGTGTACAGTAATAACAGCAAACAATATTTTTGAGCTCTTGCTTTGTGTTAGACACTGTTTGAAAGCGATACAATCATAAAATTTAAGACATTTTCTTGAAGTTGCTCAATAGGAAGTGGTGAAACTGGATTTCATATCCAGACATTTGGACTCCAGAGTGCCTTCTCTTCCTACTAATAATATACAATTTCATAGGTATATCAAATATATATACATATAGAAACAGGGCACTTGGATTCTAGTTTGCATTTCCCACAAATTTAGTTGTTTGGCCCTTGGGAAAGTCATCTAATTCTTCTGACTCTCAGTCTTCTCAATTTAAAATGAGGAGAGTGGCTGGGCACGGTGGCTCATTCCTGTAATCCCAGCACTTTGGGAGACCAAGACAGACAGATCTTTTAAGGTCAGGAGTTTGAGACCAGCCTGGCCAACATGGTGAAACCCCATCTCTACTAAAAATACAAAAATTGGCTGGGCATGGTGGCACATGCCTGTAATCCCAGCTACTTGGGAGGCTGAGGCAGGAGGATAGCTTGAACCTGGTAGGCGGAGCTTGCAGTGAGCTAAGATCATGCCACTGCACTCCAGCCTGTGGGACAGAGCCAGACTCTATCTCAAAATAAAATAAAATAGGAACAGTGGGACAGTAGACACTTTTGGATCACTCAGGTTGTGACTCTTCTACAATCATGAAGTCCTGTGATTTTATGCTTGTTTTAATCAACTATGGACTTCCAGCTTTTCAAAACAGGCCAATCCCTTGGCTGACAGAACAGAAACCATGAAAGTCTGCAAAGATGAACCAAGGTTTTGCACATCTCAAGTGGGCTGAAAACTATTGGTTCTATTTTGAACCCACAGAAATGGAAGGAATTGGCATTTTTTTCAGAAAGAACAATGAGAAATTCCACAGTCCTTCTCTATCTCACAGTCTTGGTAGAGTTTCCTGCCATAATCAAACATGAAATATTTTATATTATAGATGACAAGAAACAGCAACTGACCCAAGGAGGTAAGGGCAGGCCTAGAAAGCAGTGGAAGCCACAATCACAGCTCACTGTGATGACCACGTATTACAGTACTCATTGCACCTGTGGCAAAACAGGGCCCATACCACCTAGAAAACAGCACGGTCATGTGGAAAACCAGGGCTGGAAGCCAAATGTCTGACACTCGCATGCTGAGCTCTTCTTTTGACTTTTCTGTTTCATAGCATCAGTAGGAAACAAAGAGCAGATTTTCCTGATCCAACATGATTAGGTATCAAATTTTCAGATATAGAATGATGGTGTTCCCCTGCCTAAACGGCAATGATTAAGTTCCATCTGAAATGGCTGACAGAAGCCCTGTCGTGGCTTCAGTCTAAATTGTTGAAGCATCAGAATTATATGGTGCTTTTATTATCTTGTGGAATGCATGTCCCTGGGGTACTTCTTTGAGTTCAACTAAAACGACAGTTTAATTCTCAGTAAATGAGTGCTAATTAAAATGCTGGGGGAAAGACTGTCATAATTGAATAATGAGAATAATGCAGAATACATTTGTTTAAAGGTTCCTGTAAGCTGAATTTCAGGATCAGA
This sequence comes from Homo sapiens, assembly GCF_000001405.40. Taxonomy (NCBI): domain Eukaryota; kingdom Metazoa; phylum Chordata; class Mammalia; order Primates; family Hominidae; genus Homo; species Homo sapiens. Next base: position 122,252,210 of record NC_000011.10, read on the forward strand.
AAATGGTCTTTAGGAGCTCACAGGCAAAACCAACTCTGAAAAACCTTTAATACTCAGCATGGGTATTCACTAAGTTAAGTCTCCACCCTGAGTAGGAATTGTTTTAAAGCTGCTGTAAGAGTCTAAATCTTTCCTTCACGTTTTATTTCTTGCAAATGTTTGTGAACGTGTTCCTTGCTCTTAGATTTTGTGAAATGTAGGCTAGAGTAGAACTTATAGCACTGAAATCCATTTCTGCTTTACTCTTAGACAGGTAGCCATGATGGCATCTCTGGAGCCAAGTCTCTAGAATGCAATAGTCTTTGACATAATAGTGCTTTTGCAAAGCTGGAGAATTAGACAATGCCAAAATTAGAAAGTGTTTGGAAGGAAGCAATGTGAAGTTAGTGGGAAGAACATCAGATTCTAATCTTAGCTTTGCCAATAATTCTAAAACAGGATATAAATAATCTATCCTGGATCCTTATCATTTAGTTAAACCTGTTTGGAGGGTAAAATGAGATAATGCACTTAAAAATAATTCTAAAAGAAAAAAATTATAAAATGAAATAAAACTTTATCTCAACAATTGGTTGACTTAGTATAAATTTATTTAACAATTGGTTGACTTTGGTATAAATACAGGTTGAGAATCCAAAATCTTAAATATTCCAAATTCTGAAACTTTTTGAGTGCCAACAAGGTGCCACAAGTGGAGAATTCCACACCTGACTTCAGGTGATGAGTCACAGTCAAAACTTTTTTTCATGCACATAGTTATTTAAAATATTGTATAAAATTACCTTTAGGCTATGTGTATAAGGTGTATGTGAAATAAATGAATTTTCATATTTAGATTTGGGTCCCATCCCAAAATATCTCATTACGTATGTAAATATTACAAAATCTGAAAAAGATTTCAAATTTGAAACACTTCTGGTCCCAACCATTTCAGATAAGGGATACTCAAACTGTAACATAAACCTCATATTTATTTTCCTAATTCAGATGAGTCTGGTATTAATATATTTAACAGGGTAGGTCTGTAATGGCCAAGCTCATTACAGTAGTATATTATTAGGGAAATCTGTATTATCCTAAAATACAAAATGTATCCTTAATCCCACACGATGTTCAATTTATATACTAACCCCCACCCTCAGCTGCTGAGATAATTGGATTGACTTTCATGCTTCTCAGTTTCTACGTTTCCTTTAGCTCTTCCATCCTAGTAATAGTTAATTTCAAAGGCTTTAGGATTTTATTGAATGCAATCTATTCAGTGAGTTTCTGTCCTGTCCTTAAAGATCTATGGGAAAAATAAATTCTATAACCTCCTTCTACGCCTAACAACTTTTACAGTGAGTAAATTCTGTACAATCTGAATTCCTTGATTGTGAAAAAATGTCCCCAGGGCCACCCATTGGGAGGCCTCCCATACACTTACTAATCCAACACAGCTTAGAGGCCTTGACAGCTCCAGCGGTGCTGCTTAGACACCCCCCTTATGAATATGCAAAGACAATCTTTCACTTACAAAAGAAACTGATATAGCCATTATGGCCTGTGGTTAATCAAACCTCCATTCACTTCCCTCTGCTTTGAGAACCGTCATCAAGAAAATGTGTTGCTAAGCAAACTTAGCAGTAAGGACCTGGTTCCCGTATAAATGACTGCCTAGAGGGCAGCTTGCTTAGAAGTAAGAATCCAGGTTTTTTTCAGCTTCTAATTTGATTTCCTGTAAAATTCAAGCTCATCATTCAGTTTAAGGAAGATTTGAAAGTTGCTCACACATTTATCATTTAAACAAGTTCGAGTTTACACACACACAGACACACATGCACATGCATGCACATGCACACAGACACACACACACTTCCTCATACCAGGTCCTCCCTCTTGCTTCTGCAATTGTTTTTTTGGAAAACCTCCAAGCTTAAGCCAAGGAAATGCATAATAGAGAAGCTGCTGACTTTCCAAGCATCTGGTGAATTCACAACTTTCACTGAGCCTTACATAATATATCATCAATATTCATTCTTTCATAGACATATATCTTAGTCATTCCCACCTCCCCCAGGAAACTTGGTCAAGGGAAAACATAAAGGACGTTTCATAGCAAATTCTTAATAGAGAGTACACATGAGTAGAAATATACCCTGCTTTGCAACTAACTTTCGGTGTAACCTTAAAAGATCACTTAAGGCCAGGTGCGGTGGCTCACGCCTGTAATCCCAGCACTTTGGCAGGCCGAGGCAGGCAGATCACAAGGTCAGGAGATCAAGACCATCCTGGCTAACATGGTGAAACCCCCATCTCTACTAAAAATACAAAAAATTAACTGAGCGTGGTGGTGGGCGCCTGTAGTCCCAGCTACTCGGGAGGCTGGGGCAGGAGAACGGCATGAATCCAGGAGGCAGAGCTTGCAGTGAGCCGAGATCATACCACTGCACTCCAGCCTGGATGACAGAGCGAGACTCCATCTCAAAAAAAAAAAAAAGATTACTTAAAATAATTGGTGCCATGGATTCCATAGTCCCAAAATGGAGAACAATATACTTTCTATGGTACCAAGATAAGGCCTTAAGCCTGCTCACACAAATAGTTTAACGTATTTCATAAATGACCTGGATTATCACATTCTGTCTTGGTTAGCCAAAACTTGTTTTATAGGATTTAGGCACTAATTTTTTCCAGTGGGTGGTAAACCAGTGGTCTCAATTCTCCATTCTATGCAAAAATTTTAGTTTACCACTTGGAAAAGAATTCAAAGAGATGAGATAAGACCCAGGCAGCATAGAACTGGATTGTGGTATTAAGTAATCAAATCTAAGCTACCAAATTTATTTTAGAAAAATGCTTTATTAGATGGTGGATGTAGATTGCAGGTTATGTCATACAACATTCACATTTAATTGCTTTATGCCAAATAACCTTGCTTTTGCCATTTCTTAAGGTATTTGCATATAATAAACATGATTAGAGAATATTGTGTTATTCTGCATTTTCCTAGATTCTGTATTTGTCTATTTGGCATCCATTCAGCACAGGGCCAATTATATTTGCTACGTTTTTAAATTTTCTATATTCTTGATGTTACGGCATTTGAGGGTCTTACATACCCAAAAAGAGACTGTCCCTTCCAGGGTTAGCTAATTCCTAAAGATAGTAAACAAGTTACTTGAGTGCATGTCTCTCATATGCAAGCCGACCACCCCCTTTATCTAACTCTCACATACAAAGCCAATATTTCTTCTGCCCTAAATCATCCCAGGACCAGTGCTATGATTTGGGTGTGGTTTGTTCCTGCCAAAACTCATGTTGAAATTTGATTCCCAGTGTGGCAGTGTTGAGAGGTCGGGCCTGGTAGGAGGTGTTTGGGTCAGTGGGGTGGATCCCTCATGAACAGATCAATGTCCTTCTGAGAAGGTGAGGGAGTTCTCACTCTTGCTAATAGGTTAGTTCCCATGAGAACAGGTTGTTAAAAAGGGTCTAGCTTCTTCTCCTGCCATGTGATCTCTGCACATACTCTCCCTCCTTCCACTTTCCACCATGAGTTGAAGAAGCATGAGGCTCTCATGAGATGCAGCTGCCCAACCTTGAAATTTCCAGCCACCAGAATCATGAGCCAAATAGATCTCTTTTCTTTATAAATTATAAATGACCCAGCCTCCGGTATTCTGTTATAGCAACATTAAAATGACAAAGACAGCCAGATACTAGGCATCTAAGGACTACCCCTATAGCCCGAAGCCCTCTAGAATTTTATTCAAACTAGCCAGTCCAAAACTGCTTACTCTGCCCTGCCTTGCCTTTCCTTTGGAAACCCCATAAAGAGAGGCTTTGGCTTAGATTCTCCTCTCTCCACTTTCTGCCTTGTGACCAATACTCGTGCTCCCCATGTGCACTTGTGTAGCATGACATGGCCCTTCTCTGGGAATGCAAGGGAGAAAAATGTTCTTTCCATGGCATGAGCTTCCCCATGTCACCACTTGGTAATCTCCATAAATTAAAACCCCGTGGGCACAAATGAGACACATGTCTGCCCTCAGTTTAGTTTGTTATGGTATTAATGTTATTTGATATAGGATAAGTGATATGGTTTGGCTCTGTGTCCCCACCCAAACCTCATCTCAAATTATAATCACCACGTGTCAAGGGAGGAAAGAGATTAGATTATGGGGGTGATTTCCTCCATGCTGTTCTCATGATAGTGAGTGAATTCTCACGAGATCTGATGGTTTTATAAATATGGTCGTTTTTCTTGCACTCATTCTCTCTCTTGCCTGCTACCATGCAAGATGTGCCTTTGCTTCTCCTTCACCTTCCACCATGGCTGTAAGTTTTCTGAGGCTTCCCCAGTCATTCAGAACTGAGAGTCAATTAAAACTCCTTCCTTTATAAATTACCCAGTCTTGGGTATTTCTTTATAACAGTGTGAGAACGGACTAATACAATGAGAGGTAGCAACAAGTAAATTGCCCTCTAAAGACTTAAGCTCCACTCAACCCTGAACTTCTTGATTACAGAAACGGTGTAATTATTTATCTCACTGTGTCTCCTGGACACAGTGCTTGGCACATGTGAAGTTCCAATTAGTTTTCACAGAATAAATACATTGGAAATGGCTAAATTAATATTTTCCATTAGTGTGATGGTGACCATAGATCAATGGTCCAGAATCATCTGAGCACTTGTGCAAAGATGAGATTCTGAAGCCCTACTCGATGCTTTCTGAATCCTAATCTCTCTTTATGAGGCTGAGGGATCTGCCATTTAAACAAACTCCAAGGCAGTTCTTGGTTACATTTTGGTAAGAGAATCTCTGCTTTGCTTTCTTGTCTCAAAAGCATCATTCTTGGCTTTAATGGAACTCTTCAGTCAAGATGAAGCACATAATGATTCTAAAATATGAGGAACTCTTATTCCAAACACTTACTATTCATATGTAGTTTGAGGACCTATATTTTTGATATTCCAAAAACCTATCAACAATGCCAATATGTGGATGACTATTTGGTGCTCAATCCATCTCTGACATCAGATGCATGAAATCAGTTTCTCCTATATCTGTTTTGCCTTCTAATTAATATGAATTGATTGGTTAAGTTTTTCCAATATGGAAACTAACAGACTTTTGAGTCAAATAATATGTGCATGTGTGTGTGTGTGTGTGTGTGTGTGTGTGTGTGCTTGCATACATGTTAACATGTGTTTAAATGCTTTACTTTTGTTTTACTTTATTCAATTCATTCATTAGCTTGCAACCAGTCAAGTGTGACTTCTTAATAGTGTGGGTTATGTATACTCCTTCAATCAACTCTTGGCATCTTATGCCCTCATCTTCTTCTCAGAACACTTGTATGAGACCTCTGCCTGCTTTGGCTACATCTTATAGAAAAGGTTCTCTGAGGGCACTTGTGGATTTTTTTTTTTATTCAGTCATGAGAAAACACATGAAAGTACATTCTAATGAATATTCAGGTCCACATTCCTGAAAAATATGCTCCTCAGGGGCGCCATGGCATAGCTTTGTGAAGGAGCTCTTCTCTAATAACAGTTGATATGAATCAAGGTCTCAGCCAAGCCTTCAGTGAAGTTTTCCATCCAACCTTTTCTCTTAGAATTGACGATTCTGGCACTTCTGTCAACATTGTGCCTACAGCTTCTGTGACATGACTGAAACTCCTCAAGGGCAGTAAGTGATGGCATGTCTTTTTTTCCTTTCATCTCACCTTCTGTCTCTCTCAAAGGCATCAGGAAAAATCTGAGATAAGATGCTTACTTCTACACAGGCGACAATGCAGCCACATGAATAAGTAATTAAGTATAAGTCAGTTTCTCAGACCTCAAAGGGCCAGAATGTTAGAATGGAAGAGGGTGAGAGATACACACTGAGTGTCCCCCTGGCAAATCTGTGGGGCGCTCAGCTTCTCTAAGCCCATCTCTGGGCCCCTGGCAGTTCACATTTTTGTCCTAAAGGGCTGAGCTTCCCCTCTGATGCTGCTAATCATGTCTCTCCTCTGTTTCATGACCGAAATTCTGGCTGCCCTGGAACTCATGGATCTCATTTGCTGATCACCACTATTGTTGGCCTGTTCTCTCTTATGAGTCCCCTAATGCTGCAGTTACATTGATCCTTACAGAGTTTGGACTACATCAAAATTTTCAAGGTACAAGATTGGGATGGAAAAGGAAGAAAAGAGGTAGAAGAAGGGCTCTTCCTTCCCTAGCATTTTGATGGCTTCATGAAGTCCAAACAAAATGGCACTATTCTTTTAAGGCCTTTAATTGTGTCCCTGGTGTGAATAATATTTCATTTGATTTGATTTTTCAGTGACTTTCATGAAATTCTGTCCTTCAAAGAACAACAAATAAAACACTTGCCACTAATTATCTGTGACTGCATCAGACAACAATGTGAATGTGACCACATTTAAGACCAAAGCTCTTTGCTCTCCAACAACCAGAAGCCCTGGACAAGGAGAGTGCAGTGACTATCCCACTTCTAGTTGTCCTACTCCTAGGGCTAGCTATCAAGACTACAGCTCTAGCCTGTCCACTTATTGTTCCTCTTTCTATGAGACCCAGAGGAAATGATAATTTAGCAACCTTCACAGTTAAGCCCACGTGCCCTAGAGCAGCTACCTTCAAATCCTTTGTCATGTAAGACTTAGCCAGATTCTGCCACAGAGATGAAGGTGAACCCCCTCCAGCCATCCAGTAATATTGCCAATTAAATCAGATAAACCAAATTGCATCTAGTAGATATCTCTAACTCAACTGGCTCTAGGGAAATAGTGACTGCCAGCAGGTGGTTCAGAGCAACTCTTTGTAATACTCATTTCCTGTTGCTTAAAGATGTGAAAAAGACCAAGTCTACCAGCTTCTGGTGTTTGACAAACCAAGCTCCTGTTGGATCATATTTGAACAGACAGCTGTATCTGAGTGTGCCAGGGAAAGCCTTCCCAGACAATCAAGTAAGGTCAGCAAAAATTCCCCAGACTAGCTAAGAATTGGTAATCACCTAATCCCATGAAAACATAGTGGCAAGCTATGCGCACTGTTGGCTTTTTTGTACACGTTTGTTCATTTACCCATCACTCATTCACTAGCCAGTCATCCAGCTCTAATATGCACCCATCTCTGTCCTAGGTGCTGGGCACACACTGTCCCGGCCAACGCAAAGCCTACAGGCTAGTGGCCAATAATGACCACGCCTGTATTTTCTCATACATCAATCGGAACCTTTCCTGAAAAAAACTTACAGGATGCAATTCTTACTAATAAAACAAGATTGTCAGCAATGCTTAATTTAATTATTTAATTTTGTAACCGCAAAATAAAGTGGCAGAATAAATGAAGTATTTATACCCTGGATCAAAGTCAAATAGAAGTTCCTGTCTAACCCAGGAATAGATTTCAAGTTGCCTAATGTCTAATCTGGTTTTCTCACTAATCATCACTTCATCCCTTTGCAAGAGAAAACCTATAAAAAGTGTAACAGTCCCATGGCTAGAAAAATATGTAACTTAGATTATGCCTAGAAATAAAACAAACAAGCAAATAAAACCCCAATAAGACACAACCATATAAAAGGCCAATTCTTGCTTTCTGGATAATATCTGAACCAGGCAATGAGAGCAAAAACATCTGAATTCTGAATTAGCTGTCATAAGAGTGTCTTCTTTTTCCCAGTCTTCATCTATTCCCACTGAATATGAGTTCATACATCTTCTTCTGTAGTTAGCCAATGGAAGCCTTCCCATTACTCACTGGCATGTAATTCTTAATAGCTTATTTACTTACTGATTTGGAATGTATCATATTATAAATAACAAAATAGAAGGGAACGGGGGTAAGAAGCTTTTACATTAAGCATGATAAGAGAAGTGCACGTTGATAACGTGGGAAGAAGAAGAACTGGCATTAGGCATACAGCTATTCTCAGGAGTTAATGTTCATAACAATACTGGGTGTTCATCCTGCTGATACCGTCTTGCTTGACTAAAGAAATAACTGAAATCCAAGAGAAATTGAGTTTTAAGAAGATAACAATATCTATGCTACACTTTTGATAGATTTCCATCAACGAATAATTTAGTAACATTCACTTACGCATGAATTTCCAAATAGTACTTTACTCTAGAATGGCAGCTTGTACAGTTTCTCAGACATGTGTTCAACCCATTGATCTTCATAGCAACCCTGTGAGGCACATAGATATTCATTTATTTATTCATTGTTTGTTCATTTGTTTTCACTATTTTTTCATTTGCCTTCTCATTTATTCTGCCAGTCAATAAGTATTTGTTGATTTCTTCCCCATTGTGGGCACTGTGCTACACTATTATCCTGGACTGTCCAGTATGGTAGCCCCAAGCCACATGCGGCTATTGAAATTAATTAAAACTAAATGAGATTTTAAATTCAGTTATTCAATCACACTAGACACATTTTAAGTACTCCAAAACCACTTGTGGTTAAAGGTTACCTTATTAGAGTACAGATACAGAATATTTCCATCACTGCAGAAAATTCTATTGAACAGTACTGCATATTATCATCCATTGACAAATAGAGTCACCAAGACTTGCCAAGGGATGCCAAGCTGATTTACATCTTCTTAAGATTTATTACCTCTGACTTTGGAAAAGTACTATCCTTCTACCTCACACTTACTTATACTTCCAAGTCTCTATATGGGAGATACAGGGGCAAGAGAGATGAGGGAGGATAACACACACTTGTTCCATTCTAGAAGATGCTCAGCCCAGCCACTGTTTCACGCCTACCCGTGGAAGGATATCCTGCAACTTCCCTTCTCCTGTTAGTTATGTTTTGTTCTATCTTCAGCACATCTCATTCACCTACACTGCCTGAGCCAGTTAAGCAAGTGACTGTCTCTCTCCTTTTCTCAGTGATTTCCAAGAACTCCACATCCACAATTACTAACCTACTCTAAGGTACCATTGCTTGCTTTAAAATTCTGTCTATATTGTTGACAACTATGAAAACAATCCAACTCCCTTTCTCTTCTTTGCCTTTACTTCCCTTTTTCAGATGACAGAGCCAAGGTTGGAGAATTCTTCCAAAGAATACCTCAAGGCAACAAAACTGTCATTTCTTACAGAGGAGCTGCCCAATCTTTCACCTTCTGCTGTGCTCACCTATGATGCCAGCCCCCATAACAACAAAATCTTTCTCTTGAAGAAGAGTAATGTAACTTTTCCAGGAATGCTCATGTTTTTCTCTCAACCGGGAAATTAGATATTGAAAAGGAACAGTCTTTGTTACCTTAGAGTTATTCTGAAAGTTTAATTTCTTTTTAAGCAGAAAATATAGACTCAAAATGCAGAGGAAGCATTTCTGTATCCATGCAAGAAAAAAAAATGATAAAGAAACTAGAGTGGATATGATCTAATAAGCATGTTAGGGACAAACCCTAAAGATAACTCAAGGATTTTAAAAGGATTAATGGCAAGTCATGATGATTCATGCCAGTAATCCCAGCACTTTAGGAGGCTGAGGTGGCAGGATGACTTGTGCCCAGGACTTCAAGACCAGCCTGGGCAACATAGTGAAACCTCGTCCTTACGAATAATTTAAAAAGAAAAAAATTAGCTGGTCATGGTGGTGTGTGCCTGTGGACCCAGCTGTTTGAGAGGCTGAAGTGGCAGGATCACTTGAGCCAGGGATTTTAATGCTGCAGTGAGTCATATGGACTTCACTGCACTCCAACGTGAGAGACAAAGCGAGACCCCATCTCAAATAAAACAAAATAATTAATGTTGTTTATGAGAAAAGAAGTAATGGAAATGTGAAGAGGTGATTCTGCAGGCCAACCAGAAGCTATGGAAAAGACCACCTTAAGCTCAAAGAAAAATACAGACTCAGTTGTTACCACCGAAGTCTTATCAAAAACCTTCACCAGTCACGGAGCTTTTTTTTTTTATATATATACTTTAAGTTTTAGGGTACATGTGCACAATGTGCAGGTTAGTTACATATGTATACATGTGACATGCTGGTGTGCTGCACCCACTAAGTCATCATCTAGCATTAGGTATATCTCCCAGTGCTATCCCTCCCCTCTCCCACCACCCCACAACAGTCCTCAGAGTGTGATGTTCCCCCTCCTGTGTCCATGTGTTCCCATTGTTCAATTCCCACCTATGAGTGAGAATATGCGGTGTTTGATTTTTTGTTCTTGCGATAGTTTACTGAGAATGATGATTTCCAATTTCATCCATGTCCCTACAAAGGACACGAACTCATCATTTTTTATGGCTGCATAGTATTCCATGCTGTATATGTGCCACATTTTCTTAATCCAGTCTATCATTGCTGGACATTTGGGTTGGTTCCAAGTCTTTGCTATTGTGAATAGTGCCACAATAAACATACGCGTGCATGTGTCTTTATAGCAGCATGATTTATAGTCCTTTGGGTATATACCCAGTAATGGGATGGCTAGGTCAAATGGTATTTCTAGTCAGTAACCAAAACAGCATGGTACTGGTACCAAAACAGAGATATAGATCAATGGAACAGAACAGAGCCCTCAGAAATAACGTCGCATATCTACAACTATCTGATCTTTGACAAACCTGAGAAAAACAAGCAATGGGGAAAGGATTCCCTATTTAATAAATGGTGCTGGGAAAACTGGCTAGCCCTATGTAGAAAGCTGAAACTGGATCCCTTCCTTACACCTTATACAAAAATCAATTCAAGATGGATTAAACACTTAAATGTTAGACCTAAAACTATAAAAACCCTAGAAGAAAACCTAGGCATTACCATTCAGGACATAGGCACAGGCAAGGACTTCATGTCTAAAACACCAAAAGCAATGGCAACAAAAGCCAAAATTGACAAATGGGATCTAATTAAACTAAAGAGCTTCTGTACAGCAAAAGAAACTACCATCAGAGTGAACAGGGAACCCACAAAATGGGAGAAAATTTTCGCAACCTACTCATCTGACAAAGGGCTAATATCCAGAATCTACAATGAACTCAAACAAATTTACAAGAAAAAAACAAACAACCCCATCAAAAAGTGGGCAAAGGACATGAACAGACACTTCTCAAAAGAAGACATTTATGCAGCCAAAGAACACATGAAAAAATGCTCACCGTCACTGGCCATCAGAGAAATGCAAATCAAAACCACAATGAGATATCATCTCACACCAGTTAGAATGGCAATCATTAAAAAGTCATAAATCAACAGGTGCTGGAGAGGATGTGGAGAAATAGGAACACTTTTACACTGTTGGTGGGACTGTAAACTAGTTTAACCCTTGTGGAAGTCAGTGTGGCGATTCCTCAGGGATCTAGAACTAGAAATACCATTTGACCCAGTCACGGAGCTTTGAGGAAGCACTGCAGCCTTAACCAAAAAATAAAACTAAATACAACAAGTATAACAAAATAAAATAAATAAAGGTTGCTTTGTGAAGGCCAGTACAATGAGTGAATGAAGGGACTGTTGTAATTTAACACAGCCTTTAATTTAAAAAAAATTTTTGGGGTGAGGACATTTTCCCCTGAATGTCAAGTACTGGTTAAACACTGTGGCAGCACAGTCTGCAGTGAATGAGATATGAGAAGCGAATGAGTTCCCATTCAGAGGGAAAGATGATGACCTGAGTCTCAAAACCAATAGTGGACCCTGGGGCCCCCAGCTGCCCAGCTCCAGCCAGCTACAGGTGCTGAAAACCATCAAGCACAGGGCTTTTCTGCACCTACCCCTGAATGAATGTAAGCTCTAAGGAACCCCACTGCCCTGAAACCCCAGTGGATGAGCCCACAAGAGGTCATTCTGCCCGAGGTATACTTCAGTCTACCCAGCTAAAGCCTTCCTTCCTCCTCCCTGTTACCCAACCACTGGTTTCCAGAATACTAGCCAGTTCTCTCCTGGACTACAGTCCTATTCTGAACCCAGGTGATTTGCTAGCGTTCACAGGGAAGCTGGACCCTGCCAGGCGGTGCTTAACACATCTGGAACCACCAGCCTGGGGCGTATTCTCACTGCTTCAAGAGCCTTATTATAATACCTCCTCCCATATTGACCCCCTAAGGACATTGAGGCCAGCCTACATTGGACCCAATCTGCCATGTCCCCTTGATGTTGTGATTTGACCACATTTCGACAGCTGTGTTTATCCTCCTAGCTCTGGTCTAAGCTCTCCTGGCCAGCTGACCACTGAGATTCTAAGCAAGCTGTCCAATTTTAAGCTGATCATTGCAGATCCAAGATGCTAGTATCATACAAAATCAAACATATGAATGCCTGTAAAGCCTTGTAGACCAAAGTAAAAAATTTGTATTTGATTCTAAGTATAAGTAAAGAGTTTTATGCAGAAGAGTGGCATAATATAAGGTACCTTTTAAAAATGCAACTCTGGCTACGACGTGAAGAATAGATCTTAAAGTGGTAAGAGAAGATGTGAGGTAACAAGTTGGGAGAAAACCTAATAGACCAGGGCTTACCTAGTGCTCACATGGTAGTTCAGGTGAGAAACAGTGATGACTTGGACTAGGGTGGTAGCAGTGGAGATAGACAAAAATATAAGGATTAGAGATATGTTTTAAAGGTAGAGTTGATTAACATTCTCATACAGAAAAACAAGGGATGCCTGCAGCCCTTGTCCATATCAAGAAAACATCAATTTAAACTATAACACACAAAAAGGATTTCAGTAAGACACAAGTAAGAATTTCATTTTAATTTAGGACTAGATAGCACTGACATAGTTATTCATACATAGATGTTGGAACTTTTCATGGTGGTGGGAGATTGCTTTAGAATAGAACAAGTATCCAACTCCCTAATTTAAATGAAGTTAATTTTAACAGTAACTTCTTGCTTGGACATAGTAAATACTTTTGCTCTAAAAATTACTCTTTCCCCTAAATAAGTTTCCCAGTGCAACAACAGAAAACCAACATACTAGCTCAACACCGTGACTTTTCAGAAGGATTTTTGCAATGGAATTAAACACATTTTAAACTGTTTTGAGAGACTCTATCAAAGTTTATTGTCTAGTATGAACATATTTTTTAAATTTCACAAATGAATATGAGCTGTTGACAAAGGATTCTCTGACTACACCTATGGAAAAAGAATCTTGGGTAAAATAAGCTAAGTAGCCTGGAATACGTTTTGTTTGTTGACAATATTTTCAATGTTATAATCAATTAATAAACAGACATGGCCTCTATTAATGCTTTCATTTGAATTCATTCAACTGTGTGTGTACGGCTCAGCCAATGTAGAGATTACCTTCTGATATGACAATACAGTTTCTTTGCTATACTTTATGTACAGAAAAATCATTCTTACTACTTATAACTTCAGTTTTTCATAGAATTATTCTCTGGCCTACCCCCCGCTCTCTTTTTCTGTTTAAATTATAAACCAATTTTATAACCATTAAAATGTATTACACAATTTTATCAATGTGAAAAGGTGAGTCAGGAAAGTCTAATGGTAGCAAATAATCCAGCAAAACCCAAGACTGGAACTGAGTGATGATTCTGGGCATCAGCATTAGACAAAGTTCGCTAGACCTGTGGCCCAGTGTGTTGACATGTTCCCTAACCAAAGTCTTCAAATGTGTAGTTGATCACGTATGTGTAAAACGAAAACATCATTGAATGGGATTACCAAAGAAAATTATAAACTAATAAAAACGGCATAGACATTGCAGCCACAGTGTACGTGGAATTTTCTAAATCCTTCAATAAGAGCACAGGTTCCCTGTCAATCTGGATAGTGATTCTGTGTGTATACATTCTTTAGTAGGAAACCATCAGGGCCTCAGGGCTATTTATTACGTGTGGGCCTTTCCCATTCTAACATTCTATCATTCTGTCACCTTGTACTGTGTCTTCTGAAGAGATACACAAGAAATAAAAAAAAAAAACCACCCTTTTACCCCATAACAAAATGAAGTAGAAATCCTCAAAGCTGTGGTTTGAGACAGATGGCATGGTTATGTAATATAAGTGGCAATATCTCCACTAGACTGTGGATTTCATTTGTGAAATATGTCTCTGAACTATGACTGATGATTGTTGGATTTTTTAAAGTGCCTTCAATAATCTCGTCAGTGTAATGAATTATCAAATATCTTGGTCCCAGATAAAGCAAGAGCCATGACAAGTACAATGGTTAGATGCATTTGTATTGCAGAGACAATCAGAAGTTGTGCATGCATGGGCTTCAGATCTTTTACTGAATTTGCTTCAAGATAAAATGAAAGTAGTTTATTATCACATGAATTCCAGAAATGAGGCTTAAAAAAAAACTCTCCAGCAGGCTCAAAAGAAGTAATTTCAAACACAGGATCTACTGAGTTTCTAGGTTGGAAGCAGCATTCAATTGCTCTTGTAGTACCTGGAAAGGGATTTACAGTACCAGCAGCTTCTCACCTCGCTCCTGAAAAGATTCCCTTCTGGTTGCTGGAAGATGTTCTGCTTAAGTAGGCAAGGGTGACAAGGTCTTCTGCCGGAATCACATAATGGAGTCAAATACTCCAAACTAAAAATCCAATTTGTAATAGCATAAGCTCTGTGAGCTCAAAATAACAAAAAATCTCTACAGTGAACCATAGTATTCCTGGCATATGTAATGTCTGTGGTCTGTGCAGAGGCAGCAAGCACAAGGGCTGTCTTGTGCTTCAGCTCTGTCTACCTAGTACAACAGATCTGTGATGTTTTTGAGGCAGATTATCTGGTAAATTGATCTTTTTTCTTGTAATTTTCTTCCAATTACCTACCTTTAGGGAGAATGAATGCAAAATCACTGGCCTTGAAATGCCTTTTTACATTTTCACTTTAGCAAATTTTTAAATTATGATGGGATACAAATTCCAAAACGATTTGGCAGAGATCAGGAAAGAGGACTTTGGTGTCATCAGAAAGAAACGCACCTGTTTGATGGGGGCAGAGGAGGGAATTACCCTGGTGTCAGAAATCCTGAGCATGTTAATGGTGCTCCATTCACTAACTGCATAACTCTGGAAAAATTCTCTAAACTTCCATTGCTCAGTTGCCTCAGCTGCAAAAGGAATAATCACACATCCCCAGCCCACCCCACCAGACTGTCAGATTAGCGAAAGGCATAATCCTTTTGCAAATTGTAACCCCACAATTCATGAAGTTAAATGCCTGATCAATCAATTATACAATTGGGATTTTTTTTAACAAGAGGAAATAGGCAAAACTCTTCCTTAGTTGACATGGAAATAAAATGTCTCTCATCAACCTTTGGAGTCAGAAAAACGAAGAATCAAAAATTCAGAGAGGTAAATTTGATAATAAAGCAAATAATGGCAGAGCACTCACTAGATGCCAGGCTTCAACTTATTCATGAATCACATAATTTAATCCTCACAGGAAGGCTATGAGGGAGAGACTCTTCCTTTCCTCTCCTTTTGCAGAGAAGATAACTGAAGCTTGGCAGATTCAGTATTTTTGCCCTTGGCCACTTCCCCAGTATGTAGCTGAGTCAGCACTCAAACCAGGGCTATCTGATTATAGAATCCATGCCCTTAACCACAGGGCTGATTACCTCCTATGGAGCTGTCAGTTCAGAACCCAGCTCCATCCAGTCTAGCCTCACACTCCACTCATCACTCAGCTTCAGCCCAGTGGTTGTCTCCAGCTCTGCATTCTTCCTCATGCTCTCCTTTCCTAAATAGTCTCCTCGGCTTCACTGCGTTCTTTGCATCCTCAAAGGCTCACCAGAAACCTTGTCTCTGGCACATGCCTTCCTAATAAAATTCCATTTCCTACTGATCACTCTCTGTGTTGCCCTGATTGGTTAATTATGTCTTAGATGTCTCCTTTGCTTGGGTCTCTCATGAAAGCATACATTTCATAATACATGCCTTCTCTCTCTCTCCCCCATCCCCCAACTAATAAACGCCTAAGACTGTACTAGGTTAAGAGAAAACTTCCTAAATAATTTCTTGGAGATATTAACAAAACTTTTCCTTGTCCTACTCAAGTCCAGGCTGGCTTTCCCATTCCTCATATTGTCTGAGGGCAAATATCACACACAACAATACACTGTATGCAGGTGAGCAAGACAGGGTCCCTTCCTCCAGTAACCTGTTCAGTTTATCGGGGAAGACAGAAAACAAGCAATCCTGTCAGGCTAAGGGAAGTGCAGATTAAGACAGAGGCACAAAGTAGCCACAGCCACCCCAGTCTATAGAACCATGAGAAGGTTATTTAATGAGTCAGGTATTTAGGCTGAAATTTTAAGGATTGTATAATGATAATAACAATGAATTACTGAATGTGTCCTCTCTTCTTAGAACTTTATATGTATCGCCTCATTTAATCCTCTCAATAACTCTACAAAGCAGATGCTATTATATCTCCCTATTTTACTGATAAGAAAACTCGGGCTAATACAGAATAATTTACCCACGGTTACTAGTATATGGTAGAAATAAAATTCAAACCCAGGCAGGCTGGCTTCCAGAGACCACACCTTTAACTGGTATGCTATCCTTCCTCTCAAGTAGATGAGCCACTGAAGTGAGAGAGAAAGATTGTTCCAGGGAGATGGCCCAGGGTTTGCAAAGGTCATGAGAAGAATTCAAGCAGGATATGTAGAGAAACTAAAGGAATTTAATACAGGGCCCTGACAACTCCAGATGAGTCATTGGGCACCTGAGATGGACATTTAGCCGTTTTCCAAAGAGGGTGTAGGAAAGCACCTGTCCCTGCGGGGAGGTTTGCGGTTCTGCCACAGAGAGGCCTTTGTTGTACTTGGATCACCAGGGATTGTGCTTTCCTGGCCTCAAGAGCCAGCAGAGTCCACTCCATTGTGCATCAAGAGACAGGTCTCTGACTCTCCTTTTTAACATCAGTCTGTCTCACCCCTACGGAATCAGAGAATCCTCAAAGATCCTCTGGTTCTAGAAGAGAAGAGAACTAGAATGGCCTGTTCCTCTGTTGCCAGGTTTCCACACCATCAGATTCCAAAGAAGTTTCCAGAACTCCCTTAACCTCTCATTTTAATGTCAAATTATCCTTTCCATGAAGACAGTCTTACTTAGATCTGATGTAAACCCTTCATGCTAAAAATCTAGCCCCAATCTCAGCTCTCTTTTCATGTGTGGCAGAATAGTAGGTCATCTCCTCTGAGGAGACCACCTCAAATGCCTGTGACACAGCCATGTCTTGGGCTTGCAGTCACCTTGGGCCTCCTGGCTTGACCACTTGTGAGCTGTGATGTTAGGCAGATTACTCAACCTCTCAGTGATTCCATTTCTCGTCTGTAAAATGGGAACAATAATTGGGCTTATACATGAATTTGTTTTGAGGATTAAAAATAGATAAAAGGCTTAGCCCAGTTGCCTAGTTCATCATAAATGCCTATCAAATTTTAGCTTAAAAAAGAAAAGAAAAGGTATAATTCCATCTTATCTTGGGCTAATGTGCATACAGATTAGGGACTAACAAATAAACCTCTGGTCAACTTTTCCCGGGAGAGTAAAAAAGATCAAATGCCTAAAAGTAGTAATTACACTTTCAGTCTTCTTATTTTCTACAAGTATGCAGATGAATAGAACATCCACTTTTAAATGGCAGGTATAAATCAGTTATAAAAGTGTTAAATAGATCTATGAAGGCCAGGAAAAAAGAAAAAAGAAAGAGACAGGAACCATCCCGCTGTTGCCATGACAATGAGGCACGTTACCTGGACAAAGATTTTGGAAATCTCTTAAAAGAATAGCCAGAGATGCTTCTGTCTATTTTGGGAAGGACAAAGTCTTCTTTTATCCTGCACTAAAGACACGCATCCACTTGTCTGCTGAATATCTCCCAATTAACACAGGGCAAGATCTGAGAGGAGCGGGGATGTCATGAGCAGGCAGGAGGTGGCATGGAAAGGGACTTGGCAGGGGGCTGAGAGGTGAAGGCAAATATCAGTGGAAAATGCAAGATCAAACTGCCCAGAATCTCTATTGTTTCATTTAAAATGCCCACAGAACATTCATTAAAAAGCATCATTCTCACGCATAAAGGCCCCCAACTGCTGCAGACGAAGCTTACACGAAATGGAATCCTAAACCAATAACACTTTTATTTTTATTAACAGTGGTGACATGAAGAAAGTGACTGAAAACTCTGGTGGGCAAGGCTTTCCCTGAAAGTCATTTTTATGTGTAGAGGAATAGAGAGCTTAAGATTCATACAATGTGTTTTCTCCACCATCTCTTTAGGTGTTTGTAAGTAGATCGTGTGTGTGTTTGTGTGTGTGTGTGTGTTTCCCTCCTTCAATCTGTAGTTTACACTTAACATAATAATCTTGCACACCTCTCTCATTTTTCAGTTAATCGATAGTATTTTCAAAGCAACAAATAGAGGCTATTTGTAATAGTATTTCCTTTAATTGCATATTTTTCAAACATGAGACTATTAAAGTAGCTGTCCCTGAAAGCAGTCATTCAATTCTCCTCTGAGGTGCCCCTTCATTCTGAAAGGGCCTCCGTAATCAAGCTCAATAGCATCTCTTGGCTGCCTGAGAAAAAGCACTGGAGGAAAAAAAAAAAAAGAAATCTATTTTCCAGATCAAAGTAATCCCTGCTCCATTGCCATGGCTCCAGACGTCTCTTTTTTCTTTTCATTGACCAGACAAGTTTCTTCTCAGCTCCCTGCTTCATTTTTTTTTTTTTTTTGCCTGAATTTGTTTTCTCTTTGGGAAAAGTGGTCATTAAAGTATTAGTTTAGGTTGATTGGTTCTTCAGCAACAGAAGAGGCTTCTGATGCTTTGTTATCTTTGACATGATCTCAAAACAGTTGCCTGATTATTATACGATATGGAAATAATAACTCAAGGCAACTGGCCTCCCTCTGAGACCAATGCAGGTGCCAGGTACAGGATTACACACCTAATCTACTAGTCTTCTCATGGGTGCTTTTAGGGCCTGAGTGTCTGACCACATCCCTGGATGTTACAGGGGACTTCACCTCCCTGCCCTAGCCATGGAGGCCCCGCCCCCACCCATGGACCTGAATTCTTCCCAAGTGGTCGAGACTGCTCAGCACTTGTCTCCATTTATACCAACCAGTGGCGCATTCAGTGGGAAGAATGAGGCGGAGGAGAGGGTGGCTTTGATGTTTCCAGGGGCAGGAAATCACTTGGATGATCTTCCAGGGCCACTTGGCAGCAGGTAGAGGGTGTGACAGCTGGTGGGAAGGTCAGCGGCTGGGATGTGGCCACTCAACCATAGCAGGGAACTGCTCTGCCCTTGCAAACTGAGAAGTTTATTTCTATAGTCTGGTGGGGGGTAGAGATGAGGGAGAAAGATCAGAGGGCCTGGCACATACCACCTGGGAAAATGAGAATTCAGAAACAATCAAATAATATGCCAGAAGAGTTCACTACTTTTAAAGACCAATTGGCCCAAGCCCTTAAATCCAATCTAATAATAATGTATGACTGCCAGTGCACAAGAGGTGGTACAAATGGTGGTTAGCCACATCAACTTCGAATCCAGACTTTAAGCCTCTCTTTGCTCATCTGTTAAAATGCAGTTAGTAACAGGCTTACTGTGAGGATTAATAATAATAATAAGGCTTACTGCATACTTTGTGTCAGGCACTGTGCATGTTACTTGGCATGCATTATCTTATTTCCTACTCACAATAACTCTTCGGAATAGATACCAGTACTATGCCCCCACTTTCTTATCAGAAAACAGGCATAGCGAGTTCGTTATCCAGAGTCACACAGCTGGTAAGTGAAGCCAGAATTCACATCTAGTCAGCCCAAACTCTAGCACCTGCACTATTAGTCATTACTTAGGAATGAAATGGAATAATGTATAAAGTATCGATTCTGGTACCAGACACTCAGCACATTATCCATCATTAATTTTACATTGCTGACATTATTATTAGACTCCCTCTGTTGCCATGGCCAATTGAACTAAAGTAAGTGACAGTACTTCAATAAGTGAAAGGGCTTTATTAAAGCATGCACATGAAATATAATGAGGATGACTGGAGCTGGCTCAAAGAGGTGGTGATCCAAAAGTTCCATGGACATAATCACACTTACAGAATTTGCTGGTAAAAATGGCAAAAGGAAAGGCAGTAAGGAAATGGCAGTTGGGGGTGGGAATGGCAGCTCATTTCTAGAGGTTGCCCAAACAAGAGGTATGACCAAAAGGTCTGGAGACACTGGTATCATTGCTGCCTTAGCTGGGTGGACTTATAGATGTAGACAATGTCTGAGAATTAGACAGGGAGACAGAGGATGTCCAGATGACAGGTGCATTCTGATTAGCCAACTAAGTAATACCTAACCACATGCTCACTCCCATTCATATTCAGAAAACACATTCACAGAGGAACTAAATCTTTCCCCACTCCTATCTGAAGTTCCCAAGTAATCAAGTGCTACTACCATCTGCAAATTTTTAAGGAGACCCAGAGAGCTTACTCAAAAGCCTCATTTATTTATTCATTGGAGGAGTATTTATTAAAAACCTTTTATGTGTCTTAGGTGCAAAGAATGTAAGAAGAGCTTACTCGGTCCCTGACCTGTAGTAGGAGAAGATCCGTGTGCTATGTCATCTCAGGGAAATGTGTGCAGACAATTCTGGGAAGGATGGCAAGGCAAGGGTGGCCAGGTCTGACTTGAAGGTGGAAGGAGGGTGGGATTGTGCATAATTCAAAGCAGTTTTTTTCTCCTTCCAGATAAGGAGTATCTTGTTTGTTATCAGAATGGAACTTATCAGTAGAGAAAAATTGGAGACAATTTATGAAAGAGGAGAGAACATGGAGAGCTTGCATGCAGTGGTTCCAGCTGGGAGCCCTAGTCTCAGCAAGAAGGAAGACACTATATTTTCTGATTCAAGTAGAAGAAGGAGAAGACAGATGAAGATACAGATAATTTTGATATGGAGGGAAGTTGAGGCAACTCATGTCAGATGGTCCCAACCTTCTCAGCAAGGAGAGTTCATCTGTTGAGAGTTTCAGGAAAGGAGGTGTGGATGTTGCTGGAGAATGCCTAGATAAGTCACTGTGGAAAATGCCATTCTCCATTTCTGTCTGTTTGGCAAACCCCAATAATCCTCCAGGACTCAGATCAAACAACATCTCCTGTAACCTCCCAAGTTCTCAGACAGAGTTGGGAGCTCTGTTCCCTGCACTTGTTTTTCTATTACCTTATTAGTCATATCGTATTATAATTCTTTTCATTTCTGTCTCTCTTTTCCTCTTGCCTGAAATCCTTGAGGGTGGAGACCATATTTTACTCATCTTAATTTCTCCAACTCTAATCTGGTACAAAATGATATTCAGGAAATGTGTGTTGAATGCATAAATAAATTACTCCATAAGCCATACATAAAAGAATTGCAATTCAGATCCAGAAAGATTAAGGAATAACATTTTAGAACTGGCATCCTAAATGTCTAGTTTCATTTCAGAGCAAAACAGTCTGCTCTTGGCCAATTACCCTAACCTTGCTGCATCTAATAACCCAGGCTCTGAAAAATGGAGACAACAATTCATGGAGCTGTGAGTTTCAGCATGAATGCCTGTAAAGGGCTTTTTAAGTGGCAAAGCAGATAATTACAGAAAAGGCCCTTGAGGAGGAAGGATGACTAAGACATGTCTCGGAGACAATGAAAGACCATCCTTTCAGGATTTCTACCACATTTCACTCTGATACAAGCAGTTACAGAGGATCTAGGGCCCTCTCAAAGGCCTTGGCACCACTAGATTCCAAGATTATGTGTTCACCAAGTTCACGAACTGTTGTGAAGGAATAGTGGTTAGAAAGAACCAGAGTCCTTCTGCTCAGCACCTCCCAGCTCAGGGCCACTGTGCTCTCTGCGGAACTTTCAGCTTTTTCTATTGTTCTGTTTTGCCTTGGCTCCTAGTTTCCTCTCTTACAGATCATCAACAGATCACTCAAATGTGCTTGACCTTTGGAAATACACTTCTGTTCCTGGGAAGTACATGATCATTTATCACTGCCATTTACCAAGTGTTAGCAAGATAAATAGCTACCTGGGTAAGCCTTGAAAGCAGCCACTAGCCCATTTGCACGAGATGTGATACAATTTATCCCAGAAGAGCCACAAAAAGAGTAAGATGCTGAACAATACGGTCTGTTAATAGATGCATACATTCTGGAGCTTTATAAAAACAACAAATAGGTGAATAAGACATTTTATACCTATTTCTAAGACTGTAGAAACCTAAGGCATAATCTACACTAGATTGCCTGTTCTAATTTACAGTAGCATTGCTATGAATAAAATAAGAAAATTGATAATTCTAAAACATTGTTTGATTCATAATTCCCCTCTACACACACAAATGCACACAGACACACAAACACACACCCACGTGCATGTGTGTGCACAGACACCTGCCTCTAAAATTGGATTTTGTTGAAGATAAATTTTAATTAGTTTGCCCCCCAATACACATACTCTAGGTTTAGCAATATGTGTGATAACGATCGGTAAGGATAGCCTGGGGTTTTTAATTGTCATAGTTAATCAAAAGGTGACTATATACAGGAGAACAGATTAGAGTTGGAAAGAGTAGTAGAAGAAAAAAAAGAATTGGGACTAGAAGAGAAGAAAAAAATAGAAAACCAAAAAAGAAGGATAGGCCAGGTGCGCTGGCTCGCACCTGTAATCCTAGCACTTTGGGAGGTCGAGGCGGGTGGATCACGAAGTCAGGAGTTCGAGACCAGCCTGGCCAATATTGTGAAACCCTGTCTATACTAAAAATACAAAAATTATCCGGGCATGGTGGCACATGCCTGTAGTCCCACCTACTTGGGAGGCTGAGGCAGAAGAATCACTTGAACCAGGGAGGCGGAGGTTGCAGTTAGCTGAGATCGCACCACTGTACTCCAGCCTGGGAGACAGAGCAAGACTCTGTCTCAAAAAAAAAAAAAAAAAAGAAGGATAACAATCTTTATTAGTAGATAGGAGTGTCAGTTAGTGGTCTCAATTCTTTCCCATACTGATTGTCAGTACATATTCAACACATAAACACCTCCAGAGTAGGGGCAGTTCAGATTTGAGGAGGACCTTAAATAGCTATATACATTATCCTAAAGGAGCTTTTACTTTCTGAAACTGCAGGCTGCTTTCTTATCACCAGAGCCTGCAGTTATGCATCAACATTAAATGTAGAAAGTTTGCTACAGCTATAATCAAAACTCTGGTTAGTATCTACATTAGCTAGTTGATATTAATATTAGCCACTCAGAGCTCTTTTGAAACTTAAAATTAGTTGGAAGAGAAACAAAATGACAGCATTTCTTATTATTGATATAACTTAAGGGCCCACACAGAGCCTGAATTGACTTTACTCAAGGATTCCATATATAGAAGCCTTTCAATTGCTGGAAAGTTAGATCACTTATAACTGTGAAGTATGATTGAATGACCTTGTGTGAAAATGGCAAGATTATTCTGTGATGTAGCCTTCATTGGAACGTTCCATCCCTGCCAGAGAGGCCACTTGTTCATTACGTGGGAGAAATTGCTAAAACAATAGTCAGTCCTGCCCTCACTGATCAAAACATCTCCAGGGATCCTCTATGCTGCTTGGGCCCAAAGGACCCGACTCTATGTGCCTTGATTAACTTTCTTTGGCCCTAGTTCATCACTCAGAAATGTCTGTCTTTAGCGGAATCTTAGCTTGTGACTTTTTTTGGGTAAAGTCAAGGTAAATAATTTTGGAGCCCAACATACTTTAGAAATTGTAGGTCACTATTCCATCAATAAAAACATAAATAAAAGAAAGCCTCATTCGGAAGAATAAACCAGTATGTCCTCAATGTAACAGACACAAATTAGAAGAGTTAGAAAGATCTTGCCTTTTTTGAGGTCTAGGTCTTCAAATCTCTCTCCTCAGTATCTCAATTCCTTCAAAAAAAAATTCAAGTACTGAATTTGGAAAGATTAAAGTCTAGGGAAGAAAGAGTAGGGGAAAGCAAGACCAGTAGCTTAGGAGAAGGGGGGAGAGGAGAAGAGGGGCCATATCATGATTAAAGCTTCCATCATGCAATCAATCAAATGCAGGATATAAAAGGCAACCATAATGAAAAGTACAAACACTCGCTGCATACACTTAGAATCTAACACTTGTAGAAAAAAGTAGGATATAAGTCATCACTTCAACTGTCCATTTATAGATTTATAGAAACTAAGGCTCAAGGCTCTCAAGTGACTAATGAGCTGTTTTAGAGTACAAGAGAAGCCAAGCCACAACCAGAATTTAAAAGCCAAGATCTGAAAACCAAGCAAATGTATGAAATTCTCTTCTTTTTTCTTAAAAAGCATTCAAAGAGAGAAAAAACTAATCTCTTCCATGGCAAAATGCATAAGTATATACAATAACTCATAGATAAGGGTTTTTTTAATCTAATAATCTAACTGCTTCAATTTCTTCTGCTTGTGGACGCTGCATTTACATCCATGCTTTGTCAATTACTTTATGTTTCTTGGTTCTGTCTCCCAAACTAAACTCCAAATACTTGAGGGTAATGTCTTTTTCTTTTATCAATATCAATTTCTTACCATGCTCACTATGATTGATAGTGTCCCATAGAATTACTGAAAATGCTTAACACAAGTCTAACTTTGGTTTTCCCTTAGGTAAGAGGGATTTGTTGAAGTGCAACACTCTTGACCCACTGCAAATATCACTACCAAAATTCTCCATTTGAGATATTGATAATAATTACTCTGTACCTTCTTTCATTTGGATTGTAGTAATTGTAACGTTTCAAAGCATATTTTATGGCTACCGTTTCACTTGAATATTTGTTTCATGAGTGGACCTCAAAGAACATTACAACTACAAATCCGCCAATTGCCCCACCTGCCAAAAAGATTATATCCTGGGTCTTGGTGTGTTTTGGTGCACTGGTAATTGGTTATTCCTCCTCCAGGCATGGAAATCTCGATTCACAATTCACTGGGTTAGAATATAACAATAGTCAGCACTGGAGACAGACAGTGCTCAACTGACAAAGTATATCAACTCCAACTGTAAAAAGATCCAGAAGGCAAAAATACAGACTTCTGAGTCCTTGTAGTGTTGAGGGAAGAGACCTCAGTGTCCTTCCATGACCCCCGCCTCCAGTAATATGTCCTTAGTGTTTATAGCATCCTCCCATCCTGACATTTCCTCATAATTTAGCATTCCTGGTAAGGCTTAAAGGAAAGCTGAATTTTTCACTGGAGGTAGGTCATGCTGACAGTGATAGCAACTGACAGGAGATTAAAAGGAACCAAAGATACAGTGTTGAAAAAGTCTCATCAAGGTCACCCACTCTTGATAAGGCAAGTGAAGAGCGAGGGAGAAATATAGGCTTATCACTTAAGAACCAGCAGGGACAACTACATTATCTAATTATTCCTCTTCATTTCCACCTCCTGTAGTCTCCCACTCCTACACACGTGCTTTTAAGCCAGTCCATTATTTTAAAATTACTTTACGGTAGTTCTCCTTATCAGTTCAAGGTACAGCTGCCTTTAAAGGCAGTGCCACCAGCAGTCCCAACCCTGCCAAGTAGAGGTAGCTGCTCCCCAGGGCACTCAGCTCAGCCTTTTACTATAGCACGTACATGTTTACATGACTTTCTCCCCCCAAAACTGTGAACCCTTCATGGTTACAAGCATGTCTTACTCATCTTTCTACCTACCTGCATGGTGACAGAGCTAGCCAGCTATCTATTAAATTCAGAATTCTCCCCTAGCACTGAGTTGCTGCTGGGAAGCTGCTACCAAGCCAGGGACTACATTTTCCAGCTCAATTTCCATCCAGATGTGGCCATGGGATAATAATTAGCCAATGGAAAATGAACAGATGTGAGGTATTTCACTTGGAGGCTTTTATAACACATCATATATATATACACGTATATATACATATATATTATGTGTTATATTTCATATATATACATGTATACATATGTATATATATGATGTGTTATATTTATATATATTTATATGATGTGTTATAAAAGCCTCCATATATGTAACTTTTTTTTTTTGAGATGGAGTCTTGGTCTGTCACCCAGGCTGGAGTGCAGTGGTGCGATGTCGGCTCACTGCAAGTTCCACCTCCTGGGTTCACACCATTCTCCTGGCTCAGCCTCCCAAGTAGCTGGGACTACAGGTGACTGCCACCATGCCCAGCTAATTTTTTTTGTATTTTTAGTAGAGACGGGGTTTCATTGTGTTAGCCAGGATGGTCTCGATCTCCTAACCTCATGATCCACCCACCTCGGCCTCCCAAAGTGCTGGGAATAATTTTCTTTTTTTTTTTTTTTGAGACAGAGTCTCGCTCTTGTCGCCCAGGCTGGAGAGCAGTGGCATGATCTCGGCTCACTGCAACCTCCGCCTCCCAGGTTCAAGTGATTCTCTCGCCTCAGCCTCCTGAGTAGCTGAGCACTTGCCACCACACCCGGCCAATTTTTTGTATTTTTAGTAGAGACAGGGTTTCACCATGTTGGCCAGGCTGGTCTCGAACTCCTGACCTCAAGTGATCCACCCACCATGGTCTCCCAAAGTGCTGGGATTATAGGCGTGAGCCACCATGCCCAGCCATATTTTTATAACACGCCACGGTCTTTGGCCTGCTGTCAGGTAAGTGGATGCAGAGGTTGATAAACAGCAAGGAGCTGGCTGACCCGTGTGATGGAAAGAACTTGGACTCCTGAATCACTGTATCAGCTACTACTGACCAGAAACAATGTATTGGACAATTACAAGAGGAGAAAATAGGCTTCTATCTTTAAAAATCTTTATATATTTTTGGGTCTTCTTTTTTTTACTGAAGTATACTTTATTTAATACATGAATTTAATACAGTGGCATATATAGGTGTTCAAGAGATGGTGAATAACTGAATAAGGTACTTGCCCATTTGCCCATGGAAGAGCCTGAATATTTCATACTTTCCCAAGAAAGATTATTTATGGATTGCAGCTCATGAAATTATATGCAATAATTGTTATTATGGAAATCTTCCCAGAATGCTATATGAAACAGACTAATGTGACTGGGGTTTTATTTAATCTTATAGTTGTTTTTTACAAATTCATAGATACAAATTTAATTTTTTTTTTTTTTACTGTGGGAGAATGTTGAGGTTGCCATAGCAACAAGTTAAAGCAATAGAGTGTATGTGATGGACTAAGATGCTTGGTGCTAGCCATGCCAGCAAAAAAATAAAATGATTGTATCATACAGAAAACTAGACTAAGGGCTATGGTGTGATAGTCAACTATTTGTCTTTCACCTTCTATTTATTATAATTTAAGACACTGATTAGTTGACAATTTTGACAATATTGCTAGTTTATTGCTAGTTCTGTAATGAAATTAATTTTAGAATAAAGATCATCATTCTAACCACCCTATCCCCACCTGCCTGAGGGGAAAAAATACACACACACACACACACACACACACACACACACACACACACACACAGATATCTACTGCATAACAACATTTTGGTCAACAACATACCACATATACAATGGTGGTCCCATAAGGTTTTAATGGAGCTGATAAATTCCTATCTCCTAGTGATGTCATAGCCATCGTAACGTCATAGCATAACACATCACCTTTTCCATATTTAGATATGTTTAGATGCACAAATACTTGTTTTGCAGTTGTTTACAGTGTTCAGTACAGTAACATGCTGTACAGGTTTGTGGCCTAGGAACAATAGGCTATACAAAATAGCTCAGGTGTGTAGTAGGTTATACCAACTAAAGTTGTGTAAGCACACTCTATGCTGATCACACAACAATGAAATCACTTCATGATGCAGTCCTCAGAATATATCTTCATTGTTAAGTAAAGCATGACTATGTATGATGCATGACTGTCTCTCATATCCATTTATGTATCTATTCATGAGAGGTTTGGGAGCAAATTTTTAAAACAATTACTCCAACTCTCTGATTTACTTTACCACACAGACAGGGTCTTTATTGATCCCTTCTCTGTGGACCGGAAGCCTATTTTTCCGCCATATATTTGCAACTCATTCAAATGATCATCATTACCTTACAGAAAATTAAACGATTCAAGTGGTGCTATCCTACCTTCCCCCAGAGATATTATTCTCCTTTCTAAGTGACCCTAGGCTTCAAAGTGTCTAGAGGCACTGACACGTGTCTTGAGACAACAAAAAAGACAGGTGACTTGGATTATCATGCAGGATCCAGAATAAGCATGTGGTCAGCTAGAGTAGTTTGGCAAGTAAGGATGATTTGGGGTGACTAATATTCCTAACTGTTCTTTGAATGAGTAAAATAAAATAAGAAAAAAAATTGCTTATTTTCAGATTTCCTTTCTCACTGAAGCCCTAGAAGGTAATTCAAGAAAACCTTCAACTCTTGTGGGGGGCGGAGGGGAGAAGAAACATGACATCTCCACTTTTAGCCTAGAGTCCCCCTTTTCTCCCCATCTCATTATGTCATTTCTATTTACATGTGCTGATTAAATAATTTCTTCTCCAGCCCCCTCCTTGCTTCATTCAGAAACTGTATTGACCCAACTTCCTGGAGAGGAAACCCAAGCTTTGAGAGCCCCTTCCCTAACTGGGATAGCAGGAGCCACGCAGGGAACAGATTCTGACCCTGGGAGAAGTCATTACTATATTGAGAAGCATGACACAAAAGATGCAGACCCTCAACTCCACTGCAATAGTATGAAGCATTTTAATGTAGAACAGGAAGGCATATGCAAACGTAAAGAGGAATTAAATTCGGTACAACGCCAGACAGTCTCCAGCGCCCCCACCCCCTTGACTGCTCCTGCTACAAACCAGGGTCAAAGGCAGAGGGGATCAATAATGCTAAAGAGTAGTGCTGCAGTAAGAAACAAATCATTGCAAATAGATAAAATGGTCTCTGTGCTCAGGGCTCCTGATGAAAGTCCCACATCTGCCATTTGACATTAGCCTAGTGACACCCCCTCCATAGGAGAGGGGAATAAGCAAGAGAGATAGGGAAAGAAATAGCAGGAGCCGGGGGTGATATCACAGGATTGTGTTGTCTTCAACTGAGAAGCCCCAAATACCTGTGTCCGTCTGGCCAATTCAAGGAGAAATCACTGAGGTTGTAAACTATTTTTAGAATCACTGGGGATAAACTATACCTCAGTTTCAAGAGGTCATAAGGTAGCTTAGTGAAGTCAACAGAAGGATAAACAGAAAGCTAATTGTATTTAATGACTTATATTTGTTAAGTGCTTATAACATAAACCATGCATTTTACTAATAAGAAATGCAGGCTGGGCTCAGTGGCTCACGCCTGTAATCCCAGCACTTTGGGAGGCCGAGGCAGGTGGATCACCTGAGATCAGGAGATTAAGACTAGCCTGGCCAACATGGTGAAACCCGTATCTACTAAAAATACAAAAAATTAGGCATATGTGGTGGCTTATGCCTGTAGTCCCAGCTACTTGGGAGGCTGAGGCACGAGAATCCCTTGAACCCAGGAGGCAGAGGTTGCAATGAGCCGACATTAGGCCACTGCACTCCAGCCTGGACAACAAATTGAGACTCGGTCTCCAAAAAAAAAAAAAAAAGAGGCCGGGCGCGGTGGCTCACGCCTGTAATCCCAGCACTTTGGGAGGCCGAGGTGGGCGGATCACGAGGTCAGGAGATCGAGACCATCCTGGCTAACACGGTGATACCCTGTCTCTACTAAAAATACAAAAAAATCAGCCAGGCGCAGTGGCGGGCGCCTGTAGTCCCAGCCACTCGGGAGGCTGAGGCAGGAGAATGGCGTGAACCCGGGAGGCGGAACTTGCAGTGAGCCGAGACTGCGCCACTGCACCCCAGCCTGGGTGACAGAGTAAGATTCTGTTTTGGAAAAAAAAAAAAAAGAAAGAAAGAAAGAAGGAAAGAAAGAGAGAGAGAGAGAGAGAGAAAGAAAGAAAGAAAGAAAGAAAGAAAGAAAGAAAGAAAGAAAGAAAGAAAGAAAGAAAGAAAGAAAGAAAGAGAGAGAGAGAGAGAGAGAGAAAGAAAGAAAGAAAGAAAGAAAGAAAGAAACAGAAAGAGAAAGATGAGGCTCAGAGAAATTAAATCACTTTCCCAGTATCATAAGATTATAAATGGTAGATCCAGGACCAAGGTCTGCTTCACTATAAAGCGAGATAGTGCTCTTAACCCCAATGTTACCTCTCTCAAGGTTCATTTGTAAATACAATTAAATATCTTTCTCAAAGCATTTCCTGTTGTCGTGGTCTTCAACAGGTAGAGGTCATTAGTGTGCATGTGACCTATCTGGATTCATAGCCCCTGATGAAATAAGGAGAAAAGTGTCTCTAAAGGTGATTGTGCTGTCTGGTTATAGGGTAGAGCCATAAAACAATGGATTGTAGGGAAATGCAGTCAGCATAGAGATTTAAGCCTAGTACTATACCATTTGCTTCCGTTGGCTAAATCTGTTCAGAGAAAATTATGCTGTTGAATTAAAGCAATAAACTGGTGATTTCTACTGTTGGTCATTAATCTTCTGTGTTTTTGTTGTTGTTGTCAATATATGACATATAATGGTGAGAACCTTCACTGATAGAAGCAAGAGTAGTATAGGAGACAGAGAACTGCTTGCCAAGAAATAAATTCCATATTGGGAGTGCACTTTTGCCTTTTCTGTAGGCAAAACGGCCTCAGTATTCCCAAGTCTCTTGACTCACTTCACTGATGCTACCCTAGCGGTAAAAAAGGAAAAACTCTAAATGACCAACAACCACTTTGTTTTACTTGTGGTTGAAAATTATTTTTCTGCTTTATGAAGGAAAGTAAGATTTATTGAGCAGGTACAATACATTTCTTATGCTAGGTGATTTATACACACATTATCTCACCGACTTCTCACAACTGTCTTTTGAGATACTACATGCCCACCTTCCAGCTGATGGAACTGGAGTTAGAGTGATCAATTTGCCTGGAGCAGCAATCTATGTAGCTGCATAGGAATTCAAGTCCACATTCTTGGGACTTTCCAGTCAGTACTCTTTCCTCTACTCTCTTCCTTGGTCCTCTTTAATGATTTAGGTCCTTGTCACACCTCTTTGGGTTATCATTCTAAATTTCAACAGTCATAGATCAATAGAGTAGGAGGTATAGATCAGAGGTGCCCAATCTTTTGACTTCCCCGGGACACACTGGAAGAAGAAGAATTGTCTAAGGCCACACATAAAACACACTAACGCTAGCGATAGCTGATGAGATTTTTTTTTTAATCGCAAAATATCTCATAATGTTTTAAGAAAGTTTACAAATTTGTGTTGGGCCACTTTCAAAGCCATCCTGGGTCACATGTGCCCCACGGGTCATGGGTTACACAAGCTTGGTATAGAAGATTAAGCTGAAAAAGTGTACTGAAATAAATGTATATTCTTGAAGTTAATGCTTTGTCTAAACTCTTAAGCTAATGGGTTTATCTCTCTTTATCTCTTTCAACTAAAGTTGGAATATAGAAAAATCATTTTAATTACTTGAAAGTTTGGGTTAGCTGATTCCAGATTTCTGGAGACTTAAAGATAAGCATCTCATGTCAAAAAAAAAAACCCCTCTATTGGATAATGAATAATTGGCAAAGAATGTGAGAGGAGGAGATATAATGCGTCTTCAACCTCTGAGAACCATGCATGTAGAGGAAAGAGCTTGATCTGAAAGTCACCCAGTCCCAAATGAGAATGCTGGATCCACCACTGGGTAAAGTGGAGCAAGTTATTTTATGTCTCTGAGCCTCTTTCTCTTCATCTTTATAATCTAAATGATGCCATCAACCTTAGAGTGTTGTTATGAGGGCCAAATGAGATGATATATACAAAATGTCAAGCATTCTGCCTGGCACATAGACACCTTCAGTAAAGCTTAGTTTCTTGCCCAATCCCTTCTGATATAGCTTTTTATTAATGTAGATTTTTTTAAATTTTATTTTTAAATTTTTGAGATTTTCAAAATATTTTTACATTTTGGGGGGTTCCATCATGATATTTTGATACATGTCATGTGTAGTGATCAGGTCAGATGAATTAGCATATCCATCACCTCAAATGTTTGTCATTTCTATGTATTGGGAAGTTCACTATCCTCTCTTCTAGCTATTTGAAAATACATATTATTGTTAACTACAGTCATCTTACAGTGTGCTAAAGCACTAGAAGTTATCTCTCTCATCTGGTTGGTACAGCCACTATGAAGAACAGTATGGCAGTTTCTTAAAAAGTGTATCCAGCAATCCCACTACTGGGTTTTTTTGTTTGTTTGTTTGTTTGTTTGTTTTTTAGATGGAGTTTCACTCTGTTGCACGGCTAGAGCGCAGTGGCGTGGTCTCGGCTCACTGCAACCTCCGCCTCCCAGGTTCAAGTAATTCTCCTGCCTCAACCTCCCAAGTAGCTGAGACTACAGGTACCTGCCACCACACCCAGCTAATTTTTGTATTTTTAGTAGAGACAGAGTTTCACCATGTTGGCCAGGCTGGTCTCGAACTCCTGACCTCAAGTGATTCGCCCGCCTCAGCCTCCCAATGTGTGGGGATTACAGGCATGAGCCACCATGCCTGGCACAGTACTGGGTATTTATCCAAAGAAAAGGAAATTGATATGTCAAAGAGGTGTCAACACCTTGATGTTCACTGCATCACTATTCACAATGGCCAAGATATGGAATCAACCCAAGTGTCCAACAACAAATGAACAGATAAAGCAAATGTAGTATATGTGCCCAATGGAATACTATTCAGCCATAAAAAAAGAATAAAATCCTGTCATTTGCGGCAACATGGATGAGAGCCTGGAGAACAATATGTTAAGTTAAATAAGCCAGGAACAGAAAGTTAAACACCACATGTTCTCATTCTTGTGTGGAAACTAAAGAAGTTGCTCTCACAGAAGCAGAGTAGAACAGAGGTTACTAGAGGCTAAGAAGGCTAGGGGGAAGGAGGACAGAGATTTATTAAACTATGCATCTGTTTATTATACTTGGATAAGTTGGCTTGAGGGCATGTGCAGTGCACACTGTAGTCCAGTGGAGAGTCCATCTAGGGAGGAAATTGTTTCTTATTCTCACTTTCTGCAAATTGAATTGGTTGGAGGAAGAGGCCATTTATAGCCTTGCCATTTATAACCATGGCTACACTGGTATTCATGGCTGGGAAGGTGGCATTTCAAACAAAGAATGTCTGACAATTGTAGGCCCAGATGATTACTTTACTACTATTTGTTGTGTTGTAGAACAGATCTCCATATTGTGTCATTCGGAGTCACTCACAACTGCCTGGATCCCACAGATGGTGTCTCCGCTTTTATACTGCCCTACTTTCCCAGAATTTCTCCATCTCCAGGGCCATTACCGCCTCCTGACTCTCTCGCACTTATCTTATTATGCTATTATCCTGCACCCAGCACTGGCTGTTTTATTTTCTACTTTCTGCCACAATATTATGGTCCTGAGTTGCAGCCTCCTAGATAGTGTCTGTCTGCTTACTGTTTGTGTGCTTCGCTGGGGAAAAGGGTGGTACGCAGTCTCCATTTGTACATACGTTATCAGAGGAGAGACAATGCCAAAGCATTCAGGGGAGCGGGAACATGCTACTGGGGATGCTGCAGGCAGAGGGAGAGGTAGAGCACTCCAGCTAAAAGAATTAAAACCCATAGTTTAAAGTCACCACATACCCTGATACATAAACAATCCAGACTGAAAGGGAAAGTTAGCAATTAGCTAGCAAATTATTTTTACATTCGTTCTCCTTTTTGAAAAATCACTTTGCAGTATTAATATCAAGAGTGACTGCCTACACAGAGTTCTCTGCCTCAATTACAGCCATGTTTGCATATAGATTGAACAGAATGGAATTCAAGGGTTGTTTGGATCCAGTGCCAGGTTCAAATTACACCTTGAGTTTCAAGTATTAGTTGTGTCATCTGGATTATAGTCTTAGCTCTGCAATGAGTCTGCCAGATTACTCAATGTCTTTGAGCCCCCATTTCCTCATCTATAAAATGGGAATAATACTGTCTATCTTGCATGGTTTTAGGAAAGATAAATGAAATATATATGAGCTTCTGATTTTGTGCCTGATTCATAATCAGAGCAACTGATGTCTCTTTACTCATCCTTCTTCGTTCTTTAACACTCAAATTCATCATCACTGCATCAATCCACAAGCAATTAATTATTACATAACCCTGATGGCCTATCTTACCAGCTAAAATGAAGTTTCCATGGGGCTAGAATCATTGCATTTTACTCAGCCCAGGGACTTAGACTAAAAGCTCAACAAATATTAGTGGATTTAGGAGAGAGTGGGATGATAAACCTGTACAACAACTGATGAGTTCAAGGGAAGAGAAGATTATAGTTTTCCTAATTTGATTTTTTAGCCACATTCTTATACAAATTATCATTAGTAGTAACCTTTTCAAAAATATTCTTTCTCTATTTTTATGTACAGAAAATGAGAGAGAGAAAGAAAGAAAGAGAGAAAGAGAGAGAAACAGAGAAAGAAGATAATCCTTAGAAGCTTCCTATGCTAAATAGCAGTCTCTGACCCATATTAACCAGAATGCTCACAGAAAACAAACCAATCACTTCTAAGGATAATTACTACTAATTATCTTCATTAGTAAAGATATTGTAAGGCCAGATGATTACTTTACTACTGTTCGTTGCAGGCATGATAAAGTTTGAATCAAACTCTGATTTACTATTAATTCTCTTTATTAGTAAAGATAACTAGCAGTAATAATATTAGTATTACCACTAGTTTAGTATCAATACTACTAAATACTAGTAGAACTAGTATTATTACTATTAATAATTACAATTCACTACTAACCACTTCTAGAGATAATTTAGAAGGAAGATGTGATTTAGGAAAAGAGGGAGGGAGAACCCCTGCCTCCCACAGCTAAACAAAAGTGACTTTTCAATTTTCTGACATTTTAATATTATCAGTGTTAGTATTCTAGTCCAGTGATGAAACAGATTGAAAGTTGACAGTGTATCTTTCCTGAACTCTCAAGCAGATCATAATCAGACATCATCTTTATTTACTGAACACCTACTACGTGTCCCTAGCTCAGCAGCCCAGAAACTAATTCAGATCACCTTAGCCCCCACGGGATGAAGTTTGAGCCATGCATGATAAAGTTTGAATCAAACTCTGATTTAGAAGGAAGAAACAAGCGAGCCGCCTCAAAAGGAAGGAAAAAGGCACCGGCCCCCATTCTGGGAGGGACATCGCCTCGACCTCTCCTCAAAGGAAGTCTTAAGTGTGGACCCAGGTGCTGCTGAGGGGGGCCTGGTAGGGCGGGGGAAGATAAAAGGCTTTCTGGAGGCCCTCTGACCCCAGCCATCCCACGGGAAATGAGCGAGGAGGCTGCTGGCTGGCAGACAAGCAGGTGTGCCCTTCAGAAGCCACGGAGATTAGCTGGGGCTTATCCAAACCTCTGCAGGAGGCAAATCTCTCCTGGTTCTCTCAGGAGACCTCGGTGCTCCTCTGGCATCAAATAAGCCAGATGCAGAATGAACGTCAACTTGGCCTTTTGTGAATCTAGGGCCCCAGACTGGGAATCGGGACACTATCATACTCACCAGGGCCCCAAAGAGAATAAGTTTTTAGAGAGTAAATTTAAAAAAGGAAAAGGGGGAGAAAAATGACTTCAAGGCAAGATCACAGATGAAGCTTCACTTATGTTTGAATCTTTGTCTTTGGAGCAATTGTCTGCCACCCATATTAGACCAAAAGCTGCTTTTTTCTCTAGAAAACAACTTCTGGGGAAAATAGGTGATATTTGTTCTTCAGCAAAGGTAAAAACCAGAAGACTCAAAGGTTGAGAGCTCTCTTTCTCAGAAACTCCAAAAGAAGAAAGCAAATTAGCAATTTCAGCAGTGAGAGGAGGGGGACGTAGGTCCCCATGGGTGTAGAATATGTCAGCTTTGTGCTGTGTCAAAGTATATGGATGTCCAAGAAAGATCAGTGGTGTTAGATCCAGCCGATCAAATATGCATTGAAATTCTGATTCTTCTATGTATCTGCTGTGTTATTTTAAAGCAGTCACTTAACCTCTCTGAGCATCAATCATCCCACCCTAAGATGAGCCCAGCAATGGCTCCTTCACAGAGCAGTTTAAGCATTAATAGGATAACTTATGTAAACACCTGGCATAGTAACCAGCACATAGAAGACGCTAAAGAAAAATTAGCACCTTCTATTTTTCCCTTTCTTTCAGCAATCCAATCATATATATATTAGCTATACAGATAGATATTATATATCTACTATATATTACATAAAATGATGGATTACATATTTTATATATCTACAATGTATATTATATAATTGATATATATTATATGATATATAATTGATATATATCAGTGTTACTATTACATTCAATGATGAAACAGATTGAAAGTTATATATATACAATATGATATATAATTATATGATATATAAGAGATATATATTATATGATAATAATTGATACATATCAATTAATATCATTGATATCAGAAGTCACAGGTATCAATTATATATCATATATGTCATATGTCAGATATCAATTATATATTTTATATTATAGATCTATATTTTATATATATCTATATATAGATATATTTTATATTATAGATATATATTTTATATATATATTATAGGTATATATTTATATATATCTCCCTCATATAAAACAAAAGATAAAATCCTTACTATTTTGGACCTGTAGAAACCCATTCTCAGCAGGATAAGTACTTGCCCAAACTTCACATAGACAGAAAGAGCAGAGGTTAGAACACAGATCTCCCTGATGCCCTTGCTAGAACTTGCTGTTTAATTGGCACCATAAAGACAGCCTAATACTCAGTCTCAGAATGATCTAATAATGGCCATAGTAGAAGAGAGACCTCAGAATCAGATACCAGTATACCACAGGCCACTTCTTGCAGAGGTGTCCATCAGGGAGATGGTAGTTGTAATTGTCTCTCAAACATGGTTGAAACTGGCTCACAAAACATGTGGGGCATATGGAGTATAGGTGGGACTGGTAGGGTGTGGTACTCATTTTTTTTGTTGTTGTTTTTTGTTTTGAGACAGGGTCTCACTCTGTCACCAAGAATGGAGTGCGGTGGTGCGATCTCAGCTCACTGCAACCTCTGCCTCCCAGGCTCAAGCGATTCTCCTGCTTCAGCCTCCCGAGTAGTGGGATTACAGGCACACACCACCACGCCCAGCTAATTTTTTTGTATTTTTAGCATAGACGAGATTTGGCCATGTTGGCCAGGCTGACCTCAAACTCCTGACCTCAAGTCACCCACCTCATCCTCTCAAAATGCTGGGATTACAGGCGTGAACCACCACGCCCAGCCTCAATACTTTTAACTAGTAATGTCACCAAGAGCTCTTTTATCTTTTAAACTGGTTGTGCCACATATATATATAAGACAATTCACTCTGGAGAGGCTGAAAATGTAGAGCTGTCCCTGATTCAATAACAACAACAACAACAACAACAATAATAGTAACTTTATTTTATTTTATTTTCAAAGCCCCCTTCTTCACGAGCACTTATGGCAAAAGCAGGAATATAACTCTGAGGACTGATCCACAGCCTTCCCCCAAACTATCCCAATTATTTTTGTGGTAGGAAGTTTCTCTGTGAGAGATCAGATTGTGGTAAACCTTGTCTTTGTTTGTTCCCAGAAATAGTTGAATTTCTACTCCTGTTAGAATTGTCTTGTCACCAACAGCTAAACTTTCATAATTTTAGAACTAGAAGGAATCATGTACAGGTTCTAATTTTCCCCTCTTGCTTTCTAAATGAAGAAATTAAGGGAGACTCAGAGATGTGGAATAACTCACCCAAAGACAAGAAACAAACATGGCCAGCTCTTCACCTCATGCTTTCCCCAGAGTTTCAGGGACCCATGTGTGGACAAAAGAAACAATCTTCTTGGGCAATCTTTATTTTCCCCACAGAGCTAACTGTGCACAGAGCCCATGATAAAGGCACTTAAGTCCAAAAGAGCACAATTATTATGACAAATATCCAAATATTTCATTAAACATCCTCAGGAAAAAGTAAATAAATAAAATGCCAAAAAGTCCTTCAAAGATTTGAAAGCAGCATTGCCTTTTTAATTTAGAGCTTTCTTTGTGGATTGTCAAAGCACTTAAAATTTTTGAAACTGCTATAATTAATTATTATTAAGCTAGCAAATCACTGAAAATATAATCTTTGGTTTATTTTCATTATATCTGATGAAATTGTTTCACACAACTAAAATTAACTGAGCACTTACTACGTGCCAGGTAGATGCTAAGTGCTTAGAATACAATGATGAAAAGCCATCGTCTCTCTGCTCAAGAAATTCACAGTCTAGGGTGGGGTAAAACAGCTACTACACAAAATAGATCAATGACCTAAATGTAAGACCTAAAACTATAAAACTCTTAGAAGAAAACATAGGAGAAAAATTTCATGACACTGGATTTTTTCAATGATTTCTTGGATATAACACCAATAGCACATGCAATAAAAGAAAAAGTAGATAAATTAAACTACATCAAAGTTAAAAGCTTTTGTGGACTAAAGGACGAAATTAACAGAGTGAAAAGACAACTCACCGGATGGAAGAGAACATTTGCCAATCATAGATCTGATAAAGGATCCAGAATATATAAAACACTACCAAAACTCAACAACAAAAAAACCAGACAACCTGATTCAAAAATGAGTAGACTTGAATAGACATTTCTCCAAAGATATACAAGTAACCAGTAAGCACAGAAAAAAAACAGCATAACTAATTATTAAAGAAGTGCAAATCAAAACCATGATGAGATATCACTTTACCCCTATTAGGATGGCTACCATTAAAAAAAAAAAACACAGAAACTAATAAGTATTGATGAGGATACGGAAAAATTAAAATCCTTACTGGAATGTAAAATGGTGCCACTGCTATGGAAACTAGTGTAGTGGTACTTCAAAAAATTGAAAACATAGTTACCATTTGATCTCTCAATTCCAATTCTGAGTTTGTACCCAAAGGAATCGAAAGCAGGGACTCAAAGAGAGATCTGTAGCAGTATTATTCTTAATAGCCAAAAGATGGAAGCAAACCAAGTGTCCATGGATGGATGAATGGATAAATAAAATGTGGCATATACATACAATGGAATATTATTAAACCTTAAACAAGAAGGAAGTTCGGACACATGCTATAACATGGATGAACCTAAAGGACATATGCTAGGTGATATAAGCCAATCACAAAACAACAAATATTGTATGAAACCACTTATATGAAGTATCTAGAGTTCAAATTCATAGAGATAGAAAATAGAATGGTGGTTTCCAGGAGCTGAGGTGAGGGAGTAATGGATAAACATTTTTAATAGATACAGAATTTCAGTTTTGCAAAATGAAAAGAGTTCTGTGGATGGATAGTGGTGATGCTAGCACAACAGTGTGAATTAGTTTACAACTACTGTACATACAGTTAAAAATGGTTAAGATGGTAATTTTTATGAATTTTTTTACCGAAATTTTAAAAATATACAAGTACTACACTCACCATTATTAGTAAACTCACCAGATGCCAGCATAGGTCTCCAGGGACTATATTAGGTGGAACCCCTATAGAAATCCACTCAAAAAGAAATCTTCAGATTCTATTGAAAGTATAATATGATATACTGAGAGTAAAAGAGAAGAAGCTTTGTTGAAAAAAGCTGGTAAACTGCAGAGCCCTATCTAGTCTTTTTTGGAGACCATAAAGCTCACTAGAACGTTATAAAACCAATAGTGCTAAATTTTTCCATTAATAAAAATCATTTTAAATGCCATTTCCATCTCTATAGAATATACACATTAGGACAGACAAACATTAGTTTTTGCCATTGACCATTGAGAGGCTGTGCTTCATGGTATGTGGCAGGGGCATGGGTACTGTTTGCCAGGCTTGGGGGATCTTTGTTGTTATTTGGTACATTTTAGAAACAAACGTTAAACTCGCTGGTAAGGACTTACCAGTTGTACTTCCTCGAGGAGATACTCTAGATCTTAGTTCCTCTTAGCAGTGAAGGTTTCCTGGAATGTCATAGTCTTGGAAGGAGGTGAACGATTGGATGTGTAACACCGGGATCTTCACTGAGAGTGAATACAAGAAAAATCAATTATCTAAGATGCAGGTAAAATAATTTCCCATGACCCCAACATTCATAGATGTCATCCAATCTATCAGTGCCTTTAAAAAGCCACAACTTTACTCAGAGCATTTAACAAGCTCTCCTTTTATGTCTTCTCTTTGCTGGATACTGTGAGAGGTTAGGGGTATGCATAAACAAGATACAATCCCTGTATTTGATAATCTTACATCCTAGAGTATGACAAAGCATAAAGAAGGAATGACAATGTCATTATATAGGATATATTTTGGTTTCATCTGCATAAGCTAAAGAAAGCACACACACCTCCCCTCACACCACTTTCCAACGAGAC
Source organism: Homo sapiens (assembly GCF_000001405.40). Taxonomy (NCBI): domain Eukaryota; kingdom Metazoa; phylum Chordata; class Mammalia; order Primates; family Hominidae; genus Homo; species Homo sapiens. The sequence continues at coordinate 122,292,755 of NC_000011.10, forward strand.
AGCCAAAGCCTATAGAAACGAAAAAGTGAGTCAAGTAATGCCACTTCATGCATTTTGTCCAATGAGGTGACTGTCTGAAATCCATAGTTTCTGATGCCCAGTGTCCCCCTCATGAGATGCCCCATCTCCATCTGAACTTGGTTGGAGCCAGAAACTAAGACTGAGATTGTAGTCTCCCATCCTCATTCAAGCTCGTGAGCCTCCCAAATAGGAAACACTCCCTGTCCCTTGGCCACAGAATAGGCAGCCACTTGATCAGAAAAGCAAGCAGCCAGCTAGTGCAAATGGCAAATCCATCAGCACCATTATCCAAATGGTAAGGTTGGCAGTATTGTCGTCACAAATTAAAAATGACACATCACAACAATTACATGGCTTCTCACTGCCTGACATGCTGGTTCAGCCTAATTCCCAGACTGTTTCAGACACCCAAACAAATTAACACGTTTTCTAATGATATAAAATTGTGTTGCTCTGTGTGTGTGTATGTATGTGTAAACCTCCATACAACCACATCATCATCAATTAAATATTTATCAGAGTTCCACTGACCTGTGACAAGCATCAGCAATTGGCCCTTGGAGCATCAGTGTTGGCTATTTTTTAAAGCCAGCTTCTAGCCTCGGTCAGTGGAACATGTTAAACCTCAATGAACAGCTCTCACTATCTTTTGTACTGGATCCATACTCCAGGCTGAAGGAAGCTTTTAGAACCAGCAAGAACCAGATGGCCCTCCAAGATCATTTTTGAATGTTTGGATCTGAGTCATTTGTATGCGGAAGCCTTCACAAAATAGCAATCTGGGGAACATGCTCCAGGCTGAGTCCAGCTTTCCAGACAGCCCATCTTTGCCTACAATTGAGAAGACAAGCACAATATTGTAGGGTTCCACAAAAATATTGCAGCATTTATCTATATGTGTAGCACCAAATACATGGAGTGTCCCAGTCAGGCTGTCACTACAATGGTAGTTCGCCACCGCTCTTCCTCCTCACTCCCCCTAATTATTTTTCTTTTTTCTATTGTACCTACAGTTTCTCTTCTAGCACAGGCATAAAGCCATCTTTGCAAATCGGCCAGCAGAGGGTACTACAATACTGGTGCAATAATCCAAATCACAGCAAATTTACAGCTGAAAAAGATTTAGACAAATTAAAATGGGCTTTGGTTTTATGATGTGCTTGGAGCTCCTAGCCAGAAATAAGAGAGTGGTGGGATGGAAGAGATGGAACCAAAACTGGTAGACAGGGACTGCTCATCAGAGGAAGAGGCAAGGCAGCAGTGTAGGTTCAGTATCACTAATCCGGGGGTGAGGCAAACCTAGATTCAAAAGTGAGAAGGAATCAAAACTAAGGGGTCAACCGCTTCTAGGTATTCACCCTAGAAAAACTTTTTAAATACCTGTATGTGAATATTTATAACAGTTCTATTTATAATCGCCCCAAACTAGGAACAATCCAGATGTCTTTTAATCAGTGAATGAAGAAACCAAGTGTGGTATATCCATACAATGGAATACTACTCAGGGGTAAAAAAGAAGAAATTATGAATACATACAGTAACAGGGATGAATCTCAAAGGCATTATGTTGAGTGGTGGAAGCCATTCTTAAAAAGAAAGTTAGATAAATATGAGTCCATTTAGATGACATTCTCAACAGATCAGCAATTGCCAGAGATTGGGGCTGAAGAGAAGGTATAACTATAAAGAAATAGCATGAAAGAATTCTTTGGAGTTATGGAAATGTTCTGTATTTTATTACTGTTGATGATTACATCAATCTATACATGTGTTAAATTTATAGAAACAGTACACCAAAAATTAATGTCAGTGTTTCAGCTTAATGTAAAATTGTTTCATTAATGGTATGCTAAATTTAAAAAAGAAAATTTTAAAAAGAAAAAAAAGACATTAAAAAAAGATGGAGCCTGAGGGCAGAATGGGATAAGCAGATAAAGAGTGAGGCCAATTTGAGGTCTCATCAAGCATGTATAGAGGAGGTAAATTATGAGAAGACAGAGTTGAGTTGAGACTTGGAGGACAGACTAATAGGAAATTGGTGAGAAGATCAGGTTCTTCACACTCACTTTGTTTTTGTGAACAGTGGTGTTTCACTGAGTATCAACCAGCAGCTTGAGCTGAAGGGACCACAGAAGCCACCTGGACCCACATGGTGTTGATGGACAAGAAGGTCACCAGTCAGGGTTGGTGCAGGACCAGAATCTGCCCACCCTAGGAGCCAGCATCTATGCTGGTGTAGAAAAGAATCAAGTTAATTCTAGGAGCCATCATCATGACAGTATGGACAGCCTCAAGTTAATTCTTCACCTCACTCGCTGGTAGGAATAGGCTCATTATCTTTGGGCAGGGGTTTAGTTGAGAGAGGAAGTGATAAACAAAACTAGATAAATGTAATCTAACCCTCTCATTTACAGATGAGGAGCCTGGGAGAGCAAAGCAGTGTGAGTTCTCCAAATTGCACAGCTTATGAGTGCCCTTCAGGGTTCTGTAAGTTGGCCCTGGACCAGGGACCAGGAATGGTATTTCTTCTCATCTGCCTTAGGTAGGTGAGATTGTGTTTTATATTTAAAAGATAGCAAGACAAACAATGGTGACTCCATAGCATGCCATTAGAATCCATTGAAAAATATACTACCTCCCTTCAAACCTTTGTTGTTGTTCTTTTCTCAGATGAATTGCTCGAGAATTCCTGTGCCTGATTCTTATATCAGCCTTCTCTTATTCTATCCAATGATTAGACTGCTGATTGAAAAAAACAGTCCAAGAGTTCTTATCTATCAGATTGCCTCCTATGTCTATCTACGTTTTTTGTTTCTGTCTAACTTTGGAGAGCTCAGAAGGAGGAGGACAGTCTCACACTTTGCAATCTCACTCTTAGATTGAATGGTATGCGAAAAAAGTCCTGGTTGAGAAGTTGAGGCACAGGTTTTGCTCCATATTTGCTGATAACTGCATGTGAGATTTTAGGTAAGTCTCTTCCTTTCTCTGGGCCTTAATTTCCTCCTCTATAAAGTGAGCCAGTTGGATTTGAAGATCTTAAAGTAATTTCTAGTCCTACAATGTTTCACTTCTATGTTTAGTCTTAAGTGTAAATGATAAATACTTAAACTGATGCACAAAAGAACTGATAATTTTCAGTTTAATTCAAAAATATGTACTTAGAGTCTATTTTCAGGCTATATACTAGCCATGAGGGATATTAAAATAATTAAGAAATAAACCCTGCCTTTAAGCACATACAATCTATGGATTAGAACAAGAGTCTGGAGTTAAAGGTTACAGATTCAAGGACACTGCTCTACTTGAAATGACTCAGACCATTTATTTAACCTCTCTGAACCTATTTCTTCATCTATAAATTGTGAATAATAATAGCTCCCCCTGGGAGTGAAGAATAAATGAAAGTATATTAGTTTTTATTATGAAGTCATTCATATCACTATCCTGCCCTCTTGAAACAGCATTTTTCTTTCTCGCCCATACCTTTTGGCAAATGATCTCCATTTTTAATCTCTCAAAGCTGAACAAGCTATTAATACTTTCAGATGCAACTCAAGTTTCACTTATCCGAGAAGACTTATCTGTCTGCTCCAGACAATACAGATCTCCCTTGCCTCTGGTTTTCTGTTGCCAATGTTTAACACTTCTATGGTACTGTCTATTGCTTCTATTCTATTGCCTCACAATTACTTGGGTATTTATGGTTTTAAGCTCTCTTGAACTCCAGTTCTTTATATTATCAACTGCCTATAGTGACTTCAAATTCTACCTGTATCAAGTAGAATCCACAATTATTTCCAGAAACCCTACTCCTCTTCTTGGGCTCATTTCAGTTTATAGTATCTCAGTCACTCAAACTAAACACCTGTTTGTCATGTTTCCTCTCCATTACACCCTCATCCAATCCATCCTATGTAATTCCAACTCATGTGCCTCTCAAATCCATTCTTTATCATCTCCATTGTCACAGCCTTACTTAAGTACCTCTTGGCTAAATTAAAGCAATGGTAGAGGGAAGGATTTATCAGTATCATCTAGCAAGCATTTTTCAAAATGCTTACCTTCCTGTAACCCCATATCGCATCAGAAGTGTGGTTGAAGGAGAAGACAGAACGGTGGAGGAAAAACCAGGCTTGCGTATTTTGCAAAAGCTTTACAGATTATTCTCACAGATTTCCCATTCCTGTTGAGAATCACTGTCTTAATCTTTCTCCTTCCAATCCTTCCTGCCTGTCCTGCCTGAGTAACTTTTCAAAACTTCCAGTTAATCAATAAAGGCTTCTCATTGCCTTTCTTCAGGTTGGCTTTCACATTCTGCCCCAGGCCACTCTCTTGCCCTTGTTTTCTTCAATTTCTTCCATGCCTATATTAGTCCATTTGTACTGCCATAAAGAAATACCTGAGGCTGGGTAATTTATAAAGAAAAGAGATTTATTTGTCTCATGGTTCCGCAGGCTGTACAAGAAGCATGGCATTGGCATTTGCTTCTGGTAAAGACCTCAGGAAGTTTCCAATCATGTCAGAAGGTGGAGGGGGTACAGGCACATCACATGGCTAGAATGGGACTCAAAGAGAGGAGGGAGAGGTCTCAGTTTCTTTTAAACACCCAGATCTCATGTTAACTAACTGAGCATGAACTCACTCATCATCAAAGGGATTGCACTAAGCCATTCAATAAGAATCTGTCCGCCTGTAATCCCAGCACTTTGGGAGGCCGAGGCGGGCGGATCACGAGGTCAGGAGATCGAGACCATCCTGGCTAACACGGTGAAACCCCGTCTCTACTAAAAATACAAAAAATTAGCTGGGCGTGGTAGCGGGCGCCTGTAGTCCCAGCTACTCGGGAGGCTGAGGCAGGAGAATGGCGTGAACCCGGGAGGTGGAGCTTGCAGTGAGCCGAGATCGCGCCACTGCACTCCAGCCTGGGCGACAGAGCGAGACTCCGTCTCAAAAAAAAAAAAAAAAAAAAAAAAAAAGAATCTGTCCCCATGACCCAATATCCTCCACTAAGCCCCATCTCCAACATTGGGGATGACCTTTCAACATGAGATTTGGAAAGGACAAACATCCAAACCATATCATTTTCCCCTGGCCCCTGAAATCTCATGTCCTTCTCATATTGCAAAATTCAGTCATCCCTTTTCAATAGTTTTTCAAAGTCTTGACGTGTTCTAATGCCAACTCAAGTGTCCCAAGTCCAAAATCTCATCTGAAGATGAGATCCTTTGACCTATGAGCCTTTGTGATCAAAAACAAATTATTTATTTCCCAGATACAATAATGGTAGAGGCATTTTGTGGACATTCTCATTGCAAGAGGGAGAAGTTGGCCAAAAGAAAGGGGCAAACGGCCCTATGCAAATTTGAAACCCAGCAGGGCAGTCATCGAATCTTAAAGCTCTAAAATAATCTACTTTGACTCCATGTCCTGCATCCAGGGCACACTGGTGCAAGGGCTGGGCTCCCAAAGCCTTAGGCAGCTCTGCTTCTGTGGCTTTGCAGGTTGCAGCCCTCATGGCTGCTCTCATGAGATGGAGTTGAGTGCCTGCAACTTTTCCAGGCTCAGAATGTAAGCTGCCATTATTGGGTCTGGAGGGCAACAGCCTTGTTCCCACAGCTCCACTAGGCTGTGCCCCAATGGAAATTCTATGTAGAGGCTCTAACCCCACATTTTTCCTCTGCACTTTCCTAGTAGATGTTCTCTATGGGGGCTCTGCCTCTGTAGCAGGTTTCTGCCTGGGCACCCAGGCTTTCTCATACATCCTTTGAAATCTAGATGGAAGCTGCCTAGTCTCCTTCACTGTTGCATTCTGTGCACCTGCAGGCCTAACACCACGTGGAAGCTGCCAAGGCTTGCAGAGGTTTGGCACCTGCTGGAGCTGCCAAGGCTTACAGAGGCTTGCACGTGCTGGAGCTTTGACCTGAACTATACCTGTGGCCCTCTGAGCTGAGGCTGGAGCCAGAGTGATTAGGATGCAAGGAGCAAATTCCCAGGGTGGCGTAGAGCAGTAGCACCCTGGGCCTGGCCCATGAAACCATTCTTTCCTTATAGGCCTCTGGGCCTGTGATGGAAGGGGCTGCCTTGAAGATCTCTGAAACGCCTTCAAGGCCTTTTCCCCATTGTCTTGGATATTAGCACCTGGCTCCATTTTAGTCATGCAAGTCTCTCTTGCAAGTGATTGTTCCACAGACCATTTGTATTTCTCTCCTGAAAATGCTTTTTTCCTTCTTTATCACATAGCTAAGCTGCAAATTTTCCAAATTTTTGTATTTAAAGTTCCAAATTTAAGTCGTTTATGTGCTTCTGTATATGATCATAGGCTGTTAAAAGCAGCCAGGTCACATCTTGAATGCTTTGCTGCTCACCAGATATTCTAGGTCATCACTCTTAAGTTCAAGCTTCCTCAGATCTCTCGGGCATAAACACAATGCAGCCAAGTTCTTTGCTAGAGCATAGCACAGGTGACCTTTACTCTAATTCCCAATAACTTCCCCATTTCCATCTGAGACCTTGTAAGCCTAGCCTTCACTATTTATATTTCTATTAGCACTTTGGTCACAATCATTTAACTAGTGTCTAATATGTTTCAAACTTTCCCTCATCTTCCTGTTTTCTTCTGAGCTCTCCAAACTCTTCCAACCTCTCTCTGCTCATTACCCAGATCCAAAGTCACTTCCACATCTGCAGGTATCTTTATAGCAATAGTAATACCCCACTCCCAGTACCAATTTTCTATGTTAGTCCATTCGTGTTGTCATTAAGAAATATCTGAGTCTGGGTAATTTATAAAGAAAAGAGGTTTAATTGGCTCAGCATTCTGCAGGCTATACAAACACGGTGCTAGCATCTGCTTCTAGTGAGGGCCTCAGGAAGCTTCCAATCATGGTGGAGAGTAAAGAAAGAACGGGTGCTTCATATGGCAGGAGCAAGAAGGGGGAGGTCTCAGACTCTTTTAAGCAGCCAGATCACATGTGAAATAACTGAACAAGAACACACTCATCACCAAAGGGATGGTGATAAGCCATTCATGAGGGATCTGCCTCCATGATCCAATATCCCCCACCAGGCCCAACCTCCAAAATTGGGGATCACATTTTAATGTGAGGTTTGGAGGGGACACACATCCAAACCATTATCAGTGCCCCGCAAGTTCCAGCCAAACCAAAGTAGACCTTCTTTCTCTAAATACACCAGAGCTGTTCACAACCCCAAGCATTGGTTCATGCTATCTCATCTTCTTGGGATTTTCTTCTGTTCTTATTTCACTCTTCCTACCTGGGAGCATTCCACTTAATTTTCAGTGCTCAGATCAAATGCCACCTCCTCCATGAAGTCTTAAGAAATTTCTACCCTCTTCCAGGCAAAATTAGTCACTCCTTCCTCTACATATCTTCATATCTCTCTATTCACAGTGCTAATACACTTAATAGCAGCTTGGGTAGGCCACCTTTCTTAACTCCCTCCAAAAGGATCTGGATTCCTCCTTTGGTTTCCTAAAACAAATTTTAGACCTCTGTTATAGTCTATACCCTATTCCACTTTGTGTGTACATGGTGTGTTTTATAACCTGTTTCTTAAATTAGACAACAATCCCCCTCAAAGATAGACACTGCCTTCTCCTTTAATTTCCCAGCATGAAGCAAAGATTCCACAGTTTTAATGGATACTAAATAAATAATTCTTTAGGCAAGATTCAGATTAGACATCATCATCTCAGGAAGCCTTTCCAAGCCCTAACAAGTGGTAGTGAGCTGCATCTGTCACATCAGCACCCTACATGTAGCACATTCTATTGAAATTACCTGCTTATGAGCCTGTACTTTCACTAGACTGCAAGTTCCTTCTGGGCAGCAACAGTATTTTTCTCTCTCTCCTACCATGGCACATTACACAGTGCCTGGCAGACAGTTGTACTCTTCAGTGTTCTGGAACAACTATGCTGAATTTACTGTAATTTCCTTGCAGATGATAAACACTCCAAGTGCACTTATGGCATTTTTTACCACTCTCAAATTTTTGACAGCATCTTCCTCCAACCCTGAATTGAGAGCAAACTTTCAAACAATATTTGTCAATTGACAAATTATTATTAAATATTCCTGAATAAGTTTAGGCCTGCATATGAGAGGATGGAATGTCCCACTTAGATGTGTTCCCAGGAAAGGAAGGATTCAGTCTTTTAACGGCCATACCCCAATTCTGTTTGTTGTCATGTATCTATATCCTGATAGTTCAGCAATGATTAGTCAAGTCTCTAGTAGGTTGGATCTGTCACTGATTCAATCTCAGCATATTGACCTGGTTCCATTCTGGCCACTTTCCTCCTCTCCTGTGGTCCCAATATATACACCAGATTGGCATATTAACCTTGTCTAGGAATTTTTAAAAATTAAAGGCCGGGCGCGGTGGCTCATGTCTGTAATCCCTGTACTTTGGGAGGCCAAAGAGGGCAGATCACAAGGTCAGGAGTTCAAGACCAGCCTGACCAACATGGTGAAATCCCATCTCTACTAAAAATACAAAAATTAGCCGGTCGTGGTGGCGCGCACCTGTAATCCAGCTGAGGCAGGAGATTCGGGAGGCAGAGGTTGCAGTGAGCTGAGATCACACCATTGCACTCCAGCCTGGGTGACAGAGAGAGACTCCATCTCAAAAAACAGGAAAAAGAAAAAAGAAAAAAAATTAAAAGGGACATGCAAATAAAATTTTCGGGAAAATTCAAAATAATGCCTACTCATGAGACAAGTGCCATTCCAACAAAGCTGAGGGTTGGGTCATTGCTCAATGTATTCATAATACATAGACCTGCTGGGTGATGAAAACTTATAACATTGCTTTATCTAAAACTGAAATGTTTTGGAATTTTTTAGGTGAATGAAAATATCAGGATATTTGTGGAAATAAACCCAATCTCACATCATCATTATTAAAATAAAAGTTACAATGCTACTATGTGATATGTTTTATTTTAAGCATAAAATAAAGCATGTTTTACTATTAGGTTTTTTAAAAGCATAAAAATGAAAAGAAGCTCCCTTTTTCTCCATTGTTTAAATAAAATAACATAAATCTCCTTTTACAAGTTTATAAATTAATCAACCATTGTTGAATGCCTGGGCATAACTTAGCTGACACCATATCCAAACATTAAGCTAGTGCTGAGCAACCAATGAGAAGATAGTTTTTCTGGAAGTTGGAAAATCACATCAACTTGATGTAAATAAAAAGAACAAGCTCGACATTGATCACAGCATATCAACTGGGAGGAGGAATGGAAGCACGGTTGCCATCATAATATATCACAATCGCAGATATGTCAAAAAATTGTAAGGGTTTTTCCAGATAGGTCTAGTATGAAATTACTTGGAGGCAAAAAATAATGACACTGCACTTCTTACTTAAAGTAAAACTCATGGGATATCAGTGAACTTTAACTCACATCTTATGATTTTATTTAAAAGTCCCCAGAGTCCTGATTACTCCAAAATTCTGTGATCTAGGATTGATGATTTTCTCTCTGCAGTGAGGTCATTGATGTGATTAGCTGCAATGCAGTATTTTAAGGCTCCATTGAGAGGAATGGAATAAAGTCAAGAATTGAGGCATTCGTCCAGATTAGTCTTATAAAATCTGATACTAGATGAGAAAAAAAAAAAAAGTTGGTGTGGACTTGAATGGTCCCAAGTGACTACCTGTACAACCAAAATTCACTGATATAAAATGGGAGGAAGTGGAATATCCAAAATTACTAGTCCTAGTCAGCGAAGGACAGGCCCCAGTAAAGGTCAACACCCTGTAGGCCTGAGTTGCCATTACAAATCATTTCTCAGGTTAGTAAATAGTGGGGAAAAAATAAAACAAAACATTTTAAGGAGTTTTGACACTTCTCATATTATTCATTCTAATATCCCTATGTTCGACTTTTGTCAAAGTTTTACATAACAGAAATAAAAATTCACAAGTATTTAAAATGTCTCAAATGTGCAAAAAGGTTGACTTTATCTACCAAGAAATAGGTGCCTGAAACCAGCAAAGGGCATCATATTGAAATAACTTTCTCATTTGGTTGTGAGTTTCTTAAAGGGCAGTCCAGGTCTCAGGTCCTACTAACCAGCCGAGAGCAGCAACTGAATTCCTATAAAATCTCAAATACAACCTTGAAAAGTAATGCACGCTAGCACAGGGATCTGGACCAGGGAGCACAGGTCTTAGCCTCAGTACATGCTCCAGCACCACATGTTTCTTAATCTTAGGTAAGCCAAAACGGTCTTTGTTGTTGTTGTTGTTGTTGTTGTTGTTGTTATGGAGTCTTGCTCTGTCGCCCAGGCAGAGTACAGTGGTGCTATCTCGGCTCACTGTAACCTCCACCTCCCAGGTTCAAGCAATTCTCCCGCCTCAGCCTCCCAAGCAAGTAGGTGGGATTACAGGCAAGTGCCACCACACCTGGCTGATTTTTGTATTTTCAGTAGAGATGGGGTTTCACCATGTTAACCAAGCTGGTCTCAAACTCCTGATCTCAGGTGATCCACCTGCCTCGGCCTCCCAAAGTGCTGGGATTACAGGCATGAGCCACTGCACCCGGCCCCAAACTGTCCTTGATCTTTAGTTTCCCCTTACACATGGCAGGGAAAAAAAAAAAAAAAATCACCCTTTCTAAGAGTACGATGATGAAATACATATTGACAGTCAAATAAGTTTAATTTCTTGGAAAAAAAGGCTTTGCACAATAAAAATAACCTATTTTCTTCAAAAAACTGAATAATATGAATACATCACATTTACTTTGCCAGTTCTTGATTTATAGTTAGATACCCTGATCTTATTGGGTAAGGGCATTGGTATTCCTTGCCAGCATTTATTTTAGCTCTACCTTGCCAGTGGTTGGGGCAAGGGTAGAACGAGAGGACCCAAAGGAATGGGGGATAATAAAAGGGATTGAAGAAGGGTAGAGAGGCACTGCTAATCTTTTAAAGAATTGCTAATCTGAGATATCCCTGTTAATACCTGCCCACAGACTTTCTTTTTAGCACTTGTGGAGTGGGTATTTTGCATATATTCTTCTCATTCTTCCAGATTTACACTCACAGAAGAGTAGAGGGGGCAGTTTCTCCAAGTCATCACTGTTTCTTTTACATAGACTTTCACATTAAATGAATATATATTCACTTAATAAGAATGAATATATATAAATATGAATGAATATTTAAAAATATATATCAATAAAATAAATATCAGCCTTGGATTACAACATAACTTCTCTTAGAATATGCTTGGGAGTTTTATAATCTACTTAACACACCACTTGTAAAAATAATAGAGTTATTTTTCAAGGAGATTCCAAATTTCAGTCTATATGAATGAAATAATACCTATCCTTGCCACACACTAAAAAAATATCAGGGAGGAAAAGAGAACTTTGTCAGAGCATTCTCTATAACAGGGTCTTCATTTTGCATATTTGCTTATTTTTAACCCCAACTCCTTGAATATAAAATATTATATCCAAATGCTCCCCCTTTGCTAACTTAACAAACCATGAGAAGGTTTCTGTTTGTTTGCCCAAATATTACTAGCATTGTTTGTTGAGTTGGTTGATTAGCACTGTAGAAAGTCTTTGTTTTGCTGATACTTTTCACATGCTGTATAAGTACTACCAGGAAACCTGCCTCAAAGTAAATTAAATGAGCATGTTATCTCTGAAGGCCTCATACAGTTAGGAAGTGGAAGGCAGTCAGAAAGGGGAAGCTCAACTTTGTCCTCCCAATTCGGAGTGGAAAAAAGAAATCCAACAAAGTTTAAAAAGTGGGAGCTCTGAAAGCTGTGTCTGCTACTTAACTGTAAAGTCTCAGTGACATGCTTTTGAAAAAGAAAACTTTTTCAATTAATGGGGCCATTGAAAATAAATTTAGTATTTTTGGTCGTGTGCTGCCATCTTAGTGATTATTTTAAATCAGCCTGAGGGCATTATGGGTAAAGAGAAGGAGAACAGTTACATCCTATTTCATCTTCTGTCTACCTATACATGTGATCTTCTGCTTCATGTTCTTCCAAAATTCCAGAATGTGTGCTATATTTCTCTTTCTTTTTAAAAGATATTTGTATTTTTAGGGCTCAGAAGATATAAGTTACAAACAATATTTTGACCATATTATGTTCAGTATGTTAAATACTGGGGGTGGCCATTTTCAAGAAATGTCAGGGTTAGGTCTTCAGTCTGATTTACAAGTTTTCTATTTATTGGAGCAATTACAGACACTTGTTGAAATGTCTGGATTAATGGTTGAACTTGAACCTATGCTTTCAAAATGTCTTGGGATGGACCTTGGCCACAAGATGAGTTGTTCCTTTCAAGTTGTTCCAGAAGTTAAATATCTGCAGAAGACACAGGCTAAGAGATGGGGTTCCCTCCAAATCTGTTCTCCCAAGGGTTTCAGCATTCCTTCCAGCTCCTTGGAGAACTACACTATTTGTGAGTGCAAAAAGAACTTGTTTCGACTGCTTCAACCATAGAGACTCAGCTTTTCATTAACCTCTTTGTCTCTTCTAGCATTTTAGGTGGAAATATTACCCAGCCTTATAATATTTCAGCCATTTCCTTCCTTCCCCCTTCATTTCACACCTTATTAAAGCATAACTGATCAGAAGATGGGACGATCCATTTTTCTCCAACCAAAATGCACCGAAGAATTTAGCAATGCCAACTTCTCCTTTCACAAAAGCTTTGGAATCATTTGTTTAAATTTGACTTTTGAATCAGCCCCAAGTGACTGTTCTTTGGCAACAAAATATGTAACTTTATCACAGATAAATTTTCTTTGCTCACAGTTCCTGGCCTGGAGTTGCTGTAAGGATCATCCAGACACATGCTGGAAATTAAACAGTGTACTACCAGGGTGGCCGCAATTAAATTCAGACTTGCATTCAAACCATGGCCCGCTCCGCATTTCTTCGAGAAGTTTGCTTTCTAAAGACATTTCAGAATGTCTTTTCACAAAAGAAAGGCAGGGTAGCTCTGCCCAAGTCCCCTAAATCAAGGCAATGAGAATGAAAAGGGAGAGATGTATTTGCAGCATGCCACACTAGATGTTCATCTACAGGAAGATCTGAGGCTTCTAATTTAGGGTGTTTTCTTCTGGAACCCAAAGGTAATTCTATCCACGCCTTCACAGACAGACTACAATTATTATTTGAAAAAGAAATAAATCATGAGTTCTCATCGGACATCAACCCACCAGCATGTGTTATAAAATGGAATGGCTCCTTGAAAGAAAATATTTCCTCCTCTGCATGTAGACATATCCCCCTTGACTTAAAAATATATTTTAGAATTGAAATGCTGAATGCTTAGCAAATTCTGAAAATAGTGAAGAGTTCTGGACTCAAGCCAAATGTTGTATGGCTTAAGGGAAAAAATGATCAATTTGGAATAATTTTTTCTAGATACTTACGGATAGTACAATATTTAGAAGGAAGAAAACTATGGAGGACCATTTATAGGTATGTGATATTTCTAGGCTAAAACTAAGTTTATAAAATGTGTAAATTTGTTTTTTAGCAAAATCGTTTAAAGATGGAGTTCAAATTTAATCTGCTCCTCTGTTTCTTTTTAGGTAGAATCAGTTTTAATCACTTGTATTGATTTGAAGAAATATAAATTGCATAAAGTTAAAGTGGCTGGAAGAGATCTCCAGATTTTCATGTTATGTCAAATGCCTATTTGAAATACTTTCCTAAAAATCTGTTTTGACGGTGTAACTCTGTAACCTTTGAAAACTTTGGGAGTTGTCAGGAGTTGGCCTGTTCATAGAAGACAATCACTCATGCATAAATGTCATTCAAAAGAACAGCTATGTTTAAGGTACAAAATAACATAGTACCAAGACTTAATAGCCACACAAACGATAGTCAAACCCTTTTTTTTTTTCCTACAGAGCAGAAAGTTACCACAGAAATTTCACATGCAAGCATAAATGATCTGAAAAAGACAATCACCAATTTAGGTTGAAATGATTTCAACATTTGAGCAAATTACAAACAGCAGACCTGGCCTTCCTTACAACTTCCATCTAGTTGTTGCACTGAACAAAAATAAACAAATGGAAAGCTTGACAGATGAATAAGACTTTTCTCATGATTTTAAAAAATGAAAATGCAACAGCAAAGCAAATATCACCACCGAAGTTATTCCGAAGAAACTGCCTTTGGTATGTAGGCTGGAGCAAAGACTCCAAAGCCTCCCCTCGATCTCCCATCAGAATCCTCCACTTTTGCTGTATTTCCTAATTTTGTAGACTCTATTGCTGAGCTCTTTATCAAACCAGTGTGCAATAAAAAAGCCTCCACCGTTCTACTAACTTGCAATTTTCTCCCTCCTCCTGGACAGAGGCCACTAGGAAGGGAAAGCCTCAAAAAAAAAAAAAAAAAAAAAGAGGAGTGAAAGCGAAGAAACAATAGACAACCGTGGCTTTGACAATGCCTTCCCTCAACCCCCTTTCTGCTCCTGCTGTGACACTTGCATTCAAGAGCAAGGACGTCTGCCATCCGATGCATGGACAATGGAATGAGGAATACAAGGCAGCGGGGAAGAAAGGAAATCAGATGAATTCTGAGCTAAGATGGCAGGGTTCTCACCTTTTCCATTTTGGGGAATTTTTTTGTTTTTTGGGTTTTTTTTTTTTTTTTTGCCAAAAATAAAAAGTCTGGATGGAGTCTTCCCGCAGAGAAGAAATAAAAAGAGTGTTTGAATTGTTGGATGGTTCTGAAGGCTTCTGAATTTGCAAACGAATTTTAGAACTATTTGCAGAGGTCTACTTGCTGCCAGTCATCTCTCTCTCTCTCTCTTTCTCTTCTGTTTTATGTCCTGCTATCTCCATCATGCCTCTGTTACTATGAAGACTTTCTGCCTGTGTAAGTAAGTGAGAGTGTGCATTCCTTAATGTTTGAATCAAGACACACGTCTGCATGCATTTCTAATCTAAGAAGCCTATAGCAGTTACTACAACTATCAATTAGTCAGCAATAGCTGAGAACTTCAACGCCTCTGAAGGAACAAAGGTGGAAAGACAGGCAGATACTCCAGCATCTGGATCATGCAACTTGCTGGCTACAAATAATGGCACCTTCTCTGGCTTTTATCTGTGTTTAGTCCTCAAATCTATGTAACATTATGGGTTATTAATGTATCCAGCCACATAATTAGATATGGAGCATCTAAGACATATATGTTTCTTTGGCATTATTGGGAATAAAATGCATTAAGCTGAACTAAAAGGAATTGCCTGCTGACAAAAAAGAGTTTATCGTATATGTGATCTACGTTCCATTTTAATCAACTCCCACTAGAACTGAAATTAACTATACGGTAGAGTTCTTTGTTCATTTCAGTGGTTTTTATGAAAGAAGCTAAGAAAATAGTGATTAAAAAAGGAAAGCTAAATATTTAGCTGTAGAAAAGCATATAAGAAGATTAATTTTCCTCCATAAATGAAATCATTTTGGTTTAAACTCAAGCCTGGATTTTGGTTAATGTTGAGTGGGTTTGTGTGGGGGGGCTGTGTGTGTTTAGTTGCAAGTGTTGTGAGCACCGTCTTACACTGCATATGTCTGTGTTAACTTGTATTGAATATATTCTGGGCTAACCACCTGAAACAAAATAAAGACTTCTTTTATCTCATTTTACAGAAACCTCAAAAAAATCGACCCTTCCGAAAACCAATGCTCTGCCTTTCGTTTTCAAGGACATTAAAATATTGCTAACTTGAATACACAAGAAGAAAGAGGGTGGTATAAGTAACAGCTGATCTCACTCCCTTTTAAATATAAATCATTTCAAATGGAATGATGTCCTTTGCATCTGATGTTATCTGTGATTTTGTCCCTCTTTTCTGGTGCATGAAAAGCAATGCTTCTTTCCTCCGCACTTTTTGTTAGAATTGAAATAATTTCCAAGCGAGATATGGAAAATATCATGAAGGTTAACATTTGTCTCTAACTCCATAAACACAACAGAAAGTCTCACCTGAGCACAGGTATTCACAGCCAAGCCGTAGCAGAAGCTGCAAAACAATATCCCCTCATTTCCCTCTGCTACTCATTCCTTTTCTTGGGACTATCACCCCAAAGAGCAAAATTTTTTTCTTCCTAAAGAAAATAGCTCAGACAATAATTTTACCCCTGTTAACTTGTGAGGTAACCACAGAAGCTGAGAAATTCGGGACTAACATTCAAAGAGAAAACCCAAACAATAGAGCAGAAAAACTGAGTTGCAGGAACCGGGAATGAGAGTCTAGCAAGCTTTTATAATGAGGAGAGGTGTTAGAAATCAGGATAAAGCAAGTCCTTATCAAGATAAAGCAGGGGTAGACAGGGGGGCACAGTAACCCCCATCAAACC
Source organism: Homo sapiens (assembly GCF_000001405.40). NCBI lineage: Eukaryota > Metazoa > Chordata > Mammalia > Primates > Hominidae > Homo > Homo sapiens. Next base: position 122,309,168 of record NC_000011.10, read on the forward strand.
CTGTCACTTAAGAAAGAGAAAATTCTAACAAGGTTGAGGAAGAGAAAGGAAATGGTGCTAAATAGCTGGCGAGGTGACCCACCGTCCTGTTTGCTCCTTGGCTCTTGCCGAGGGGAATAACAGCCACAGCAGTGACAACGGAGTTCTAATGTGTCAGGTGCAACCTCTGCCCCGTGCTCTCTACCTCCCAAAAACGAAAGAAAATCATGCCTCAGATAGAACACAACAGGAACGAGCAGGCGCCATCGTCAAGTCCCGGACCCCATCAGCACCGGCTGGTCTATGAAAGCCTTGTATCAAGGGTCCCATTCAAAGGCAACGAAGAACCAGAGACAATGGCAAATCAAAAACTGGCAGGGTTTCTGGAATAATTTAATTCCTCACTCCAGAATTTAGATGGGTATAGCAAGAAACACAGGCGAGAGCTCCTTCACACCAAGACGCGAGCATATGCCTGCCTCTCTGTGGATGTATTTTTAGACATAATATCATGGGGAAGGCAGCCTGTGCACTCATCAACAGCATTTGCTTCCTAACGTGGGTGCAGCCTCTTTTTCACTCTGAGAGTAGCTGATGAGCAGAGGAAGCAATCCACATTTCTCACCAAGCCAAAGGTCAGGAAGGAGGACCCCAAACCACAATCCATTGTCTCTGTGCTCAGAAAGCATTAAATACATTTTCAAGATGTGTTCCAGTATGAGGTCATGCCGCGTGGCAATTCGCTCACTTCCTATTTTTCCACAAATGACTTATTCTATCATCCAAAAGCATAACCAGAAAAAGAAATCACACCTTGACAAAGACAATTCAAACACTGTAGACGAAGGATAAAAATATTTGACAGGACATCTATTATTAATAACATGTACTAAACTTTTTAACATGTCTGTTAAAAGCAAGAGACGGATAATGATTTATGTCAGATTTAAATGTGCTTTAAAATTGGATATTCTTCGCATTCACTTCAAGCTTCAAACATTTAAAATAATAAACACACACAAAAATAGCTCAGCTCTTTAAAATGTGATTAACTAGAAAGGAACAATTCAGCCTTTGCAAACAAATTAACTGTAATCTGGTATATTCTTATCTGATCTGGGGAATTTTCCCTTCGTGTGGAGGATTAAAAAATTTTTAAAGACTCCTTTAAATTTTTCATATTAAAGTAGTAATCAAATATGTATGTGGACTTATCTATACATAGACAAAATTCTCAAGTTAATTTAAACTTATGAGAGAAATCCAAGGACTAGTAGGTCAAACCATCAGAAAAGAAAAATAACCATAAAAACAATCTTTAACCACACACCAATTTCTAGTTTCATGCACTTCTGGAATAGAAATGGACTGAATGGAAATGAATGAAATTAATTTTTCACAACCACTATATTGCAAAACACAATCACTTAAAATGAAGAACAAACAGCCCACCTTCCATATTTTTGAGTCAGAATTTGTTTGTGTCAGAATTACGTTTTTTAAAAATATTGTATGTAAGTAATCTGTAAAAGAGAGTTACAGGATGGATTATTTCTAACTCTACAAATAAGCATTCTGAGTTTTGATTTTGCTTTAACAATTGAAACAGTTTACAATTTCACATTGTAAATCTCACTAGGACTGAATAATGCTCTCACATGGATTGACAAAGAAAGAAAAATTCATGTCAGACCAAAAGGCTTCTTTCAGTCAGTTTCATGCAGCTTTCTTCCAACGGATCTGGGCCAAAACAAATGTAGAATCTTGAGCTGAACTATCCATCACATTTTCCTAGTCTTTCAATTAATGACACTGCAATCAGATCGATAGAATGTAATAAGAAAAGAGCTTTGCATTTCTATACCTATTAATTCGCTGAGTAACTCCAGCAGTAAAACGTGACCTGAAAGGAAAAACACTCAAGGAAAATGAATTCTCTTAGCGTATTGAGCAATGACTCCCTGACCCAAAAATGAACACTAGAGTTTCTATCTTCCAACCAGGGTTATTAAGATCTAAAGATCAGATTGCCTTGTCAAGAGTGAGCTTATTCTTTTTTCACAAGATTCTCTGCAATACACTCACACCACAAGAGGTCTAGTCAAATTGGCCATTTTTTAGAATTTTGGAACAAACATCTTTGAAGTGCAGGTTAGAGTATCTGAAAGGAAAGGCATTGTTCTTCACTTCCTAGGCCACCCTGAACTACCACATTTCTGATCTTGGTTTTCTGTGATGTTCTGCCCCAAGGAATTGGGTTTAGAAAGGGTGAAGCAGGGAAAGAATCGTGGGAATGCTAATTGAGCACAGCCCCATTCCAAATTATTGCATTGGTTTGAGTCTATGCAAACAGTGACAGACATAACAATGCAATACGATGTCTGGATACTCCATATTTATCACCAGAGACAGAGAACCCGGAACACACGGGATGAGCTTTCTGTGGGAAGGATGAGGCAAAGAAAGGCTGGCCTGAGATTATCATGTGCGTGTCTAGATTTTAATGTCACTGGAGGTTCATAAACAGTAACTTCAGTCATAAAAAGTAGACTCTTTCTACTAAATTAGGGTTATAAGGTAGTTCAATCAACCACTAGTGTAGCAGAAAGAACATAGGTTTTGTTGCCAGACAAACCAGAGTTTGAATTTCAATTCTATCATATACTAGTTAGCACCTCTGAACCTCAAATTTTTATTAGCAAAATAGAAATATTATTGCTTACTTGAAGGGCTACTATGAGGGTTGAGTGAGATAACATATGTAAACTATGTGGCACATAATAGCTAAACCTTTCCCCTCACAATCCTTGTGTTTCCAAATATAAACTAGCAGTAAAAATACAATCTTGGCTGAGCACAGAGGCTCAGGCCTGTAATTCCAGCACTTTGAGAGACCCAGGAGGGTGAATCGCTTGAGCCCAGAAGTTCAGTACCAGCCTAGGCCACATAGTGAGACTCTGCCTCTACAAAAAAAATTTTTTAAGTTAGCCAGGTATGGTGGATGTGCCTGTCGTTCTAGCTACCAGGGAGGCCAAGGTGGGAAGATATCTTGAGCCCAAGGAGGTCGAGGCTGCAGTGAGCTATATGATCACACCACTGCACTCCAGCCTGGGCAACAGAGTAAGATCCTGTCTCAAAAAAAAAAAGGAAAAAATGCAATCTTATTGTACAAATTAAATGAAATAGTGTATATAGAACTCTCAATAAACTGTTCACCAATGCACAACTGAAGGTATTATTATTGTTGACAAAAATAACAATAAAGCCTTAAAAATTGAATATGTTATTTCATCTAAGACATAAAGAAATAGTATGGTCTGAGACCTCCCTTTTTTGCAATTATGTATTTAAATCCAAGGGGAAATATTGCTGCTGGAAGAGCTGTATCAAGTGAATTGGCCACCAGCAACCAGTCTTTCAGTGCACGCCAATCTTAGTTGCCAATGGTAGCACCATCTTTTGAAGGTTAAAAAAAAAAAGTACTTAAAATTCCAAGATGAAACTACAAGAAGAAATCTAGCAGTGAGTTGGCGGAAACACCTTTGATGAGAAGTAAGAATAGCACGGCTAAGTGTTCCCTGTGTTTGCAATAAAAGAGGAAAAGATCTGATTATTCATTTAATAAGTTTTTATCTATCAGTAGAATATTCATAAAACAGTATAGGTGGGAGCTGTAGGGAAGATAAATTGCCCTCAAAGAGCTTCAAGTCTAAATAAAAAATATTTATGTCATAAAATGAAAATAATTACAAAACCTGAAGTGAGAAAAATACTACTAGTCTTGGAATAAAGTTTGGCAGTAATTGATGTTTGACATCTGCAGTATCAGAAGTATTTTAAAAGGACCTCTTTTATTACTTTGTCATGACAATCATTAACTAATGAAATCAGACAATAGATGAGAGAGCTTAAAATAATTGCTGCAAAATATCAAGCTTTATTAAGACATCAAGTTCATTACCTATGCATGGTCTGGATAGAAAATATTGGAAAGCTTGTAGAAACTAAAAAAACCAATTCAATAGGTATAATTAACTGAAGAAGATATCTGCTGCTTTTAGGGGAAAATAATAATAACAATATCTACCACTTACAGAGTACTTATACAATGCCAGACAACGTGCTAAGTGTTTTATGTCTAACAACCCACTTAATCTTCAAAATATCCCTAAGAGGTGTGTACTACTGTTATCATCACAGCTTTACAGATGAAGAAACTAAAGCACAAAGACGGCAAGTGACCTGCCCAAGATCACAGAGCTAGCACATAATACAGTCAATTTCACACCCAGGCAATTTGATGCCTGAGCCCATGCCCTTGACCACTCTCATCATTTTTTCCTCCTTAGAACCTCTTTAATCTGATTTTCAGTAAAAGTGGGACCAAATGGCCGATAAGCTAAGTTTACTGTGGGTAAACTCTAAGAAAAAAAGAGAGATAACCCACTTGGTCAAGTATAACTTATGGTCAGAAGCAAAATATAGCAGTGTAAATTTATTCATTCCTTGAGTGCATTCATTCACTCAACAAATATTACTGAGCATGACTCTACTATACTGAGCGGATCTCTACCCCATTAAAGCTCACAGGCTAGTATATGAGACTGCCACTAAAAGAAGCAATGGGCCAGGTGCGGTGACTCACGCCTATAATACCAGCATTCTGGAGACGAGGCAGGAGGATTGCTTGAGCCTGGGAGTTCCAGACCAGCCTGGGCACATAGCGAGACCCTGTCTCTACAAAACTTAGCTGGGCATGGTAGGGTGCACCTGTGGTCCTAGCTATTCAGGAGGCTGAGGTGGGAGGAGGACTTAAGCCCAGGATTTTGAGGCTGCAATGAGCTATGATCCTGCCACTGCACTCCAGGCTGGGTGACAGAGAAAGACCCTGTCTCAAAAACAAACGAACAAAAACCCACAAGTAATCACAATATAGGGAGTAAGTGGGCTGTTAGAAAAACTAACAAACAAAAACCCACAAGCAATCACAAGACAGGGAACAAGTGCTGTATTAGAAAAACTAGAGCTGAAAACTCAGAGTAGTATTTTTCCATATGAGATAACTGTTAAGAGAGCAGGTTCAGGAGATGAAAACTGGCTGGATCCAGATGTCCCAGACAGGAACAGTTATCAGTAGTATTTTCATTTGGTTTCATGCTAACCACAATCATTCCTTCTAATCTGGGGCTTTGGAAAGTGTCTGGGGAGGGGATGCTTTTTTGGCACTGTGTGGCATGTGCAACTCAACCAGGATGCCCTTTTGAGTTCCCTGGAGATGCACGTTCTCTGCTTCTGAAACAACTTACTCCAGCCCAGGTACTACAAAGGGAAGAAAGACACCTGCGTTTTTACCTCTCTCCCCTGATGCTTTACAGAAATTTAAAAAGAAAGTTCCATAATAACTCAAGAGTACAGGTACACACATTTTAATAATGTTAGCATTTTTCCTCATATTTCCTGATATTTCCTGATTTTCCTGATATTTTCTTTGGTATTTTAATAAATTTATTTCTAGTCTTTTATATATGTGAATGTTTATTCATATTTATATAATTTTTACAATGTTTGGATCATAATATAAATATTTATTCTTCCTATTCTCTTAGTTTAACATTGTATCAGGAACATTTTTGAAGTTTAAGTATCTTTCAAAAACAGTTTAAAGGACAATATAATATTCCATTGTATAGATATGTTACTTGACCATTCCTCCAATATTGAACATTTAGGATAATTTCATTTTTTTGCACTATACGTAAGATTGTGAGAGACATCTTTCCACATGAATATTTGACTGCTTTCCTTAGTACAGATTAGGAGTGAGATTATTGGATGAAAGTGCTTTCTTTTTTTTTTTAAGTATTGCTAAATAGCTTTCTAGAAAGTTTTGCCAATTTGAAGGGAGTTGAAATCTCACTAGGTTTCAGTTTTACTTAGCAGTGCTTTTTAATTTGGTTTTTTAAAATTGAATTCTAGTGAGATTGGATTGATATTTCAAGAGTTCATTGATCATGTCTCTTTTTTTTAAATTTTGTTAATTATCTGTTTGTGTTCTTTGTCATTTTCTCAGTGGTGCTGCTATTTTTTTCTGATTGATTTGTAAGACACACACATATATGTATGTGTATATGTGTGTTTGTTTATATATACACACATGCACAAACATACCTCTATGTATGCACGTATTTGAACTCTTTTTCAATTATTGCAAATGCGTTTTCTACTTTTTCTCAGTTTACAGAACTTTTATATTCTATATATGCAGGTGTATTGATATTTTCTTTGAGGACATCATCACATGCTTTTATATCTTGAAGTATTTTTTACTCAAAATCAAATATTCACTTATATTGTCTTCAAGTTATTTATGTATACAATTTTTGCATGTAATCTACCTGAAATTAATTGAGGTGCCTTTTGTGAGGTGAGAATATAACTTGAGGGTTTTGTTTCCCTTTCAACAGGTAATTTTCCTAGGATCCAGTCCTACTTATATTGATATTTTAAGTGTGACAAAATTGTTTATATATTCAAAACTGTTTTGGGGCCGCCACCTATTCCATTCAGATGTTTGTATTTAAATTCTTTCTAGTAAATGAAACCATCAAAACTTATTTCTATTTTGTCAACACTAGGACTATCAGTGTGAGAGACAATAATATCCTATTGTTTAAGGATTGGGCCAAGTTGTATTGCTGATTATGGATGTGATAAGACAACTGCAAAAACTTGCTGGGTCTCAGGAATGGCCTTAGTGGCAAAGGGGCTGAAATTTAATTCAGAAGAGTTGAGATTAGGACAGGAGATTCCACCTTAAAGCAACCAGAGAAGCTAGAAGTCAAAGGGGTTAATCAAATAAAAATCTGCAGAAGAAAGCCAAGGCCCAGATACTGACAAGAGCACTATAAATTAAAGTTTGAAGAGATCAGACCAAACTTGAGCTCATCTTCACAGAACCAGGTGACAACAGGAGCCAAGGCATCTCAAAGAGGGAAAGATAGAATATGGGGTGGGGAGGAGCAGGGATTCAGGCTCATCTTCTTGGCTAGCATGGGGACAATGCATGGATGGAGAGAGTGAGTCCAGGGCAAGGAGCACCAATTTATTTGGGCATCTTGTTTGCAGAAACTTAACACCAGTTTATATTTCCTCAACATAATGGTGAATTTATTACAGAAAGCTGACTTGGATAATTTAAATGCCTCCCCACCTTTTTTTTTTTTTTTTTTTTGATTGGTACAAAGACAGAGTTTTGACTGAAATAAGCAGAGGGAGATACCTGTCTCAGTTCACCTTCTTTGGCAGTGCCAGAAACTGATTCAAATGGAAAGAATGAAAACTGAAGCAGCTCATTTACCAGGAGTGTGCTAGGTATTGAAAATAAGAGAGTTTTCAATTCTGAAAAGCAGGTCAATTTAACTAAACAGTACTGTCAAAAGAAGATCACTTCCCCTATCTAAAATACAGTGAGGAAGGGGCTGTACCACAATGATAGAAAAACTTGCCAGTGTATACTTCCTGCTGCAGTTTTGATGAGCCACTGGCATGGCACACAGCTAACTAGTCCCACAAGGCCACCAAGCTCCACTGTCCATGCAAGGGCATTTCTGGGAGTGCATAGGGAGTAATGGGTAGTGGCTGGAAATGCAGTCTTTAGTGTAAGCTGATCAAAGCTTGAGTCTAGCAATGCCAATAACTAACCAGCTGTGTGATCTTGAGTAATTTCCCTAACCTCTCTGAGCTTCAGGGTCATCACCTGTAACATGGGCATAATAATTTTATTCACTTCATAAGGTTGTTGCAACAACTAAATAACAAAATGCATATGTACTATATGTGGGCCTGATTCATGCATAGAATTCAATTAAATATTAGACTGTGTTCAGAGGCAGTATGGTGAATGCAAGTGGTAGAACTAAACCTGGATTCAAACACCAGCTCTACTACTTGTTTATTCTATGGCTTCATCCCTCTATGCCTCCTCTAGAAAATGTCCATATTAATACAGTGACATCTATTCCATAAGACTGTTGTGAAGATTAAGTGAAATAATATGCACAGGCACTTGATAGTGCCTATCTCTGTAAAGACTGGCTGTAGTTATTGCTATCATTTTAGTATCCAGAATGTAAAGCTAAAAATCCTCAGGCCAAAAGTCAATAAGAAACTGAAAACATGAAATAAGGGAAAATTTCTTTTCCTTTGGAAATCTACTATATAAGTAAAGCTGATTTTCTGAGTTGGTTTTCCCCTCTCTAATGGAAAATCCACATTGCAATAAAATGGATTCCTGTGGCAATGCTAGAGGCATCCAGCATGTAATCACAGACAAGGCAGCACCTCTAAAACAGCTGGGATGACACTTGCAAGGCTCTGCTGAGTTCATTCAGAGGCCACAGGATGTCTTTTCTCCAGACTGTGACAGCAGGCATTCTCTCTCAATGCTTTCTTGGGAATCCTGTGGGTGATTTCAGAGCCAGCAGCCAGGAAACATCTCTGGCTATGATAAGAATCCCAAGGAGACCTTAGGTGTCCTGATTCCTAGGGCCATGCAGCTCTACCCACTCAAGATTTTAGTTTTAAATCCTTTCATCCATCCATCAAGCATTTATTTTTTAGTATCTAGGCTAGGGGCTAAGTGTGGAGTGGTGAACAAAACAAATTAGGGGCCGGGTGTGGTGGCTCATGCCTGTAATCCCAGCACTTTGGGAGGCCAAAAAGGTGGGCGGATCACTCGAGGCTAGGAGTTTGAGACCAACCTGGGCAATATGTTGAAACCCTGTCTCTACTAAAAATACAAAAATTAGCCAGGTGTAGTGGAGGATGCATGTAATCCCAGCTACTAGGAAGGAGGAGGCACAAGAATCACTCGAACCCAGGAGGCGGAGATTTCAGTGAGCCAAGATCGCACCACTTTAGTCCAGCCTGGGCGACAGAGTGAGATTCTGTCTCAAAAAGCAAAGCAAAACAAAAAACAAATTAGGTCCTTGACTCATAGAACTTACATTCTAGTGGGAGAGTCAAACATGAATCAGGTAAGTGCACAGGTTAACATATAATTGCAAATTGTGATATAAGTACTGCAACTGAAAAGAAGAGGAATGATTATGTCTATCTGTAGGGGAAGAATTCCCCAAAGAAGGGGCATTTAAGCTTATATGAAGCATGAAGCCAAGTGTGGTGACTCATGCCTGTAATTCCAGCATGTTGGGGGGCCAAGGCAGGAGGATCATTTGAGGCCAGGAGTTCAAGACCAGCCTGGCCAACAAGCGAAACCCTGTCTCTACTAAAAATACAAAAATTAGCCAGGCGTGGTGGCAAGCACCTGTAGTCCCAGGTGCTTGGGAGGCTGAGGTATGAGATTCGCTTGAACCCAGGAAGTGGAGGTTGCAGTGAGCCCACATCTCACCATTGCACTCCAGCCTGGGCAACAGAGCAATACTCTGTCTCAAATAAATAAATAAACAAATATGAAGCATGAGATATAAGGAGCGCCACCAGCTTTGAGTATAAAATCTTCATGAACATTGGCTTGGAGAAAGCTGCCACCAGGTTGAAGAAATTACCAATACTGCCCACCGGAAGTTACACGGCCACTGGTGAGCACCACGCTAGACGACCAGAGATCCCTGGGTATCTGAGCTTGCCAGTTCTTCATTAAAGGAGGCAAAGGTGAGGCAAATACCAGTTTAGTCCTGCCCACCACGAGGAAGGAAGGCAAAGTGTGTAGTCATGAATCCTTTTCTGTGGGCTTATTCCTCCTTCAGCACCTAATATGTATGTCTCATAAAAGGGGTGCTTATTGGAGAATGACTAGCACAAAGCTCTGTCAGTATAAATCACAGAAGCTTTGATCATTGCTGAAGGTGGAGGATATGGGTTATAAGGTGGGCAGGATGGTCCCTACAACCTGCATAGGAGCAGTCTCCAGGGAGAGAAAGGAATGAAATCTCAATTCCTGTATAAGCTACACAGACATTAAGATGTTTCTCCCAAGCCCTCTATTTTCTACCAGTTTAAATCCAGCACATTCCTCAGAAGCCAATTCAAGACTGGCCTCATTCCATGAAACTTCCCTACATCCCAGAGCATGTCGTCTGCCCCCACAGTATCATCCTTCCACTGCACTGTGCTGTATTGTTCTCAAGTCACTCAGTGAATTATTTTCTTGCCCACTCAATAAGATGATATACTCCTCAAGGACTAGGACTATTCCTTTAGTTCTTTTGTATTCCCCACAGTGCTGTGCTTAGTATTGTGCCCACTCTAGGCACTTAACATATCAATGCCTGTTGGGTAAATGAATGGTTTAATTAATCCATATATCTGTAAGATTTCAGTAGGTGGGGAAAATAAAAAGAAGTGGCTCTGAGTATAACAAAATTGAGCCATCCCTGGCTGGGGCTGGACAGTTATCTTTAGGAGAGTGTTTAATACTGTATATTGGTTCTTATTTAAACAGAGGGCTTAGGGTCCTATATCTGGAGATTTTCATCTGTCTAGGGTAATTGAAGGGCACCTCTGCCTGGCAATAAGCGATGGTCTAGGAAGACCTTTCAAAGCCCTTTCCATTTCTAATTCTGATTCTGTAGATTAGGATGTGTTACCATCTCAGTCCAGAGAGTACATGGTGTGAATGTTAGCCAGTCCTTACAACAGTCCCTGAACCATCTCCTGCAAAGATCTCTAGAAACTCCAGACCCCTTTGTGAGCTCTGGAATGGGAGATGCACCCCAGCCCCCACCAAATAAAAGCATATTCCAGGGGCCACCAGAGTGCAGCCATTGGTTTAGCCTCATTAATGCTGGGCTTCTATGAAAGAGTGGGGAAGAAAGAGGATTGTTGCATAAAACTATTTGTCTAAAAATGAAACAAGGAAGATTCAGCCCAGAGTGCAGTGCTGCTTTACTTCCTTCCTGTTTTAATGGAGGTACAGCATGAGGTAATCTTTTAAGAAAGTCTTAACGGGTTGGAGTAATTTTATTGTACGTTTATTATTATTCTCATTTAGAAGACTCAGCTATTTTATTCCCAGTTAGGATTAAAGGGATCCTTTCTATTTACTTCTAACAAGCTTTAATATAAAACATAGGAACATAAAACTTGCCTCTCTAAAGGCGCCAATAGCCCATCAAATCTGATGTCACTGGTTCAGAAGACACTGAAACAAAAGGCCAGTCTCTGCCAAGCCAGGCATCTCACACAGCCCAGCAGCAGCAAGGCTGCCGGACAGGAAGGTCTGAGCCTCCACGCATAAAGCATCCATCACTCCCTGGACTCACCCCAGCACAAAGGACTCGGTTTTCTCCCATTAGGCAGCACGGTATGCCCTCTTACAGACCCCTTGTCACACTCTATGACCTCCTCAGTTGGTGTGGTCTTTGTTTCCCGCTCTTATTTTAAAATAACTCAGCTGGCATAGCATTGAAGCCCAGCCAAGTTTTTAATTTAAAAGTTGCCACTCTCTTGAAAGCCTTGGGTGAGTTTGCTGCTAGGCAGGTGCCATGCTTTAAAGCTATAAGAAGGCATTGTTTTTGTAAGTATTGTCTACCTGTAGAATTGCTTGGAATTATTTTGCTCACTTTGGCTTTTCTAGTCTCACTTGGCACCTTCTCCAGTCTGTCTGGCCCCCTCAACCCTAAAACCCCAGTTGGAGTTCAGTGAAATCAATTCACCAATGAAGGAAGAAAGTATTTAGAGACACAGAGTTCCCCCACGCAGCAGTCACTGGCAGCATAAATCACAGGAAACTATAGGAAGGGGCAGCAAAAACCCAGTGAGCTTAGTGCATTATGCATTCAGCCTGGAATAATGACCTCTAATTTATTTTAGCTACGTTGCTCTTGGGGAGGGATGCCCTAATCTCACTCTGAAGATTTCAGAATATTTTTCAGTTGTTCTTCTTGCCTTTAAACCCAGGAATATGGCTTATTCTCTATCTGTGGAGTAGTTAATCTACTCAGACATTTCCCCCTACATTACCATCTGCTCTACCTTGAATTTTTTACCTCTTCACACTACCCCAGCCTTAGCCTGCTCTGCTGGCTCATTCAGAGATCTTTAATTTCTCCTCTGCCTTTATGTCTGGTTGCTTATGTTTTGGAGCAGACAATAGAGGTGATATAGGCCATTATTCATGAGTAGCTTCAAGGGTAACGTGAGAAATGCCTCATCTCCTGACCTCTTTTAGCATAAGAATTGCTGATAAAATTCTGAACTGAAAAGAAAAGTTCTTCTAAGAAAAAATATTAGAGAGCTACTCACTCTGGAGCAGCTTCCTGGAGAAAAGACCTGAGGTGGGGAGGGCATCCATAAAAATTTTTAAAAATAAAAATGTTGCACACAAAGGAAAATATTGATTATAATTGACATCACCAGTTTATTACAATCCATGACAGCATCTGGGAATGGCAATGTAAATTCAAAAGAACTAAAACATCATGACAGCCAACAGTTGAATGGGACTATCTCCAAACCTAATAGACTAGGGGTCTCTCATAGGAAGCTGAGTGGGCCCTTTTGGTTTCCCTCTCCTCACCTTCATTCCATCAGCCTCAGGTGAGCAATGGCATCGCAGAAGATACGCAGTAGGAGAAGGAAACTCAACTACCTACCAGCAGCCCCATCACTCTCTACACACTCTGGAGTTGCCAGTAAGAGAAATGTGCAGCCCCAGTGAAATGCCCAAAACTGTGGTTCTTAGAGGAACTTTATTCAACAATTACCATTTGTGTGGTAAAATCCTCTGGTCTCTGCAGACACAGACAAAACTAAGCAATTTCTCACTGCCCATTCTCCCTGTGACATCTTTTCCACAGCTGACGCTTCAACTCTCCACTTCACTGATATTGCTCATTTATATTCTCTTTGCCATCCCAAGTCTCTCTCCAGAATAGCAAATACTTCCAAGACTTTTGCCAATGGCCCCCAGAAACTAAAATTCAACATAGCTAAACAGAACTCCTCATCAGTACTTAACCCTATATGGCTGGTGTTGTTGATAGCCAACCATTCACCCAGTCACCAGAGCCAGAAACCTGGGAGTCACCCCAACTCCTTCTTTCTAAATGGCTCTCCCCTCCCAATAACCAACCCTGCCAAATATATCCAAAAGATCTCACCAATCTGAGTTGCTTTTCCAGTGCCTTTGCTGTAGTCTTAATGTGTGTCTTCAGTTTCTCTTGCCTAGATGATGGTAGCACCTAAAACCAGCTTCCAGTAATCACACTCTCCAAGCCTTTTCTACATAAACAACAAAGTGCTCTCTTTTTAAAAAAAAAATCAGCATGTCATTTTATGTTTGAAATCATGCAATGTTACTCCGTTGCTTTCAAGACAAATAAATGTTCATCCCTTTGGCGTGGCATACAGATTTCTTCACAATCTGACTCCAGCCCACTTCCTTCAACTCAACTTCTGCCAAAGCCTCAGATTCTCACTGTGCTTTAGCTATGTGGAAACACTTGCATTCCCTGGATGTTCTCTCACAATTCTTTACACTCTATGCACCATTCCCTCTATTCGTCCTGTCCTTCCTTCCTCTGGCCTTTTGTCTAGGTAATGCCAACTCATCAGTCAGAACCCAGTTCAAGGATAACTTTGCCAAACTCCCCTGGCACTTGAGTGCTTCCTTACTTGTGCACACCAAAGCACCTTGCTTTCATTATTCACCTGAAAAAAAATTGTTAAATGCTTGTACATTGTTTATTTTTTATACATCTGACTTACCCACTACGTGTGAGCTCTCCAAGTGCAAACACTATACCACTCATATTCCAGTTTCCCTCATGTCTAACACAGTGCTTAGCCCAGAGTAGGTGCCTATAAGAACATATTAAATGAAAATACTTGTCATATATAGACCCAGGGTTAAAGCCAACGTTCCATCCTTCCCTCGAAGAAATTCTCTTTCTGGTCTCCCACCCAGATCTTGGAAAACAGCACAGTGTATGACTTTGAGCATTAACCTGAGTTAGAGCACCTACGTCCTAGGCCAGGTCTGTCATCAGGAATGTGTGAGATCTGGAGCAAAGCACCAAATAAACAGCCAACATATGTTCAACATTGATTATGTGACAGATTCCCTGCTAAGCATGCTACATGCATGATCTTTTTTCCTCACAGCTACCTGAGGCGACAGATGTTAATATCATGCACATTTTACAGGTGACGAATTTAAGTAACTCAAACTCATGTTTGATGCCACCTCCCTTCATCTGGGTTATGGAGAGATCAAATGAGACTTGGTGTGTAACACAGCTCTGTAAGCTATACAGATCTACACAAACATAAGTCACCATAATTATAGAAAGCAACAAAGATTGTCTAAGTGTAATTGAAGCTTTGTGATTATAGTGAAAAATAAGATGTAAAGATTTAAGCCGGGTGCAGTGGCTCATGCTTGTGATTCCAGCACTTTGGGAGGCCGAGAGAGGCACATCACTTGACCCTAAGAGTTCAAGACCAGCCTAGGCAACATGGCGAAATTCTGTCTCTACAAAACATACACAAATTAGCTGGGCGTGGTGGCCTGCACCTGTAGTCCCAGCTACTTGGGAGGCTGATGTGGGAGGATTGCTTGAGCCGGAGAGGTTGAGGCTGAGTGAGCTGAGATGACATCACTGCACTCCAGCCTGGATGACAGAGCAACACCTTGTCTAAAATATATATATATATACTTGTTTTTAGACCTTGGCTAAAAATAAATAAAGATTTGAGACAGAGCAAGACCCTGTCTGAAAAAAAAAGATACAAAGATGTTATAAAGATATTAAGATCCATCATCTTACACAA